>NT_187562.1:370523-741046 GCF_000001405.40 Homo sapiens | reverse complement strand
TGTTTATTTATTGAATTAATACATGCACCTGGTTAATGATTCAATTATAACAGAGAACAAAAGGTAAGTTCCTTCTCCAGAGACAGTCTTGTAATTATTTTGCTACATGTTCTTAGAAATAATAGTTCTTGCTTGTTCAAGTTTATGTAAATCTGACTCCTCCTTCTTTTACACAGAAACACACAGCCCAAACCTTCCTGTACTTCACTTCTTTAATTAGCAATGTGGTTCTTATCAGCATATTTCAAAGTTGATTTTATTAAAAAATACACAGAATCATGCCATTATTTTCCATTTTATTATGAGAATTTTCAAACATCTATAGAAGCTGAAACTATTATACAGTGAACATGCATGTACCCACCGCCTAGGTTCTGGATAAAACTGTTACTGCTTTACCACATAACTATCCATCTATCCATCCTTCTATTCATCCATCAATCCATCTAATTTTTTAATTCATTGAAAAGTCAGTTGGAGGCATACTTCACTTCTAAGCAGTTCAGCACGTGTATAATTAACTGGAGTTCAAGGTGTTTTTCAGGTAAAATTTGCATACAGCACCACACACAAATCTTGAATACCGTTAAACAAGTTTTGACAAATGCATACACTGTGTAACCTACCAAATTGTAGAATATTACCATTATCTCCAAAGTTTTCTCATGCCTTTAGTTTTTCCCACTGCTAACTCCTTAGAGGCAATTAGTGTTCTGATTTTTTCATTATAAATTATTCTTTTCTAGAATTTTATATAAATGGAATAACATCATACGCTCTTCTGTGCAAAGTTTCTTTCACCCAGAATAATGGTTTTAAGATTTGTTTACTTCTTTCACCCAGAATAATATTTTTAAGATTTGTTCAAGTTGTGTGTATTAGTACTTCATTCCTTTTTGTGGCAGTGGAATATGTAACCATATAGATATACTACCGTTTGTTTAGCCAGCCTCCTGTAGATGGACGTTCAAGATATCTCCAGGTTTTGGCAATGATGAATTCACTTTCTGTAAACATTCCAGTTTAAGTCTTTTTTTGTAGATTTATGCCTTTATTTCTCTTAAGTAAATACTTAGGAGTATAATTGCTGGCTCATAGGGGTAGATGATCAGAGGGGTTTAGTTTTATAAGAAACTATTAGAACATTTTCCACATTGATTGTACTATTATCCACTTTCATCAACAATATATGTGAGTTCTGGGACTCCAAATTTTTGCCAGCATTTGGTGTTGCCAGGTGGTTTAACTTGAGTGGGTATGTGGATGGTTAGCGGTATCTCATTGTGGTTTTAATGTGTATCTTTTATTTGTCTGCCCTTTTGCCAGTACCACATTACTTTGATTATTGTGGGTTTATAGTAAGTCTTGGTCAGACAGTGAAAGGACTCCAAATGTGTTCTTTCTAAATATTGTTTTGAATATTCTAGAGTGTCAGGAGCTCAGCATAGCTGAAAAAGAGTGCTGAGGACTTAGGTACTCATTTTAACATATTTATTCTTTTTAAAATTTCAACTTTTATTTAGATACAGGGGGTACACATGCAGGTTTGTTACATGGGTATATTGCATCCAGGTAGTGAGCCAATTAAAGCAACAAGCCCCAAAGGAAAGAGTTAAATCTTTAATTACCTCCTTCAATAGTGTAAGCAAGAGTCTAAAGCCAGAGAAATTACTGACTCCCCCTGTTCTGTTTTTCCCTGTGGAAATGGCACTGGTCAAGTGTTAGTTGGATTAGCACAGACATGGAGTTGTCTCACTGTTGGGGAGCCCTGCAAGGAGAAAGTGGAAACTCACTGGGTACTCAGAGTGGAGAAAAGTGTCTTTAAGGCTCTCTCTTCCTCTCCTATTAGGAGGCCTTGACAGAGGCACCTGAAGAAGACCTCTACATAGGCCTCAGAAAAAGAGACCTAAGAATGAAGGATCCTGAGCTGGCAATATAAATATGCACAAGGGCGTGACCAGCCAGGGGGTCCTTGACTGCAACTCCCTTCAAAGACTGCAATGCATTGGCTGTGCACCAAGTCTGGGGTGGGCAGAACAGCCTCTCCACACCCTGTAAACCAGCCAGGTAAAGCCTTTGTAATTAATTATCTATGGCCTGAAACATCATACATAGGCTTCTAACCAGGAGCGGGACTTCCCATAAATTCTTTGTGTGTTCATATACCTTCTAGAATCAGCTTCTCAGTTTCTTAGAAAACAAAAACAGTTGAGATAACAATTGAGATTTTAATGACTGTAGATAAAATTTAGAGAGTACTGGTTTTAACATATTTAGTCTTTTTAAAATTCTCACTTTTATTTTAGATACAGGGGGTACATATGAAGGTTTGTTACACGGGTATACTGCACCCAGATAGTGAACATAGTACCCAATAGGTAGTTTTTCAACCCGTGTCAACCTCCCTCTCTCTTCCCCTTGAGTAGTGCTCAGTGTCAATCATTCCCATGTTTGTGTTCATGTGCGCTCAATGTTTAGTTCCCACTTGTAAGTGAGAACATGTAGTATTTGGTTTTCTGTTCCTGCATTAATTTACTTAGGACTACGGCCTTCAGCTCTATTTATGTTGCTGCAAACAACTTGATTTCATTCTTTTTTAGGCCTGTGTGGTATTCCATGGTGTATATGTTTTCTTCATCCAATCCATCGTTGATGGGAACCTCGGTTGATTCCATGTCTTTGCTATTGTGAATTGCATGGTGATGAACATATGAGTGCATTTTGGTATAATGATCTAGTTTCCTTTGGATATATCTTCAATAATGGGATTGCTAGGTGGAATGGTAGCTCTGTTTTAAATTATTTGAGAAATCTCCAACTGCTTTCCTCAGTGCCTGAACTAATTTACGTTTCCACCAACAGTGTATAAGCATTCCTTTTGGGTGGAGTGTTCTGTATTTGTCTATTAGTTTCAACTGGTTAAATGTTGAGTTTAAGCCCAGCATTTCTTTGTTAGTTTTCTGCCCAGTGATCTGTCTAACACTGTCAGTAGGGTGTTGAAGTTTCCTACTATTATTGTTTGGTTGTTTAAATCTTTACATAGGCCAAGAAGAGCTTGTTTTATGGATATGGGTGTTCTAATGTTGGATGCATATATATTTAGCATTGTTAGTTCTTCTTGTTGGATTGTACTCTTTATCATTATAGTAATGCCCTTCATTGTTTAATGTTTGTTTTATCTGATATAAGAATAGCAACTCCTGTCCTTTTTTGTTTTTCATTTGCATGATAGATATTTTCCCCTCTCTTTGTTTTGAGCCTGTGGGTGTTGTTACATGTGAGATGGGTCTCTTGAAGGCAATGATGGCTGGGTCTTGTGTTTTTATCTAGTTTGCCACTCAATGTCTTTTAAGCAGATGTTTAGCCCATTTATATTCAAGATTAGTATTGATGTGTGTGATTTTGATCTCATACCCATGTTGTTAGCTGGTTGTTATGTAAATTTGATAGCGTAGTTGCTTTGTGGTGCCTGTGGGCTATGCATTCAAGTGTTTTATGGCAGCAGGTTCTTTAGATTCCATATTTAGCACTACCTTAAGGACCTTTTGTAAGGATGGTCTACTTAAAACAAATTTCCTCAGATTTGCTTGTCTAAGAAGGATTTTATTTCTCCTTCATTTATGAAGCTTAGTTTGGCAGGATATAACATTTTTAGTTGAATTTTTTTCAGGATGCTGAAAATAGTCTCCCAATCTCTTCTGGCTTATAAGTTTTCTGCTGAGAAGTCTGTGGCTAGCCTGATGGGGTTTCCTGTGTATGTGACTTGACCCTTCACTCTAGCTGCCTTTAGAATTTTTTTTATTTTACCTTGACCTTGGTGAATCTGATGACTATGTGTCTTGGGGATAGTTGTCTCATATAGTAACTAGCCAGGGTTCTCTGTATTTCTTGGAATTGAATTTCAACCTCTCTAGCAAGATTAGGCGATTTTGGGCATTATTTATATTTATATTAGGCATTATTTATATTTTTGAAAAATATATTTTTCAAATATATTTTTGAAATTGCTTACTCTTTCTCCTATTTTGGGAATGCCGATGAGGCATAGATTTGGTATCTTTACATAACCCTATATTTCTTATTTCCTTATTTTTTTTTTTTTTGAGATGGAGTCTCGCTCTGTCACCCAGGCTGGAGTGCAGTGGCACTATCTCGGCTCACTGCAAGCTCCGCCTCCCAGGTTCATGCCATTCTCCTGCCTCAGCCTCCTGAGTAGCTGGGACTATAGGTGCCCGCCACCATGCCCAGCTAATTTTTTTATATTCTTAATAGAGACGGGGTTTCACCGTGTTAGCCAGGATGGTCTCGATCTCCCGAACTCGTGATCCACCAGCCTTGGCCTCCCAAAGGGCTGGGATTACAGGTGTGAGCCACCGTGCCTGGCCAGTTTTGTTCATTTTTTAAAATTCTTTTTTCTTTATTTTCATCTAAGTTGATTCAAAGAACTGGTCTTCAAGCTCTGAGATTCTTTCCTCAGCTTGGTGTATTCTGCTGTTAATACTTCTTATTGCATTATTAAATTCTTGTAGTAAATTTTTGAGCTCTAGAAGTTTATTTTGATTCTTTCTCAAAATGGCTATTTCATCTTTCAGTTCTTGGATCATTTTACTGGGTTACTTGGATTCCTTGGATTGAGTTTCAACTTTCTTCTGAATCTCAATGAGCTTCCTTTCTATCCAGATTCTGAATTTTGTGTTTGTCATTTCAGCCATTTCAGACCGGTTAAGAACCATTTCTAGGGAGCTAGTGACCCATTTGGATGTAAGGAGATGCTGTGGTTTTTTTGAATTGCCAGAGTTCTTGTGCTGATTCTTTCTCATCTGGTAGGGTTGGTGTTCCCTTAACTGTGGTGTAAGCTGAGTATGGTCAGTTGGCTTCATTTCTGGATGCTTTCGGAGGGCCAGGGCTCTGTACAGAATCCGCATATGTGGGTGAATTCTTGCACCTGGTTTCACATCCTGCATATATTAGCACGGTAATTTTAGTGTTGTAGTTTGTGCTGTGATCCAGTAGATGCGCTTAAGAGTAACGGCCGGTAGCTAGGCTAACACCCAGCTTGTGTGGCTCTCGTACTTTCTTGTTCACAGGCATGCTCTGAGGTGGGTCGGGGAGACAGATGGCCCCCTCACAAGGTTTGCTTCTAGGACTTGTGGGGATCCAGCTCCAATCCCTGGCACTGCACCTGCATTTCTTTTGCTAGGTGTTCCAGGCTGCAGGGGACTCCTGAGGCAGAGGCTGCAACAGGACATTATTTCTATTTCTATATTTTAAAACTGTCTTTCATTTCCTTTAGCAACTGTTTTTAGTTTTCTGTACACAAGTCTTGCATGTCTTTTGCTAAATTTAAATATTTTATGTTTTTTAATATAAATTCAGGTTTTAAAATTCAATTATCCAATTGTTTATCATTAGTATACAAAATATAATTTTTATATGTTGTAATAATAAATTAATGTATGAACTTACTAATTTGAGTAGTTAATATATAGATTTCTTTTAATATTTGCATGTAAGTAGTCCTTTCATCTCTGAAAAAGGTTTTCTTTATCTTTTGATACCTAGCTTTTTAGTATTTTTCTTGTCTTTATGCATCAGTACAATATGGAATAGAAGTGGTAAGGGTGAACATTATTGACTTGTTTATGATCTTGAACATGTTTAATATTTAAGAAATAAAAATGGGAAGACGTTTAATATTTCTGTCATTAAGTGTGACATAAGGTGTTGGTTTTTCTCAGGTGCCTTTGTTAGATTGAAGAAGTCCCTTTTTTACCTAATTTTCTGAGTGTTTTTATTATAAATGAGTTTGGAATTTTACCAAGTTTTTTCTATCTGTACGTATAATCAAATAGATTTTTAAAAATGTGTTAACAAGATGAATTACATTGATTGATTTTTTAATATTATACCAAACTTTCTCCTAGAATTGACTCTATTTAAATATTTGAATAATATTTTTAGATTCTGTTTTGATTTTTATTTGTTGGCTTTTTGCTATACCTCTAATATTTTCAGGGCTATTCTGGAAAATAAAGAATGATACATTTAAAACTATTTGTCTACTTACTATATTGTAGAAGTTTACTTAAAATATAAGAAATTTGTATCTAATAGATCTGTTTTTCCTATTTCCATCCTTTAGATTTTAGTGTCATTCTGTATTATATATATTTTATATATCCTATAATACAATGATGAAATTTTTACTTTAGCTAGTCTTACATATGATATATGTAATATATCTGACTGCATTTCACTACTTCTTGTGCTCTTCATTTCTTCCTCACAATCCAAGCTTCCAACTGGTATTATTTCTTTTTTACCTAAGAGAATTCCATTGCGATTTACTATCATGTAGTTCTACTGTCAATGGATATTTTAATTTTTATTTATATTCAGATAACTTTACTGTAGTATTTTAATTTTTAGCTGAATATTTTATATCAAATTCTGGGTTGACTTTTTATATTTCTTGTAGCACTTTAAAGCTACAGTTCCCTTCTCTTCTGGTATTCACTTTTTTAAAATGAAAAATTATCATTATTCATGTCATTGTTCCTGGTATGTATGATTTTTCTCTGGCTGTTTGAAGATTTTGTCTTCTTTTCTAGTTTTGGACAATTTGACTGTGATGTGCCTAGGTAGGTGTTCTACAAATTATTTTTCTGAAATTCTTTTTATGTCTTTCAATATACTTTTTAATTAGGCTTTTTTAAAAAAATATTGTTTTTTATCCATGCTTTTTTATATCTCCTCTTCTTTCACTTTTACTCCAATTTCACACATTTTGTACCTTTTGATATTTTTCTAAAGATCACTGAGGCTATTTTTTCATATTTTTTCTCCTGTTTTCTAGATTTTGTAATTTCTATGGATATAACATCAAGTTTCTGAATCTTTCTTCCGTCATCTCTAATCTGCTAGAGATTTCGTTTAGTGAGATTTTATTTAATTTTCAAATATTGCAGTTTAAATTTTAAATTTTTCATTTATTTTTAATAGGTTTCATTATTGTTATAAACGTTCCTATTTTATTCATTATAAGAACATTTTCTTTTATATCCTTAAACATGATTATAATAGCTACTTTAAATTTCAGTCTAGTAATTCCAGCATCCAGGTAAACTCAAAGTTTGTATCCACTAATGGCCTCTTCATTCAAATTAGGTCATGTGATTTCTTTTCTTCATATGCCTGGTAATTTTTGCGTTGTATCTTGGACATTGTCAACAATATATCTAGATTTTGTTTTATCCTTCTAACGATGGTTGGATTTTTGTTTTAACAGGCATTTAACTTGGTTGGATTTATACTTCAAATTCTGTTTCCTATAGCCGGCAACAGCTGAAATCTCTATCCAGTTATGTTAGGTTTAACACTGCTGATTCCAGTATTCCTCTCACATGCATAGTTTAGGCATCAACCAGAGATTCAAACAGAGTTTGTATGGAGAACATTGGGTTGTTCTTTTTTGGACTTTCCCTTCTTGGATGTCTTTCCTAACTCTACAGCTGGCTTTTTAATGGGTTTCTATTTGACTGGGAACTACTTTCCAGCAAAAAGCTACAAAAACAGAAAACTTACCTGTCATCCAAGTGTTGACTTCCCTGTAGTTTCTACTGGCTATTGGTTGCTTTGCTGTCCCTTAAGATAGGCTTTAAAAATGTTCGTCCTGAGTTTATATTTGTTATTTGTGGGAGCGTGGGTCTTATAAGAATTATGATGCCATTACCAGAACTGCATCAATCTTTTTAATGGTTTGAAAAATCAGCAGATTTTTGTCTTTTGGTTTCTACCTATATTTGATATTGCTGAATAATCTGGATTCTTTTTAATGGGATCACCTTCTCCAGGATGGATCTGGATTTTTGACAGGCCATGCAAACTGATACTACAAAATTGTGGATGAGTTACTCAGATGTATCATTTAATAGATCCATAGTCTACGTTTTGGCACTATTTGAAAATGCAACCCTGGAGTCCCTCTGCTTTAGTCTGGGCTAGTTGCTAATTAGTTCCACTGCCCAGCTTTTATCCTGGCACTTTTCTTTCTTATTATTCTGAATGAGAATTTCTATTTCCTGGACCCCATTTTTTTTTTCTTTTTGGTTTGTTTTCTCAGTTTGCTGAGACATACTAGCCAGTAATTTCCTAAGAAAGCTTGAGATGGAGGTAAATGTTTTGGATCCTAACATTATTAAAAATGTCTTTTTATTTGCATTTTATTGATATATTGGGTTAGTAGAGAAATCTAAGATTAAAATGATTTTCTATCAGAATTTTATTGATATTTCTTGCACCTTTTTTTCTGGAATTCAGCGTTGCTGTGTAGAAATGTGATGTCATTCCACTTTTGCATTTATTTATCACTTTTCTCTAAGTATAATTTTGATTTTTAACATTTTCTTTGTCTTTTTGTGGTTTAGAATCATTTAATCCCCAGTGTTCTGAAATCATGAAGATATGCCTTCATTTCAGTTGTCTGACATTAATTAGCCAACAGCAGGCATTTTAAAATATGGAGGCTAATTTTTTTTCATTTCTGGGAACTAATTTTTAGGGTATAATTTCTCTGATAATTAAAAATTTTTTTTTTCTTTTTTCTGGAGTTTCTCTTGGACAGTTGACTCTCCTTTGTTCACCCTTCAAGTCACTTATATTTTCTTTCATGTTTTCTGTTATTTAACTTCTTGAACTTTTTGTTCTATTTTCTGGGATGTTATATCGAGTTTTCTTTTGACTCTTATTTTAAAAATTTATTTTGACTTTCTTAAAGTTTCTCCCCTTTATCTTATTCTGTTTTAAGGACGATGTGTTTCTTATATCTGTCTGGGATAGAAACAAGAATTTACATGATTACTACTTAGAAGTCCACTTTTTTTCTTTATTTTATATGCTTGAGTCAATTTTCTTTGTTCCCACTATTTATTTAATTTCATTTCCTTTTTCTGTTTCTTGTTTTTTATTTTCTTTTTCTCTTCTTTCTTTTAATGTCTGTATCCTTTTCCTTTCTATCTATGTTAGAAACTTTGTATACTAGTGATCTTTGATTGTATATTGATTTTTAAGAGTAAAGCACTAAAAACCTGACTGAAAGCCTGGTAATATGGATGGTACTTGTTTGCTAGGAGATTTTACTTGAAGAGATTTGGCGGGGAACTGGTTGTTTCGTAAGGGACACTGAAATATCAGTATTTGTAAGTCTCTTTTCAGGGGCTGCTCAATTTCTTCAAATAAAAATATATTATTATGCTACTGTGGGTATAGTTACCTACTTGTTCTGTGCCAAAGGCAGTGGAGAGGTGTTGAGAGTTAATTCTTCATGGGTCTCTGACATTTCTGCACAACTTATATCAACTTTTCATTTGGACTATCTTGTCAAGAATGTTTGTATAGCAATCAACCTGGAAGACAGAGACAACATCTCCCTCTGGATCTGTTTGCTATCCAGGATAATAAACACAATGTACCCCCATGAGACAAAGATTGATGAGGTTTGGGAAAAGCCACAGCATCCAGAAACTGCTCTGTGTCACTGTTGGGGAACTGGGCAGAGGGGCAGGCACAGGTCACTTATAGACATATGAAGCTCATGCTGCCTGCTGTGTTGAGAGTATTAAAAATACTTTGTCTGTAATCCAGCAGTCTCTTGTCTTCTGCTAGCATCCATGGAATGTTGTCAAGCTCTTAGCTTGCAAGTATGGTAAAATCTCATATCATTAACAGTTCTCAACAAGAGAAACTGGATAATTGACTATATGAGACTATATATTTATATATCAATTATTCTCTTTGTCTTTAGCCCTGCATCTCATATCACTCTTGATATGCCATGTAATTCCAAGGCTTGAGATCTTCTTATTTAGTTTCTTAGAATAAACTTCTAGTTTCCTGTCAAAAAGAAGAATGTTGGCTACTAGCATTTGATGTATTGCTTAGATGGTCTGTGAAGGGTGAGAGTAAGGGATTTCTGTTTAATTTATAAACTAGTCATCTATAACTTGATTTTCTGCTTTGGGTATCAACTACACACACTCTCTCTGGTCATAATTTTTAATAAATAAAATGGAAGAGACAGTATAATCAAAATTCAAAGAAGGACAAATATAGCTTTAATATTCAGATATGGGCAAGCAATAGTTCTACACCTAGAAATTATAAGTTAGTAAATTTAACATCATCCCTCTTCTTATCCTGCCACCCTACACATGCATAAAATATATTCATAACTGAATATTAAATATGCAGATTTTTGAGCATTTGTAAAGCAGAATGGCAATAATTAAGAAATATGAGTTCATTGAGGGCAAGGTTTCAGAACACTTAGCTACTATTTTTAGACAAGAAAGTGATGTATGAGACCCATCACATGTCAGAGCATCTCAAACCATGGGCTCTGGCATTACCATGTAAGCATTTGTCTGTCTAATGTTACCATTAATAGACTATAATTATTGGCTTATTTTCTTAGGCAGGTAACTGTATGGTATCTGGCAATGTGTATCTCATCCAAGATACTTGACAATACATTTTCAATATATACTATGTGATATGGTTTAGCTGTGTCCCCATCCAAATCTCTGTTTGAATTGTATCTCCTAGAATTCCCATGCACTGTGGGAGGGACCCACAGGGAGGTAATTGAATCATGGGGGCCGGTCTTTCCTGTGCTATTCCTATGATAGTAAGTCTCATAAGATCCGATGGTTTTATCAGGGGTTTCCACTTTTGCTTCTTTCTCTTTTTTCTCTTGCCACCACCATGTAAGAAGTGCCTTTTGCCTCCCGCCATGATTCTGAGGCCTCCGCAGCCCTGTGGAACTGTAAGTCCAATTAAACTTTTTCTTCCCAGTCACAGGTATGTCTTTATCAGCAGCATGAAAATGGACTAATACAGAAAATTGGTATCAGTAGAGTGGGGTGTTGCTGAAAAGATACCCGAAAATGTGAAAGCAACTTTGCAAGTGGGTAACAGGCAGAGATTGGAACAGTTTGGAGGACTCAGAAGAAGACAGGAAAATGTGGGAAAGCTTGGAACTTCCTAGAGACTTGTTGAATGCCTTTGACAAAAATGCTGATAGTGATATGAACAATAAGGTCCAGGCTGAGGTGGTTTCAGATGGAGATGAGGAAATTGTTGGGAACTGGAGCAAAGGTGACTCTTGTTATGTTTTAGAAAAGAGACAGATGGCATTTTCTCCCCACCCTAGAGATTTATGGAACTTTGAACTTGAGAGAGATGATTTAGCGTATCTGGCAGAAGAAATTTCTAAGCAGCAAAGTGTTCAAAAGGTGACTCGGGTGCTATTAAAAGCATTCCATTTTAAAAAGGAAACAGAACATAAAAGTTTATAAAATTCGTAGCCTGACAATGCAGTGGAAAAAAAACCATTTTCTGAGGAGAAATTCAAGACAGCTGTAGAAATTTGCACAAGAAGCCTAATGTTAATCCCCAAAACCATGGGAAAATGTCTCCAGGCCGTGTCAGAGACCTTCATGGCAGCCCCTCCCATTACAGGCCTGGAGGTCCAGGATGAAAAACTGGTTTAATGGGCCAGGCCCAGGGTCCCCATGCCATGTGCAGCCTAGGGACTTGGTGTCCTGTGTCCCAGCCACTCCAGCCATAGATGAAAGGGGCCAACATAGAGCTCAGGTTGTGTCTTCAGAGGGTGGAGGCCTTGGCACCTTTTATGTGGTGTTGAGCCTGTAGGTGCACAGAAGTCAAGAATTGAGGTTTGGGAACCTCCACCTAGATTTTAGAAGATGTATGAGAAGGCCTGGATGCCCAGGCAAAATTTGCTGCAGGGGTGGGGCTCTCATGGAGAACCTCTGCTAGGGCAGCACAGAAGGGAAATGTGGGTTTGGAGCCCCCACACAAATTCCCTACCTGGGTACGGCCTAGTGGAGCTGTGAGAAGAGGGCCACCGTCCTCCAGACCCCAGAATGGTAGATCCACCAACAACTTGTGCTGTGTACTTGGAAAAGCCACATGCACTCAATGCCAGCCTGTGAAAGCAGCCGGGAGGGAGACTGTACTCTGCAAAGCCACAGGAGTGGAGCTGCCCAAGACCATGGGAACCCACCCCTTGCCCCAGCATGACCTGGATGTCAGACCTGGAGTCAAAGGAGATCGTTTTGGAGCTTCAAAATTTGGCTGCCCCACTGGATTTCAGACTTTCATGGGGACTTGTAACCCCTTTGTTTTGGCCAATTTCTCCCATTTGGAATGGCTGTATTTATCTAATCCCTGTATCCCCATTGTGTCTAGGAAGTAACTAGCTTATTTTGCAGGCTCATAGGTGGAAGGGATTTGCCTTGTCTCAGATGAGACTTTGGACTGTGGACTTTTGGGTAATTGCTGAAACGAATTAAGACTTTGGGGGACTGTTGGGAAGGCATGATTGGTTTTGAAATGTGAGGACATCAGATTTGGAGGGGACTGAGGCAGAAGGATATGGTTTGGCTGTGTATCCACCCAAATCTCTACTTGAATTGTATCTCCCAGAATTCCATGTGTTGTGGGAGGGACCCAGGGGGAGGTAATTGAATCATGGGGGCCAGTCTTTCCTGAGCTATTCTCATGATAGTGAATAAGTCTCGCGAGATATGATGGGTTTCTCAGGGGTTTCTGCTTTTGCTTCTTTCTGATTTTTCTCTTGCTGCCACCATGTAAGAAGTGCCTTTCACCTCCTGCCATGATTCTGAACCCTCCCCAGCCATGTGGAACTCTTAGGTCCAATTAAACCTCTTTTTCTTCCCAGTCTCGGGTATGTCTTTATCATCAGTGTGAAAACAGACTGATACACTATGTAATGATTATACATCCTTCATTATGTTTTCTCTTTCTTTAAAATATCTTATGGTCTGCTTTTTAATGTTTTCATTAGTGAATAGTACCCCTTCAGTGTCCCAAGTTAAATAAGACAGCATCCATTGGATAGAACAGGTACCAGTTTATTCTACTGAAGGCTTAAGCATAAAGGAAATCTCCCTCAACTTTCTGCCACCGATGTCTGAGTGAACTGAGCCAGTTCTGATGCCCTCAACAGAGGGCAGAAGAAATCTATGTTACATCTAGGTGCTTGTCACTGCCCTTTATAGGGAATGATGGGATGAAGAAACCCCATTGACTCTTAGTTTCTTGCTATTTCTGTTTTAATGAATTGAAATTAATTGAAGAAGATCTAGCACAGATGAGAAGACTTCCCAATTTTTCAAGCCATACAAAATTGGCTAGGTCAGTTAGGAGGATACTGGAAAATTGAGATAATTTAATTTTAGCAGCAAATTTTCAAAGTCATCAATGTTAATCTTATGATATGATGGTGACATGGGAGATAAATGATGATACAGTGTATCTACAGCTGGTTTAATAGTGATTATCAAAGAATCTTGTAAAACGCACAATTAATATGACTATGTCCACTTGTCCATCACTAACAAGATCCAGTTTCTGCTCTCAAGCCTTCATCCTTCTACTTCAAAATGGAGGTGTTAGAAGCTTGTGCTAAGACATTAAAAATGTCTTTGGTGCTATGGCTATCTTGCTGTTACAAAGGTAGAAGGTAGAATTCCCTGGCTGTGTGGATTACGTCTTTCACCTAATGGTTGGTCTTGGGACCCATTCAGCTGAAGATGGAAATATACCTATCTTGGATTCAATTATCTTATTATTTAAAAAACAATATAGAAACATGCCTTTCCACTAACTTTTCAGCTGTGAGGTTATAGGCAAGTCATTTAAATTTAGGTTTAATTACACTTCACTTATTTAAATTTATTTTTAATTAGGAGAAAATAATATCTGTATGTCAGGGCTGCTGTATTTTATATGTATAAACTACCTGTGATATCTCAGTGGACTCTAGAGAAAAAAAAATTGCCTCCTTCTCTAAATTTTCCTTGTTCCCTGCAGGAAGAGGCCAGACATCTTCCCAGCCATGTCCCATCAAAGAGCCCTGTTAATACTCCCATTCAACAAAAAATAATTTATTTTGTTATATTTTCCCAAATCACATAATTTAAAACATTGCTTAAAAGACATAGAACCAACCCAAATGCCTATCAATGATAGACTGGATGAAGAAAATGTGGCATGTATACCCCATGGAATACTATGCAGCCATAAAAAGGAATGAGATCATGTCCTTTCCAGGGACATGGATGAAGCTGGAAGCCATTATCCTCAGCAAACTAACATGGGAGCAGAAAACCAAATACCGCATGTTCTCACTCATAAATGGGAGTTTAACAGTGATAACATGTGGACACAGGGAGGGAAACAACACACACTAGGGCCTGTTGGGGGTCGGGGGCGAGGGGAGGGAGAGCATCAGGACAAACAGCTAATGCTTATAGGGCTTAAAACCTAGATGACAGGTTGATAGATGCAGCAAACCACCATGGCACATGTATACCTATGTAACAAACCTGCACATTCTGCACATCTATCCCTGAACTTAAAGTAAAACAAAATAAATAAATAAATAAATAAATAGATAAACAAACATTGCTTACTTGGAGATTTAGAGTATCAATTTTTATGTTCTGTGAATTTGTTGGTCTCCTAATGTGATGTATGTTTATGTATGTTTAGTGAAATAATGGTTTACATTTTCTGAATTATTCTCTGTACCCTCATGGTAAACATCCATGATCTATTATGTGCCTTTAAAAGTCTATTATGTGGGTCAGGCGTGGTAGCTTATACCTGTAATCCCAGCACTTTGTGAGGCCAAGGTGGGCAGATCAAGAGGTCAGGCGTTCGAGACCGGCCTGACCAACATAATGAAAACTCATTTCTGCTAAAAATAACAAAAATTAGCCAGGCATGGTGGCGTGCGCCTGTAATCCCAGCTATTCGGGAGGCTGAGGCAGGAGAATCACTTGAACCTGGGAGGTGTAGGTTGCAATTAGCCAAGATTGTGCCACTGCACTCCAGCCTCAGCAACAGAGCGAGACTCCATTTCAAAAGAAGAAGAAAAAAAAAGTCTATTCTGTAAACTGTGAACTCCCCCGTGAACACTTTTTCATTTTTTTTCTAAATTCAAACCTCCTATCCCAATCTACAATCCTTTTGACCTCTTTAGATGTCTTCTGTTACTCACTTTGATGTTTGATACTCCATCTCTGCCTATTTTCATTTTCATTTTTTTATGTGTTCTTCCTCTCTCCCTGGGCTGCATTTTCTTAGCAAGGTGAGGCTGTGTTGGAGGGAGCAGGTGGTAACCATGCCAGAAGGGAAGCTGAGTCTGGCATAGCACTCTTTCTACCAGGGACTCAATTGAGGTGATGACCCCTGTGTTGGAAATGGTCCCACATAGCCCTGGGAATGGACGCAAAGTGCTGGTACCTGTTCCCATCTCTTGCAGTTGATCTTCTGAGTCTGGGCAATACTTGCTATAAGAAATAAATAATCTGTGGGAAAATGTAGGACTCTCAGAAAACCTGAAGTTTCACTGAATATGAAAATCTGTAGATACAGTGTTCTGTTATTTAACCCTTTTCCTGTTTAGTAAAAAAAGTGCAGCTCGCTGCCAGCATTCATTTAATTTGACATAAACATGCTCTTTGAGGCTGAAGCAAATTTGACTGATTATCAACATGAAAATAAAATATAAAAACTGTTCTTGGAATTATTTCTAAACAGAACTGGCCTCTAATCCTAACATCACAGAAATGTATATAATAATCACTATTAGATAATTTTTTCGTGTGGGAAAATTTCAAAGCACGGAACAACAGAAAGTGAAACATCACATTCCGCACAAAAATATTGCCGTTCTCTATAGATCTTGCCATCCTCGTCATTGTGTGAGCAGCAAAAGTGCAGTGACCAGTTGGGTTTTGTTTCTTTGATGGTGGTAATGCTGTTGGGAAAATGTCTTCCAGGTGGGCCAAGAGGTGTGACATCATCAGAGCGTGGACGACCCCAGAGACGTTGCTGCCCTGGCTCACGATGCTTTTTCAGCATCCTTTTAATCAATGTCAGTCTGAAGTTTCTATGGCAAACCGTGTGCTCAGAATTCTCCTTCTTGAACAGGATGTAGGAGTTAAGCACTGTAATGTTTAGAAGGTGGAGAAAGAATTTCTTGTATCAAACCTTGTGTGTTATCTCAGGGGAAACGCTGCAGCCGCAAGCACCGCTAGCATGTATTCTCGGCGCAAAAGGGAAAGGATTTTAATGATATTCTGGGAAGATGTGCTTTCTCTGTTCTGGATGTTGACCTCAGCCAGGAGAATTGTGATTCCTGTCTTTCCTCAGGGAAAGAATCTTCCTCTTCCTTCTGGTAGACTCTCTCACAGAAACATTTGCAGGGTATTTCTTCCTTTTGATGGTTTCTCTTCCCTCATTTACTTGTATTCAAAATCAGCTCAAGTCCTATCTCACACAAACTTAATCTTGAATATTGTGATACACATTCATTCAATTTTTTTCTCTGACTTCTTCCACACAAAAATTTAGCACTGAATCAAAATACGTTTTCAGATGCCTGTTTTGTCTTGCCAATAATAATTGTGCAAGTGCTCTGCAGTTTGGGATTTCTAATACCCTTTACATTTATTTGTATTTCCAAAGCACTGTTAATTTTTACTGACAGAAGAGCATATGTTTTATTCTTAAAGACAGACAAATACACACTTTTTCCAGAAGATTGTGAGTTCAGTTATAACCAAATTCCTACCACCTTCTGCAGCAGAGTTTAAACCTTCTGTGATCAGAATTTTTTCCAGCAAAATATGATTGATCGGAGAACCTGGAAGAATTTGTTTTAATCAGAGTTTTTCTCTTTCTAAATTGAATGAACAAAATTCAAATTCCACAAACTTTCTCTTGAATCAGCACAGGCACAGTAAAAATCATCGAAAGAATTTAGAATATGTTAATGTCCTCTAGTGAAATGTCAACCAAGAGCAAAACACTAAGCAAAGTAGAAAATGCACAGTTAAGAGAGACGAGGATAGAAAAGGGAAGGTAAAATTGATTAACGAAATGGTAGAACAGGGTTACACTGTGAATATGCGAGAGGACTTTTCCTCCTTGTTGGGACTTGTGAATTTACAACACATCGGACTGGGGGAATTAAATCCAGAACAGTCCCTGACTTGTAAAGGGGTGAAAAATAATACCTCATTCTCTCCTTGCAAAGAAGTGTGCTTATGGAGCTAGTTTCTCCTTAGTGGCCGCTTTTTTTCTATTTAGCACGAATGTGCCATCGGAGCCAGCACCAGCCCTGAGTTAGGGCCCCTTCTCTCTTACGTCCGCTCTTTTTGTGCAGAGAGGATGCAGCTGTGCTGCGCTGTGCATAAACTGCTGGCACAGAGGTACATAGATGTCTGGTTGGTGCTGGCGGACTCCAGAATCAGGGAGAAGCGCTCCTTCTTCTCTCTAGAGACACTGTACCCCTCAGGAATATCTCCTTTTTCTTTCATTTTAACATCATATGAGAAATAGATCAGCCGTAGCCCCAGACCTGGGTCTTGTCGATACCAGAACATATTTTCATGGTCCATATCCTGGACACATTCCAGAAAAACTTTCTCTCCCGTCCTTTTGACTAGATATCTCGAGCTCTGGGTTACTTTCACATCTACGAGGCCTGTGAGAGACAGAAAGCAAGGGTGAAAAACAGGCCATCAAGGAGGAGAGGAGAAAAGAGCTTGGTATAAAAGACCTCAAAATAGTAGGACAGGGGTTGCCACCAACTCCCCAGACCCAGCAACTCCCAGGACTCACCTACAGCCAGGAAACAAAAGGCCACACGACAGAGGAGCCTGATTCCCATGGCTGCTTTGAAGAAAGAATAGGTCTTCTCCCAGGACCAGGCAGTGGGTTGATGGTCTGTGATGTCATTGTCCCGGCCCACTCTCATAATCCCTCAGCCATTGTCTAGACTAGAAAGGGTCTAGAGGTGCTAGAGAGTGAAGGACATCCCTTGTGCTCATGGAAGTGTCACTGTGTGTATGTGCACGTATAGAAAAGAGTTGACACAGCGGGCCTGAGACTGCTGGCCTTAGAAGGGACTGCTTGCATGGTTGGCTCTTGATTTGCATCTGCGAACTTGAATTTTGGGAGTGTTCCCACTATAGTAACTGGTAAGCATGGCTTAGTGTGTCTAGACTGCTTGCACAAACCACGTGGGTTAGGCTGAACACTTGCTTTACGTCAAGTCTGGAATTATGCTGCATGATAGGCAGAGGGTGCCAATGTGATCAGCTGAATTATTTTGCGAGGGCTGCCATAAGTCACCACAGACTAGGTCATTTAAGCAACAGAAATGTATTTTCTCATACATCTGGAGACTAGACATCCAAGATCGGGGTGTCAGCATGGTTGGTTTCTCGTGGAGCCTCGCTCCTTGGCTTGTAGATGGCTTCCCCCTGTGTCTGCACATTGTCTTCCCTCTATGCATGTTTGTGTCCTAATTTCTTCTTATAAGGATCCCAGTCATATTAGTGAGGACCTCATTTAACCTTAACCACCTCTGTAAAATCCTTATCTCCAAACATAGTCATATTCTTAGTACTGGAGGCTGGGATTTCAACATATGAATGTTTAATGACACGATTCAGCACCTAACACCAGCCACTGAAAGTATTGGAGGTGCTGAGTCTCTAATGAGCTTCCCTGGGCAGAAAGGTTGTTCTCACGTTGCTGCATTTTCATTGTTGGGGTGAGAGTGTGCTCTCTCATGGAAGAGAACATAAGGAAGTCTCACATGGATTTCTCCAAAGTCCACCATGTCTTTGTTCCTTGTGATCATAGTATTCTTACTACATATTTGTGATACATCTTTGCTATGAGTACAAGGACACGCCGAGTCCCATGAGTCCTTCTGGTGAGTCTCAGTCTTTGAAAGTGAAGGTAATTTTTTTCCTGACCAACTGTGATTAGGAAAACCTTACCATTTTCTCTCTCTCTCTCTCTCTCTGTCTGTCTCTCCTCACTCTCAACATATATTTTATTGAGAGCAGTCTTAGTTTCTCATACAATATACTTAATAATTACTACAAGTAGCATATTGGGTAATAGGGCAGGCTTTGGAACTATGCTGCCTGGGTTTGAATCTGGTTCAAATCCACATGTGTAGGTTCATGTGAGTGCTCACATGTGTAGGTTTACCTGATGGGGTTGGGGAGATGGTGGTATATCAATAATGGGGTGGTAGGTGTGTTCAGCCCCAGGTGCAAGCGATAAAGGGTGCAAAGCATTTTAAAACAATCATAAAACCCAAGTGAAATGGTTTTGCTTTTATTATCACCAAGTGCCAGGAATTCTAAATACTTTTGGTGATAAAAGACTCCTTCAATGAAAGATTTGTCCTTGTGTGACTGGCTCATTTCACTTAGCATTATGTCAAACACAGAGAAGCAGAGAACAGAATGATAATTGCCAGGAAAATGGGAGAAGGAAGAACTGAGCTGCCATTCAATTGGTGTAAAGTTTCAATTATACAAGATAATTACATTCTAGAAATCTGCTATGCAACATTGTACCTAGAGTTAACAATATCATATTGCACATTAGTTTTGTTTAAAGGTTAGATTTCATGCTAAGTGTTATTCCCACAATAAAAAGAAATCTCACCAAGTAATTTTGGTACACATCGAGAACCACTGATCAAAACAAAAGGGTCAGCTACAACTGTCAGTGTGATGCTTATACTGCATTTTCCGGTAACACTTTACTTGTGGTTATTTTGCTAACATTATTCATTAAAACTTTCTGATGGTCTAAACAGGTTTTGAAACTGTATCCATGCATAGTATGAATCAATCAAGTCACAATAGTTTTTAAGTTGTTTGCAATAATATAAAATAGTTATTGTAATTATTCAGACTATATTCCTTAGTTTTGACATTACTGTGAATATCTAATATCTAATCCAACAGACTTGGCCTTACCATAAATCAAGCATACTGACACAGCTACCCAACACAAACACCTTTGAACTTCAGTTTCACCAGACTATTTGCTTACAAAAAAAGCTTCACAACCATAAACATTGTTATCTTTAGTACAATTTTTTTTTTTTATTTTACAAGATGTGAAGTCTCAAAGCTTCTACTGGCAAAATCTGTAAGTGTATAGTGTAGCCTAACCTGCTTAAATGAAAAGTATAAGACTAAGATTAAAATTGCCCCGAGACACAGGTAAACAAAAAGGGAAGCATGTGGGGCCCCAGAGAGGATCCCTGAAGACCGTAATGTAGAATGCAGCCTTCCCTAGTAGGTGGTATGAGGGGGGCACTGGATTGATGCAGGTCAATTCTAATAAAGAACTCAGGCTGATGAAGCCCTATTGAAACAGCAAATGAGAAGGAAGGGAAAGAGGACATTGACAGCTCTGTCTCACAGGCGCACCGTGATCTGGGGATAGATTTTTTTTTTTTTTTTTGAGACGGAGTCTCATCCTGTCACCCAGGATGCAGTACAATGGTGCGATCTCGGCTCACTGCAACCTCCATCTCCTGGGTTCAAGCAATTCTCCTGCCTCAGCCTCCCAAGTGGCTGGGATTATAGGTGTGCACCATCATGCCTGACTAATTTTTTGTATCTTTAGTAGAGATGGGGTTTCACCATGTTGGCCAGGCTGGTCTCGAACTCCTGACCTCATGATCCACCCACCTCAGCCTCCCAAAGTGCTGGGATTACAGGCATGAGCAACTGCGCCAGGCCGGGGATGGACTTTTACAGACTAGGGCCCTCAAGAGTTCCATAAGTCTCAGTGCAAGGAGGTGGGAAAGGCTCCTAAGTGCTTCTGCGGTGGCAGTGGCTTCCTCTGGCAAGGGCAGGCTCAGGAAGGTAAGACCGTCTCTCCCCTTGTGGCAGTCTTTTCTGTTCAGAGAGGAAGTGGCTGTGCAGGGCTTCGGGTTAACGGCTGGCAGTGTCTATGAAGGGCTGGATGTCTGGAGGTTGCAAGAAATAGAACTTAAAGTATATATATATTAAAAAAAAGAAATGCTCAGTCTTATCTCAAGAGACACAGGTCTATTAGAGACTCTCTATTTGTTTGTACTCCAAGCACCAACTGAGAAATAGATTAGTTGGAGCTTCATTCCTGCCTCTTGTCTGGCTCAGCACATATTGGTCATAAAACATATTCTGGTTGTAATATAGAACTTTATATTCTGACTCTGAAACTTGATAAACTGAAATTTCAGTGACACCAGCATTCATGGACATTGTGGCTAAAAAGAGAGAACTTAGGAAATATACTGATGTGTAACCACCAGAAAAAGGCTTAATGTAGGGTCTAGCAAACCAAGTTCAAGGACGTCATACCTGCACCCATGACATGCCTATTCCAAAGAGGCAAAAAGCTATAGAACAGAGAAGTCAATGGCTGGTGAGTTCATGGTGGTGTCTCGGTGTTGGTGTTAGCTCTGTTCAGGCTGTTAGAAGAACACACAGCGGAGAAATAATCCAGTCAATGATTCAAGGCAATCGTCTTGGAGGAAGTGACTTCTAAATTGGTCTATGAAGGAGAATCTCCCCCATTCCTGGAGTCGCCCAGTCCAGACCTCTCTGTACATTTGCACCAGCAGTTTATCCACAGTGCTGCACAGCCAGCTGCAGTCTGCACAAAAAGAGCAGCTGGAAGAACAGATGAATACCAGAGAGAGAAATGGTATTCTGGGTAGAGTGACCATTGTAGATAAAGACCCAGGAGTGAGTCAGCAGTGGACATATTTGGGGATGTGCGAGAAATGGGATGTTTCTGGAGTAGATGCAGGCAGTTGTGGTAGTTGAAGGATAAGGGAAGTCAGTGTTAGAAAGGTGGGGGATATGCAAAGGTCACATCATGGAGGGGCTGAGAGACTTGCAAACTAACATAAACTTGAGACTTTAGCTAGTTAATAGAAATAAACCAAAGGGTTTTAAGCTTGAGGGAGTGGTTTTGGGTGGGAGCAGGTGCAGGCTTGCAGGTAGGGTGGCTACTTGGAAGGTGGCTAAAGTGATCCAGGTGAGATCAGTGAAATTAGAAAAGTTAGTAAAATTTGTGAGGAATTTAGTACTTAGAAAAATGCAGGATAGGGTAGTGGATTTGGTGTGGAAGGAGAAAGTCAGAGAGAGAGTGAAGATCAGTCTTGCATCTCTGGCTTGGGCATTTGGACCATCTGCTGAGAGGAAGAAAATAGGAGGTGCTGGGTTTCATAAATAACTCCAAACATGGTGTTCCTCCAAGTGACAAAACCTCCAGAATAAATAGGACCTGGAATACAGAACCAAATATTGTTGAGACCCATTAGATTGTAAATGGAGTCTTCAGTTTGGGCAACAGTTTAGTTGAATTTAAAGATTTAAGCTCCACAAGAAGAAAGGATGGGAGAGTGTACCCTGGCACTAGACCTAACTCAGTGAGCTTGTCCTGCCCAACTTTGAAACCTCATTGGTACAGCAGGTAGAGGATGGACCCCTGGTTCCACAGAGTGGCTGCATTGCAGAGTCCCTGAGGCTGGCGTGTGGGGAAGGGCTTCTGTGGGATGATGGAGGAAGTTTATCCTGTTGGTCGGTGAGGGGTCTCCTGAAGGAGGAGTCTCCTTGTTCTTGCAGCTACCCTCTGTTTTTGTGCAGAGAGCAGCTGGCTGTGCAACACTGTGGATAAACTGCTGGCACAGAAGTACAGAGAGGTCTGGTTGGGGCTGGGCGACTCCAGGATCAGGGGGAAATTCCTCTTCTCTTTTCGAGAGACTTTGTACCCTTCAGGAACATCTCCCTTATCAGTCACCTCAACATTCATTGAATAGTAGATCTGCCTTAAGCCCAGCCCTGGGTCTTGTCGATACCAGGACATATACTCATGGTTCATATTCTGAGAACAAGTCACTGTTAACTTCTTTCCAGTCACTGTGATGAGGTATCTTGGGTTCTGGGTCACTTGGGCTTCCAGGGGGCCTGTAAAGGAAGGGGACAGAGTTAGAGGCAGCGCTGAAGGGGATCTCCAATGCTTAAGCCTTTAGGAGATGCCTTGGGCTGAGGCCTACAAAATAAGGCCAAAAGTTGCCTATGTGTTCTGGGACTCACCTGCTCCTAGAAGGCAAAGGACCACATAGCCAAGGAGCTGGGGGCCCATGGCAGCATCAGGCAGGTGTCTGCCAGTTCTGGGGGCTCCAGGTGGTTTCTGTAACGTCTCCACCTCTTCAGCTATTTGGGCCTCAGAAACATTTTCAGGAGAGAAACCACTCCCACTTCAGCTCAGAGGGCTGAAGTGTACAAACGCAACACAGCCAACTCAGGCTGAGGACATTTGTAATCAATGTCATTTTCCTTAATCTGTGAGATTCCTTTCTTTATACATGTGCCACATTTTCTTATTAATACAGTCTTGTACAAACTGTCAAATATTTATGTATTTTGGATCTCAGGGTATAAAGTGGTGTAACACATTTGATTATCACTTAGAAGTGTGAGAACATAAAGCTTATAATATTGAAAGCTGCATTATCTTTTTTTTTTTTTTTGAGACAGAGTATCACTCTGTCACCCAGGCTGGAGTGCAGTGGCATGATCTTGGCTCACTGCAACCTCCGCTTCCCGGGTTTAAGCAATACTCCTGCCTCAGCCTCCCCAGTAGCTGGGATTACATGAAAGCTGCATTATCATATATTTTGAAGTCATTTCTACTCTGGCAGAAAAAATTTCAAGTATATCCCTGACTTCATTTATCCACTGGTATATATTTTTAGTCACTACATTTTAAAAGAGTCTAGGGTGTAAAATCTCAGATTCACATCATAGATTATTTTGCTAGTCTATTGCTGTTTAAAATCCAAGACACACAGCTTCTTTGCTCTTTAGCAAAATTGACTTAGTCATCATTGCTAGAGCTAGCAGCTGTTTCCACCAAAGATGGTATCTGGAGCATCTTTCTTCTTTTCCCCTTCTCTGTTCTTCTCCAGAAGAAGCTGGTGAAAGGCAGAGGCAACACCTGCTTCCTGCAGTAACCTCAGAGCCTTACCAGCCAGCTCTGCTTCCTGCCTGCTTTTGGTACGTGCTTTGCTTTCTTGCCACTCCACAGCTTGCTGTACATGGAAGGTATCTGTCCCTGGATATCGTGTTGTAGCCAGGCAGTGTTTGGGGCCAGGAGTGTCAAGCTTCTCTTAGATCTTCCAGCAGCTGCTGGTACTGCTCTCTTTTCTGCCTGAATATGTTCTTCCTACATTGAGGTGACTTTCCTAGGATTCCCCAGAATGCCTTCCTCCTCGAACACCTTTGAACTTTTCTTAATTTTTAAAATTAAGGTATAGTTGATGAATAAAAATTGCATATATTTACAGTGCTCATTGTGATTTTTGACACATGTATACCTTTGAATCCTTCTTGTACTTTGTAGGAACGAATGTATTCCTGGATGGTGGAATAGAAGGAGGCTACCCCTTTCTTCCCAAAAGCTTCCTACCACAAGTAGAGCCTCACAGAGCCCGTCATTGTTTTTGCCAAATCATTATCATCTCCAGACAAGAAGGGGCCCCCTTCCCGGTTTTCAGGCCTACTCTCAAACCTCAGAGATGAGTTCCTTGCCCCCAGACCCCTTCATGGTGAGAGGTGCAGCTCTAACAGTTTCCATTCCATGCATTGAGAAAGGAGTGATTGCTATCAGGACCTTAGCTCTGATCTAAGAGGAGTATTCTCTCTTTTTCTATTTCTTCACCACTGCTTTCTGGAAAAAAATGTAGGGAGAGAGCTTGGCTCTACTTCAGCCACAGGTGTTTGCATTTTCCTGGCAAATCCTCCATATCCTAGCTGTGAATTCGGGTATTCTTAAGAGAGGGAAAACAACTTTCATTCTAAAAACCCACTGCAAGTAAATAATTTCATGTTACTTAGTAAACCTTGACATCCCAAATAGCAAAATCTTTCAGAATTTACTCGCGTCCACATAGCTCACTATTAGTGGATATTGGATTTCCCAACATTCCGTGGTGTTTCAAAGTTGAACAGGTACATAATTACACTTCAGAGTATTATAATTTTTCCCAATGTCTTTTCATATTAGATTAATTCAAGATTTAGGAGGTAGCTAATTCTATATTCTGTCCCTCTACTAGCTAATTCACTCTCCTCAGCAATGTGGTTTCTCCTTCTGTGTTCCTTTGACTATGAGGCTATTCTGCTCTCGTTTCCTTTTCTACCTCAACCAAGGTACTAAAATGATGCTGTTAGCCTGAGGCTCCAATAGCCTTACAGTAGGAGCCAGTTGTTTTACTTTCCCACCCTTCCTTCCTACAACCTTCCCTCTGATCTTTTCTACCCAATTCCACCATATTTAGGAATTCTAGAAACTTATTCTATTCCATTTCCCTAATGTAGGGCAGACTCCTATGTCCCTAACAGCGGGAATGGAAAGTAAACAGAACCCTCTAGACGGCCGGGCACTCTGAAACATCTCCTTCATCTTTGCATTTTGATGAAAAAGCATTTCATTCTACGCCATGCCATCCCTTCCTCTCCTTCATACTTTTTCGGTCTTTGCTCTCTTCCTTCTCTTTTTAGGGACTGCTCATCCACCCAACCGGGGCAACAGTATCCCGATAAAAGCAATTAAGCTAACACCTACTAAACTGATGAACCATTTCCTAAAAACCCCTGTAAGAGAACCTATGCCTTGTCCCTTTAAATATAAAGCAACCTTTTTTTGTTTTTTTCTATGTGATTTTGAGCCCAGGAATAGACTGCAGAATTCTCACCTCACTTCAAATTCTATTTCACTTACGCTCAGGCCATTTTAGTTCTGAGAGTCACTCCAGTTTATGTATTTTCTTGTACTATATGATTAGCTTTTGAAAGACCCCAATGAGACATATTTATATATCAAGTTTTTAAAATTGATAATACAGTATTCAATTTTATCAAACTTTCCCTCCCACCATTATCTGAATTTTAATGTTTATATTACAGGAATATGTTAGTGCCCTCTAGTGGAACATCGGAGTGGAGGGCTGAATGGTTCCTTAAAGATGTCCAGGTGCTAATAATCCCTGCAACCCGTAACAGCTGTGGATGTTCAGTTAGATGGCAAATGGGAATTAAAGCTGCAGGTGCAATTAGGGCTGCTAATCAGCCGACCTTGAGATAGGAAGCAGTTCGTGGATTACCCAGGTGGGTCCAATGTAATCACGCAGGTCCTTAAACGTGGAGAGCCTTTCCCGGCAGTGTTTAGAGGGAGCTGTGAGTATGCAAGTAGGGTCAGAGCAACAGAACGTGCTGCCTTTGAAGATAGAGGAAAACAACCCATAAGGTAAGAAAATCGATTCTCCCCTGGAGCCTTCAGAAAGGAACCCAGATCTGCCGACACCTTGATTTTGGCTGGGTGATACCTATGTTGGTTTCTGAACTACGGAACTGTAAGGTGATACATTTGCATTGTTTTAAGCCACTAAATGGGTGGCAATTTGTATAGTAGCAACAGAAAACTAATACAACCACCAAGACCAAAAATGTGTGGTCAAATGTGTAAGAGGGCAATTAGGATGAAAACAGTAAAGGAACGAGTAAGATCGGAGTGCAGGGTGTCTGGGGCATCTTGAGTGTGTGTGGCGGCTCATAGGTTAGGTCGCTTCAACCCTGGGGTTTGTCATATCCGCTCAGAGAGGATGTGGCTGCACTGATAGGCTGCTGCTGCAGAGGGTCTCAGAGTCTGGTTAGTGCTGGACGATTTAAGGGTTGGGAAAGATGATTATTTTTTCCCTTTTTTCTTTTTGGTTAGAATGACTATGCTGACTCAGGGCATCTTTTTCAAAGCTGCCAACTTCAGAAGAATAATTAATAGATTAAATTTATCCCCAGCCCTGGATCTTATGGATTCCAGAACGTTTGGTCTGGTTGATAGTCTGAAAACATTCCGATACAACTTTCCTGCCTCATCTCAGGGTCTGTGTTACTTTGACATTCATGAGCCTTTAAAAGAAGGATGCAGAAAAGTGACTACATAGCCCACCAGGAAACTCATGTGAAAGCCACGAGGAAGAGCCTGTTCCCAGAGCCTGGACACACCAGGATGGTGATTATCCCATGTGCGTTCTGAGAATACCTGCCCCTGTGAGCCACAGGCCACACACAGACGAGTGTCCCAGCAGCTTCTCTCCAGATTAGGTCATTTCCTCACAGAGCCTTACCAAGATATGCACTTTTAGACCAACTTAGTTCTAGAAGAAATGGTTTTTTTCTGTTCTAAATATATTCTAACAGTTTTGTTCTCCAAAATACATCTTTTAAAATTTGTTGAGTTGGTTTCTTCTGAGGCCTCTCTCCTTGGCTTGTAGATAACAATTTTTTTTTTTCTATACCTTCTTTCTGGTCTTCCCTCTTTGCATGTCTGTGTCCTAACCTCCTGATAAGGACACCAGTCATATTGAATTAGGGCCCACCCTAATGACCTAATTTTAACTTAATTATCGATGTAAAGACCCCATCTCCAAATATAGTCAGTCACATTATGGGGCACTGGGACTTAGGACATCAACATATGAAATGAAGAAGGTAGCACAACTCAGTCCATAACAATGGAAATAATAAAAGTACTTACATATTTGTTGTGGCAATTAAATGAGTTGCCATGAATAAAGAGGTTAAAGGATTGCCATGCATACAGCTATTCAAAATATTTTCTCCACTGCTGCTTTTATCACAATACTTTCTTAAGTCAGTGCCAGTCTCTGTGTTAAACTACTCACATATTGTTTCATTCAACCCTCACCCCACTTCTGAGAGGCTTATATTATTTACTTCATTTTATAGATGTGAAAACTGAGGGCTTAGAGGGCTTAAGTCACTTTCTAAAGCTACTAAGTGCCAGAAACTGTCTGACTGCAAATCCTGCACTCTCAACTATGATGTGTAAATATTTCCATTTCTCTACATGCTTTATGGTAAATGTGATGGTGAACTTACTGCTTGACAATTTGACTTTTCAATTTCTTTTAGGAATTATTTTCCAATCACTCCAGTTTCTACACCTAAAACAGAATTAATACACTTTCCTTTGCCTGTGTTGTCTCTTGGTGTCATCTCCAAGTTACTGGTGGAAGGTATCTTGAGTTATCAGCAGTGAATCCTTGCTGGTCTGCAGCAACCTCAGTTCTTGCCTCCTCAGAAGAAAATTCCACTGAGGGTCATAGAGCAGAAAAAGAGACCAAGACAAGTTTTAGAGCAGGAGTAGAAGCTTATTAAAAAGGCTTTAGAACAGGGAAGAAAAGAAAGAACACTTGGAAGAGATCCAAGCAGGTGACTTGAAGAACAAGTGCGGCATTTAACCTTGATCCTGGGACTTCATAGGCGGCCATCTTGTGCCCCTTTCTCATTATTCTCCCCTTAGGATAGGCTGCCCGAATGCACAGTGCCCTCCTTACACTTCGGAAGTGAGCATGCGCAGTGTGTTTAGGAAGTTGTATGCATGCCCATCTGACGCTTTCTTCCTGTTTCTGTTGGAGTGTCCCTGGAAGGTCGTACTCCACCCTTTTGTCTCTCAATGCACATACCTGGGTTCACCTGCCCAATACCTGAGATTTTATTGGAAACCTTCTTTGCTTCTCCTTGGTGCCTGCATTCAATTGACACTTTAATGTTAACAGCTGTGGATCAGCAAGAGATTGTACCTCCCTATCTCAGGCTGCTGAATTATGCATTATTATTAGAGAGGCAACGTTATAATCTCTGAATCAATACCAGATTGTCTGACATTCTGGGCGGTGGGGGGAAGGGAGCCCTCTCCTGCCCCACTCATGCCTAACTAACTACCTGTAACATCCAGGCGCCCCATGCTGCCTCCCCACATTCCTTGCAGGCTCAGGGTGAACTTCCCAAGCAGGATTGGCTTTGTTTACATGCTATGATTTCCATTATCAATGGCAGGAATCTGTTACCTTCCTTTTTCTACCCTTCTTTAGTTTTGCTTTTAGATTATTATTACAGCAATTTTAGTCAAACTGAATGTGTACTTGTATCCAGGTTGGCATCTTAAATTGAAACAAATATCATTCTATATGTGTTCACTTTCTAAACATTCATGTTTTATGTATAGATTTTTGTGAATGGTACATGGTTTTAACTGTTTAGACACTCCTACAGAAACAAACATAGGATATAATTCTCTTGAGGGGCAACGTGCTAATTTCTTGTGCAAAATGGGTTTCCATTTTTATGCTTCCATTGTGTGGGAGGGAAGCTGGACAGTGAGTGAGCTTCCTCTCTGAAATTTCTGATGACAAGAACGGTTTCTACTCTCCTGCTGTTCAAAGGGTCACGTTCTGTGTTTTTTGTCATAACCTCCTTACCTTCCTCGGTGGCAGCACTTTCATGACTGGGTGCTGCTTAGCAGGGTCCATACACATTATGCTGACAGGACAAAGGAAGGAATTATTCCCAAGATGAGTAGTCTCCCTGAAGATTGAAACAGCTGTAGTGCTCCCTGCTGGAACATTCTGATCCTAAACCTGTAGAGATGAGGAATTTGTAGAAATGGAACCTGCCAAGAACAGAAACTGGCAGAATCTGTCACAAGAAAAAGTCCCAATCAGACTTCAAGAGAGGGTTCTTGGATCTTGTGCAAGAAAGAATTCATGGGGAGTCTGAGTAAAGTGAAAGCAAGTTTATTAAGAAAGAGGAATAAGAGAATGGCTACTCCAAAGACAGAGCAGCCCTGAGGGCTGCTGGTTGCCTATTTTTATGGTTATTTCTTGATTATATGCTAAGCAAGGGGTGCATTATTTAAGCCTCCCCTTTTTAGGCCATATGGGGTTATATCCTGATGTTACTATGGCATTTGTAAACTATTATGGTGCTGGTGGGAGTGTAGCAGTGAGGACGACCAGCAGTCACTCCCATGGCCATATTGGTTTTGGTGGGTTTTAGCCGGCTTCTTTCTGCAACCTGTTTTATCAGCAAGGTTTTAAGGACCTGTATCTTGTGCTGACCTCTTATCTCATCCTGTGACTTAGAATGCCTTAACTGTCTGAGGATGCAGCCCAGTAGGTTTCAGCCTTATTTTACTCAGCTCCTATTCAGGATGAAGTTGCTCTAGTTCATATGTCTTAGACATTTCCTCCTTCCCTTTTATAAAAGAACCCTTAATCCTAAGGTTGTAGAAGGACAAAGATTCATCTTCTGTAACTTCTTCAGGCTGAATAGGGGCAATGATATTTCTGCCTGACTATTATGGTCTCTTGTGTTCAGGGTAAAGAGGAGCTCAGTCAGAAAGCTTCAGTATGATGAAGGCCATTCAGAACTCTTGAGTCCTGACGAAAGGTGATATCTGAAAGATTAATAAGTATTCGGTTTAAGAAAACATTTAGTAAGCTTAGTCTGCATTCCTACACAAAGAGTAAAACAGCAATATAACAAAATAAGCAAAAGTATCCCAAGTAAACTAAATTAGAAGGCTCTTCATGAACTGGGCAACTACTGGAACCAAGCTGACATGAGGTGGCTAGGCAATTCCAGTACATGCCCAGAATTAGAATGAAATCCAGATTTTTACATTACCAAAATGCCTTGTTTTTTCAGAGTAGCAGGCAAAGATCACTGGTTGGTTCATAGGAATAAGCAGGGTTAGCCTAAACTGCATAAACAAACAACAACTGATGAGACTAGAATTTAATACCAAGTGTAACATAGGTCTTGAAACGTAATATTCTTTCTCCTGTTTTCCATTTTCACTAAAGATAAGTCATGGTAAGACCAATTTGTTTTATTATACTTGGCCTGATTATTTATATAAAGTACAGCAAGAATAATTATTTTTCACATAGACTTTTAACACTGGTTTTGATGGAACTTTGTTTCTTAGAAGGAATCTTGGATAAGACTCTTTTTAAGCCGCGCCCTACCATGGGTTTGTATCCTCAAATACCTATGAGCTGAGTAAATTCCTCTCCTCTTGGGGTCCCAAGATAACTTGGGGCTCCTGGACCTGTTAGAAGGTGACATTGTTTACTTACCACAGGTCAGAAATCATGTACATGGACTGTTGTATCAAAGGTCTGAGGCCAGTTCCCCAAGGGGCTTTTATTGACTTGGCAAGTCAAGTTTGATTCCTTAGAGTATACCATTCCATCAAAGTCTTGGTAAAATAACCAGTTTCTCCAATTGTGTCTTGTTATCAAAAATAATAATAATAATAATAATAATAAAACAAAACAAAACAAAAACCCAACAGATTCTTATTACACTCATGCAAATAACTATATTGCCATAAATTGAGACTATTCACAATGAGTTTCCAAAATCTGGAGAAATCAAGTAAAGAGAAAAAAATATGCTCTCAATTTTGTTCACACATGTATACTTTACTCAATTGCTAAAAGCTGTAATAGCTCAAAAGTTTCCTTGACTCTGAAACACAAAACAAAAGATCAGCAACATTTTACACAAAAAGTTAAAGAGGAAAGCATTGCCTGAGGCAGGGTGGGGAAGAGGAGGCACTCGGAGACAACAGAGAAAGACCCACCCGTTGCAGTGACACTGAACAGTTCAGGTGGCCACGTGATGGTTGTGAAGGATCTTTTCCAGCGGTCCCATCAGCTCTCAAGTTTTCTGTTTTAGGGAGAAAACATTTTACACGTTAGACTTTTGCTAGTTTAGTCCATGCAGTTAACTTCTGTTCTGCTTGATATTCATGAACATTTCAGCTCTCCCTGAGTCCTGAAAGGTTTTCCTCTGTTCTGATGTCACAATGTCCAAATTTATCAGAAAATCTGCATTTAAAAGCACAGTTTTCTAGAGTCCTACATTTAATTCTAAACCACCTTTTACAGAGAACTAATATGAGACAATTGTCTGGATGACCAAAAGTCTTAGAACAGCCACAATTAAAGCCAAAATTGACTAGAAAAATGTGGTTGACTCTGTGGCATGCAATGATTTTAATTAACAATTATTAATAGCATACACTAAGTCATATCAGGGTTAAAGAAGTTTTTTTTAAAATAATTTTGGAACATGTACCAATGACACATTTATACAAATACAGCCCAAAAAAACCAAATGCCATTTTGTATTTGATAATGCTTCTTGTATGACTGTAATATTAAATAAGCCAAATGTCACTGCTGTATTCATGCATTATTGATGTCAAACCCAATTCTTAGTAAAACCTTATAGACAAATGTATTCAATCTTAATCATGTTGACCATAAGGTAAGGTTTTTATAAACCTTTTATAACCCTTTACAAGTTTTTGTTAAAGAGTAGAATAGTGCTTTTATTCCAATGTTCAGTTTCTAGAATAACTGAATAACACCCCTTTAATTTTAGCCAATGTTCGCACACAGAATCTCTTTTATGGTTATTTTTTTCATAAGCCTTCCACAGCTTTCTTGAACAGTCAGCTTCATCCTAACTTGAAACGATCCTTTAATGCTTTAATCTAGGCAAAAATCTAAATTCCCATGACTTTATATATATATATATATATATATATATATATATATATATATATATATATATATATAATTTTAATGAAAAATGCATTTCACTTTCTTTACACAATTTGCATATAAAACTGTTTCTTCAGTAGTATCAATTACATGTTATAATGTTGACTCTTACCAAGGTTTTTCACGAAAAGTTGCTAAATTCAGGATTTTAATTATGTACTAGGTGTGGAGCCTAGCCTTGGACACACCAGGCAGAAGTGCAGATAAAGGCTGACTCCAGCATAGCTAGGGGGCGTGGCTAACTCCACATGTCCCCAGGTCTTATCTAGAATCTAATGGCTTCAAGGTAGGTTAATTAAAAATTTTTCAAAAGTTAAAGAAGCAGTTTATGACCTTCAAGCATTTAGCAGTCTTAATATGTGTCCTGCCTAATTTAAGCCAAATGTTTACATTTTTGAAGATATTTTTATTTTATCAATAATCTTCAAAACTGTCCTTATTTCTGGAAAATTAAAGTCACGTGAACTAAAAGGCACTACACTTTTTACTTTTCTGACAAAATATTTGATTTAAGCTCTCATTAAACCCATTAATCAATGCTCTTTTAGAAATAAACATCACATACACATAATACATGTAAATACATACACATAGGAATATAAAAAAACTCATCCCCTGAGGCAGGAATAGAACCCTGAACACAGGATGCCATTGTGAAAAGCGAAAACATGGCCACATGGTTACAGCTTCAAGCTCCCAAGGACATGCAAGACAAGAAAAAAATCTCATCCAATTTTTCTCAGGAACCTACAGCAAAGTTTGTAACTGACCAGTTTGCTGGTCTGTCTTGAAAAGCAGTTTACAAGTGTCCTCAGCCAGTGTTCTATCATAAGGTACCCCTCTTTATGACAGAATAATACAGAAAAACACACAAAGCACATCAGATTTGCTACAGCTTAAGTCTAGCCTCAAAAACCCTTTCTTCCATTAATCAAAACTTTATAGGAGACAGTTACTTTTACCATTAATTCAACCAGTTTGCAAGGAGAAAAAGAGAGAGACAGAGAAACAGAGAAAGAAGAAAGCACTGCCTGAGGCAGGGTGGGGAAGGGGAGGCACTCGGAGACACCAGAGAAAGACCCACCCATTGCAGTGACACTGAACGGTTCAGGTGGCCGCATGATGGTTGTGAAGGATCTTTTCCAGCAGTCCCATCAGCTCTCAAGTTTTCTGTTTTAGGGAGAAAATAGTTCCCCATGTCCCATGATCCTGTACATGCCTAATCCTGTTACACACAGCTGTCAGCAAGGAGTTGAAGGCAGATTAATCCAAAGAGAATAGCAGTTAACATCCTGTAGTGCAAAACCCGTTCTTAGCCCGAAAGGACTTTACCAAGACAGACTTTCTAAGAAGGGCCACTAACCCCCTAAATCTTGGAAAGGGATTCTAATCCTCCTAAATCGGGCCTCTAACCCAAGGTCATTCAAGTGTCCTTGCCTTTTATTAAGAGGGGCCTTTAACCCTCTCTGTCTTAGGAGAGACTCTAACTCCCCTAAGTTGAGCCTCTATCCCAATCCCATTCTTTACCTGGGTAGGTACTCCACCACTTACCCAAAGTTGTCCAATCGGTGCTGCAGTCTATTTCCTTGGGTTGGGGGGAGGTCGTCTTAGTATCATCCCTTCAGGGTTTGCCAGGAAGATGTTACAGGACCCCAACACTTACCCAAAGTTATCCTTTCTTTCCAGGGTTTCCTCACTACAGTCCCTTCATCATCACCAGAAAGCTGTTACAGGAAAGGCTCCTTATCCAGACCCCAAGAGAGGATTCTTGAATCTCAAGCAAGAAAGAATTCAGGGGGAGTCCATAGCATAAAGTGAAAGCAAGTTTATTAGGAAAATAAAGGAATAAAAGAATAGCTTCTCTATAGATAGAGTAGCCCTGAGGGCTGCTTGTGGCCTATTTTTATGGTTATATCCTTTTATATGCTAAACAAGGGATGGATTATTCATGCTTCCCCTTTTTAGAACATACAGGGTAACTTCCTGATGTCATGGCATTTGTGTCATAGCACTGGTGGGAGTGTAGCAGGGAGGACGACCAGAGGTCACTCTTGGGACTATTTTGGTTTCGGTGGGTTTTGGCCAGCGTCTTTACTACAGCCTGTTTCATCAGCAGGGTCTTTACGACCCGTATCTTGTGCTGACCTCCTATCTCATCCTGTGACTTAGAATGCCTTCACCATCTGGGAATGCAGCCCAGTAGGTGTCAACCTTATTTTACCCAGCTCCTATTTAAGATGGAGTTGCTGTGGTTCACATGTCTCTGACAAATCCACCCTTAAAAGTGGCATCGTCTGATTCAAACTCCTGCCTTTGTACTTTTGCCTCTTAGGCTACTTCCCGGCACAACTTCTTTCATCAGCTGCCTTTTTTCAGCTGCTTGGAAATAGAGCCTTATAATAGTTTTCTCTTACTGCTGTATCCTATTACTGCAAATTAGTGGCTTAAAACAACGCAAACTTATTATCTTACAGTTCTTTTGGTTGGAAGTCCAGGGTCGGTCTCATTGGCAGTTTGCTCTTTGGAGGCTCTAGGAGAGAATGTTTTCTTTTTTCTCTTCTAGCTTCTAGAGGCCTCCCACATTCCTTGACTTGTGGCCCCTTTCATTATCTTCAGCAGCAACAGCAGGTAAAGTTGTCACATCACTCTCACCATAGTCCATACACTTTTATGTACCTATGTGTTTATACTGAGCCCACCTGCATGAGTCAGGATAATCTCCCTGCCTCAAGGTTAGCTAATTAGCACACTAAACTATCTACAAACTTAATTATCTTTTATTATGTATGGTAACATATTTACAGGTTCTGAGGTTTAGGACATAGACACCTTTCGGAGTCATTATCCTACCTACCAGTAGCCCTTAGACAGAAAAGGAAGGCAAGGGTTGTTAAATTTAAGAAATATACTTTGGAGGAAGAAGGAGAGAAGAGGCAAACCCAGGATCAAATCATTGTAGACATTGCTGATTTTTTTTTTTTAACAGCCACATAATGAACACCTGTTAAATATCAGGTGCTGTTTCAGACCCTGAGAATAGAGGCATAAACACAGAAGTCAGCATCCCTGTTCCCATATTAATTGTGTCTGATCATTCATTAAACATGGATGTCATGCATAGGAGAAGATTCTGGGGAAGGAATAATGGAAAGGCGTGGCATTTGACCACATGGATTTTGTAGGCCCATGGTAAGATCACTATACCAATAAACATGATAATTTGGTATTTGTAGAAAGGGAGAATTGTGTAAGCTATGGAGAATACAGGGGAAAGAGTCTACAATCTTCTTGGGAAAATGGCACATTTCATGTAGTGCTATTGTTTTAAGTTATATTTGAAAGGAATTTGCAGGTGTGCTGTGTAAGGGAAATATTATGCACAGCATGTTTGGAGATAGAGTTCAGTGTGGCTTAGAGCAAAGTAAGTGGGACTGTGAGTGGTAGGTGTGACTGGATTTCATAGTAGGCTTGTAATCATAGAAACCTTTGTATATGTTACACACTTTTTTTCACCCACCCATCTCCTTCCTAGATGGATTTAATCACTCCCCACTTTCCACTACACCCAGGGCTCTCCTGGCCCACAGCAATGTAGGAAAGTGGAAAATGATTTAGCAGATTGAAGAAGACAGAGTTTGTCAGCATGCTATACATAGGTGTACTTGAAGAGTTGGTGAATACATAGAGACAAAGGGCTGACTATATTGTGTGTGTTTCAATCAGGCTGGGTATGATCTGCTCATTTGGTTTTCACCTCCTCCTGGACATGTCTGGGATTCTGAAGCAGTGACCCATTCTTCCTACTCATAAGAAGCAAGTGTTTTAGAATATGAGTGCTATTATTATTCAAGTATGGTAGAGCTAATGGATGAGGAGACAGCTGCCACTGAAAATACAGTTTGTTACCTACGATTCCCAAGAAGAAAGGGGCATGACACACTATGCAGGGCAATACAGGCCCAGTTTTTTGTTTGTTTGTTTGTTTTTCTTGAGATGGAGTCTTGCTCTGTCACCCAGGCTGGAGTGTAGTGGCATGATCTTGGGTCACTGCAACCTCTGCCTCCCAGGTTCAAGTGATTGTCCTGCCTTGGCTTCCCAGGTAGCTGGGATTACAGGTGTGCACCACCATGCCTAGCTGATTTTTGTATTTTTAGTAGAGATGGGGTTTTGCCACGTTGATCAGGCTGGTCTAGAACTCCTGACCTCAAACTGATCCACCTGCCTCAGCCTCCTAAAGTGCTAGGATTACAGATGTGAGCCACTGTGCCTGGCCCCAATTTTTTTTAAGGCCTGAAACAAATTATTTGAAACCCAGTCATACCCTGTCGTCGTTGCCCCAGTTAAAACTTCTCCCTATGTGGTTGTCGGCTATATGGTCTATTTCTCATTCCCCTGACCCAAAACCCAGCACACTCCAGAGCTGCTGACCATGATAAAGCCTAATGGCCAATGCTAGAGTCCTGCAAGTAAGTTTTCTCCTTCTGAAACGTTTTCTTTAAAGTAGCTGACTCATAACCCCCATAGGAAAGCCTAAGGAATAGTTCCACTGGCCTCGCCCACCCCCTCCTCCTGCCTTTGCCTGTACCCTCCCTTCCCTCCCAAACTGGATGAGCTCCTGCCATCTTCACACTTCTCTTAGGCCTCTCTAACCTCTTTGGGTTCTGTGAGTAATAAATTTCTTCCTTTCATGCATTTTGTTTTCACTTGCTCCACTGTGTCTCACCTGACACTCACACCTGAATTTAACTCCCCCTCCCCTGAGTCAGAGGTCTCCTAGAGAATGGCTATATTGGTTTATGGCTAGTCTAAAAAGAGAGACCTCAAGACCAAGTTAGAAAAAATATCATAGCAATAAGAATCACAACAGTGGGTCAGAAGATAGAAGGAGTGACAGGAAACATTGGCAAGAACCTTTATTGTGGTTTTCACTGAACGAATGAGGGAGGCAGGGTACACAGGCTAAGTAGGCTTAGCATGGGCTAGTTTAAAAATTTGAGCAGGCTCCAAAGTGTAGGGATTATCTCAAGTTGTTTAGTACCTGGCCCTGTGGTAATTAGGGTAGGAGAATAGGGGCTTAGAGTATGAGAGCCCAATAAAGGAGGTGGTTTGGAGTAGAGGCTTTGGATTGGTTGATTTGGTATGAAAGGCATGCTCTAGGGAAAGTAGTTTGCTATCCCTAGGAATGAGTTAACACTGAGAGGGTCAGTCCCTCCAAGATCAGCAAGTCCTCAGATGTCAAAACATCAGAAAATATGGATGTCAAAACATTAGAAAATACAGACAATAAGAAGGCATGATTAATACAGTATGTCCTCCTCAGTACCCAACTGATATGGTTTGGCTCTGTGTCCCCATCTAAATTTTACCTTGAATTATAATCTCCATAATCCACAGGTGTCAAGTGTGGCACCAGGTGTAGGTAATTAAATCGTGGGACCAGTTTCCTCCATGCTGTTCTCATGATAATGAGTGAGTCTCACGAGATCTGAAGGTTTTATAAGCATCTGGCATTTCCCCTGCTGGCACTCACTCCATCCTGCCACCCTGTGAAGAAGGTGTCTGCTTCTTTTGCCCTCCACCATGATTGTAAGTTTTCTGATGCCTCCCCAGCAATGTGGAACTGTGAATCAATTAACCCTCTTTGCTTTATAAATTACACAGTCTTGGGTATTTCTTCATAGCAGTGTGAGAACAGACTAATACACCAACTATAGTGGTCTTACTGTGGGAGGATATCAAAGTGACTCAAGAAGAAAAATATAGAGCTCTTTGATACCATCCTAGACTCTAGTGTGAACTTGACATTATAATACAGTGCTATTTTTTTCTGGTAAAGGACTAATTTTCCTTTTTTCAAAATATTAAAGGGATAGTCATAATTTTTTTCATTTTAATAAACTTAGATTGTATATATTGTAGACCATGGGGGAGCCACTGAAGGATGCTGCAGAAAGAGTGATAGAAACAGATCTTTGCAATTTGGAAGATTATACTTGGGTATACTAATAATACTAGATTAGATGAAATGAGGATTAATAAGGAACTAGAGAGATTAATGAGACCTTTTATATTTATTTGGTAAGCTAGTAAAATGGGCATAAACATGTCAGTGGTTGCAGTGATTGAGATAGCAAACAAAGAACTAAGATATTTAGGAATTAGAAATGAAAGTGCTTGCATAAAAATTGGATGTCCAGGGCAAAAGAGAAAGAAATGTGGCATGACTCTCAGTGTTCATATATTGTACAAACAAATGACTCTGTCAAGTCAGGAACTCAGAGGAAATGCATCTTGGGAGGGAAATATGATATGAGTTTTACCTTTAGGTAGAAGTGTTCAGTTGGTGTCCTGAATAAATTTAAGTTCAAATTTGGAATCAAAATGGAAAGTATAGATCTTGAATTCATTAATCCATGAGTGGTGATTCTTGTGTTCCCAGTCCCCATCATAAAGTAATGAATAGCAACTACCTCATGGAAAGAGAAAGGAGAAAGGACTGCTACCTTCTCAACAATTCTTCTTCTCTGAAGGTACATTTTCTTTGATCATTTTCTTATCTTCCTCCATCAATGGAATTTGGTAGCAATTCATTTCTGTGAAGCTCATAAGTATTTGAGGTACCCTGAGTTATCTCTGCTTAATTGTGGAAGGTGAATTAATTCACAAGAGGAGAAACTATTTGCTGTTCCGAGACTTTAGTTAGTTTCTGTATCATCCCACATTTCTTCTTCAGGAAGTTTTCACCAACTTGCTGATAATAGTCACAGTAGGTGTTCTCCTGTTAACTGGATTCTAACAGACATTTCTTTTTCAAGGCTTCATCTTGAGGTCATTGAAATTCCAATAAGTAGTTTTCTACTTATTGGAATTTCAAAGGATTGTGCTACCTCCCCCCAAATTAATTAACTGATAAGAAAAAGTATTTCCATAGTAAGTTACCTCAAAATTTATAAGGACAAAGCTAATTATATATCTCTTTTCATCTGATAACTAAGTTTATTCTCTTCAGAAAAGTGCTCTCCACACTCACTCCATTCTGCCTTTCCACTTCACTGCTCCTTCATTGGCAACTGTTCTGGTTTCATCTTTCTTCTCTTTTGTTAACTCAGGGACTAAAACAATCCTGTTTCTCGTCTTGAATCTCCAGTGTTCTTCCAGTAAGAGCCAAATCTATTCTACCTTTTTGCCTTTCCTTCCTCGACCTGGTCTTTGTTCCATTTTAATAAAGACCAATTCATTCTACTTCTGCACTATGTCCTTGATTAAGCAGTAGTAAGAAAATTTGATGCACTGCATGGCCAAAACTCTGAACCATCTCTTGAATAGTTTTGAATTCTAATTTAATGTATTTGATTGTATGCTCTCTGAATTTCTATTCTTGACTTTCCTGGCATTTGACCTCCATTGATATGATAGGCAGAATTCCAAGAATGACCTCCAATGACTCATGCCCATGTATAATGTCCTTCACTTTGAGCATGAGTGGAACCTAAAAATGAGATGTCACCCCAGCGATTATGTTACATTATTTGACAAAATAAATACTATTCAGGTTGGCCTAATCTAATCACCAGAGCCCTTTAAATGCAGAGTTTTCTGTCTTGAAGCAGAAGTGGGTATCAGAGGGATTTTAAACATGAGACAGATTTGATGTGCATTTGAAGATCAAGAGGACCAGAAAGAAACTGCAAGGAGCTAATGACCAATCTCATTGGCTGTCTGTGACAGCCAATAAAAAATGAAGACCCTAGACCTGCTGTCACAAGGAACCAAATTCTACCAATACTAGGAATCATCTGGGAGGAGGAGCCAGTCTCCTGATGAGAATGCAGACAGCTGACCCCTTGATTTCCGCCTTATGAGACCCTGAGAAAAATCCAGCCACTTTTCTTGGACTTCAGACATACAGGACTATGAGATAAGACAATTGTTACTTTAACCTGCTGAATTTGCAGTAATTGGAAAACTAGTATAGGTGGTTATCACCCAACATGCATCTTTGGGGAACTACTCAGTAAATCTGTATCTCTAGCCTATCTATTCAAAGACATGGATATTGATCTTAAAAGTTATACCTGCATCTACCCAACTGAGGTTCTGCTCCTCAATAATCCCTGTAAATAAACATAGTTCATTTCTCTTAAACACACACAGTTACACACATACATGCAAATAACCTTCTTCTCTGTGGGTGATCCTGAGCCCACACAAAGTCTGCATAATGTTTACTACCCTCTTTTACTGCTGCTGAGGCCATTGTACCACTGAGGAGGTCTTGCTGCCACTGTTCTTATTTTCCTAAACAACACGATTAACCATTGAGATCGCTTTGAAGAATCTTTGAAGGGTATTTGCAAATCTGGGTTATTTGTCTTTACTTGGTAAAATTCAATTTCATTAAAATTTCCCTATATCTGTGTCTGAAAGTTTGTCTAGAAATGTGCTGTGGTTTGAATGTGTTTCTTCTAAAATTCATTTTGAAATGTAATCCCCATTGTGGCAGTATTAAGAGGTGAGAAGTGATTAGGTCATGAGGGTTCTGCTCTCATGAATGAATTAGTGACTCATAAAAGGGCTGGGGAACTAGCTTAGGCACTTTTCTCGTGTGATGACATAGTACTCAAGGTGCCGTCTTGGAAGCAGAGACCAAGGCCCTCACCAGACATTGAACTGAGGTGCTTTGTTCTTGGGCTTCCGAGCCTACAGAATTGTGACAAATTTATGTTTACAAATTATCCAATCTCAGTCATTTTGCTATAGTATCACAAATAAACCAAGATAAGTGTTCATATCATGTTGATGCCCTGTAGTCTAGTGGGATATTGACAAGAAACTAAGGGTTTAATAACAACCAAAAAGATGTCCTAGAAGGACAAAAATGGAAAGAGGGAAGCAGGGCATATCAAATTTAGGGAAGGGCTTTGGTATAATCTTGTGTAAACCAAAAATAAAATCCCAAGCCCCACAACCAACTGTGTGGACCCCTTCTCTTGGCCAAGAGCATTCCAAAGTTAACCTGAAAAACCAGTTCAGGTCTTAGTGGGAAGTGGGGTCAGACATGCCTCATTATACCCTCTTCACTTTAGAATTCAGGCACAACCAACCAGCATTAACATTAGAATGGAGACCTTACAAGTGACAAAACAGACCTTTTGTAGCAATAAGACACCAACATGACTCACAGCAGGCCCTGAAAAAAATCAAAATATTTTACCCCAAAGTATATTTTTTGACATATTTTTAAATGGCCCTACAAAGCTGTCTATCATGAGGAAAATCTGCATTCTGTAGATAATTCTTTCCTTTTCAGGTTTTTTCCCCTGATCCAGGAGAGAATTATGAGTCTGGCACCTTTTAAAAGTCTGATTAAGAAACACAATCTCTTCTCTCTGAAGCCTGCTCCCTGGAGGCTTCATCTGCATAATAAGAACCTTTGTCCCCACAACTCAGACACTCCTTTATATTGATTTCAAATCTTTAGATGATAACTTAACTCTTTCAACCAACTGCCAGCCTGAAAAATCTCTGAATCCACCTATGACCTGGAAGCCCCCTCTTTGAGTTGTCCCACCTTTCCAAATTGAAACAATGTACAGCTTACATGTATTGACTGATGTCTGATGTCTCCAAAAAACCAAGCTGTAGCCTGAGCACCTTGGACACATGTTCTTACGCCCTCTTGAGCCTCTGCCTCTGGCCACACTCACTCATGTTTGGCTCAGAATAAATCTCTTCAAATATTTTACAGAGTTTGGCTCTTTTTGTCAATACTTGTGAGGAAACTTCTCTTATTCGGGGTGAGGAATTTTGAGGGCAGGCTTTTCCTCTTTGGTATGCACCTTTTTTTGTGTGGAGAGGATATGGCTATGCAGTGCTATGGATGAACTGCTGGCATAGAGATACACAGATGTCTGGTTGGTGCTGGCAGACTTCAGGGTCAGGGGAAAAGATGCTATAGTATTTCAAGAAACATGATACCCCTCAGAGATATCTCCTTTTTCAGTGCTCCCAGTGCCAGGTGAATAATAGACCAGCTTCAGTCCAAGTCCTGGGTCCTGTCGATACCAGTACATTGTAACATGATTCATATTCTGGGAACACTGTAGAATGAATTCCTTTCCTGTCCCAATGATTCTGTGTCTTGGGAATTGTGTAACTACAGCATCCTTGAGGCCTGTTGGGGGGAAAAATGGATGATCAAATAGAGACAGGGCCTGGGAAAGAGGAGACTAATGTGAGTTTTATGAAGAAACATTTTATAGTTAGATCCTGTGAATTCAGTAATAGGGATTCCTTACCTGTGCCCAGGACTCACCTGCTCTTAGGAGACAAATGATCACACAGCAGAGAAGCCTGTTGCTCATGGCAGCACCAAAAGCAGGATGTTGCTTGGTGCTGTGATGAATTTAGTCCCTGATAACCAGCACTTTTCATTTATTTCCTGGCCAGAGAAACAACACTCATCTCCCACACTGCCAACAGCTACATAACTGCAAATCATGTAGCCCAGGCATGTGCAGTAGTAAAAGCTTTGACCTCTAACAATACCCAGAACCGAAGATTCCTCCCCTTAGAAACAGGAAGACCAAGACATGACTGGAACCTGAAAGCCAGACCTCTTTCAGTAGTGAGCGGTCCACTGGCCCAGAAGATCCCGGGCTAAAATGTTTCTTAACATATCTTACCATAGATAGTCATATTTGAAGCCTTCTAATCAGACCCTACCATATCAACATTCCTAAATCCTTTCCCTTGCTCTCTGATCCCTTAAAACCTGCCCTAGACCCCAAATCATGGAAACAGATTTGAACCCACTCCTTTCTTTTTGCTGACTGGTGTTTCAATAAAGCCTTTTCTTTTCTCAAAAGCTGGTGCCATAGTTATTGGCTTCTGTGTGCAAACCCATTTGTTTGATAACAAATATAGGTGCCCAATGTGAGGCCAACACCTGCCAAGGCACTGTAGCCCCTCAGTGGGAATTAAAGTTTCTTCACTGACCCTGAGTGGTGCTACTTAGACCAGTTTATCCAGAGGCTTAGCTGTGAGGTCCTTATTCTCTGTCATGACATTTCAGGCCCTTTGAGTGCTACTTTCTCTTTTGAGGAAAGAAATTCTTCTGGATAAGATGTCTTTTGGAGTCAATACCTTGTTAATATGTGCTTACACCTTAAATTGTCTTTGGTCTAGGACTGTAGATTAGAGTCCTATTTTTGTGCAGCTTCATCGGTTTGAATCCTACCCTAGGGAGGTCCTGGTTAGATTATTTCAGTCCTGGCTTTGGGTTAGCATCCAAAAAAATAAGTACAATAGTAAGGTGCTGTAACTTTTTGAGTATTCAATTCGGCTTGGTTTTGGTTTTCCTTTGTGTTTCTGAGTTTTTGGTTTGCATAATTATTCATCCTAACAGAGGTTAAAATTTTTGATGGTTGTGACAAGAACCTCATTAGAAGTTTATTTAAATGAAAGTCCTTGGATTCCAAAGATGAAATACATTGCTTTCTCCTGCCCTTTTAGGGTATTCCTAAGTGACTAAGAGTCTGGCAGAGGTGTTGAGGCAATTGGCTTATGATGTAAAGTGATTTTATAGGCAACCCCACCAGAAAAACATACCCCATTCCTGGGTTAGAACTTCAATAGCTCATCCAGGAGGAGCATACAAGGGGCCTTGGTAACCCCAACATCTCAAGCGGCCCAATACCATCTGGTGTTTAGGACCCTCTGAGACACATAAGAGGGAATATCTAGCCCATTGGTGATTCTCTGAAGAGGAATCCCCATAATCACAATACCACAGAACCAGAACACCTCCTTTTTACAGGATCTTATTCCAGTCATTTCAGGTAAAACTCTATACAAAATGGGAAACTTTAATAACATACTTGTCTATAGTCTTTTAAGATAAAACTCCCCACAAATCAACATACCACATGCCACAGCTTACTCATAGCAACCAGTAATGATGAGACCCAGGGACTTCTATACACTCTATTAGCTCTGTAAACATTTCCCACCAAGAAGTGCAGATGACAATTGGTGTGCAAAAGTGATGCATAGATTTTCTAGTTGACCATGGAGCTACATACTCTATCCCAAACACAACACAAGTCCCTGTCTTCCCAAAGAACACTGCTATTACTGGTGCATCTGGGGAAACATCCTTGCAAACCTTTCTTTCAGCCACTCAAATGCCATAGAGGAAAAGCCTATTAAACCTATTTAAACATAGCTTCCTATATATGCCTGAATGTTCAATACCTTTGTTGGGATAAGACTTGCTAACAAAATTAAATGCACAGTAATTTTTCACCAGAATGAGTAAATATTAAGGTGTCTCCTAAACAAGACTGCACCCTCCAAGTTGCCTTATTACAGGTAGAAGAAGGACCATTGCCTGAAATCCCTAAAGAGGATCTACAAAAACAGGTCTGGCTTGACAAATCAGTTTTTGAAATACCCAGGCCTGGGAATGTTTACCAGTGTGAACAGCTTCATGGATCAGGGTCTCTGAAAAGCCAGATATGCAGTAGTGACTTACCAGAGAATGTTAAAAGCTGAGGCTTTCCCATCAGTTCTCTCTGCCCAAAAGGCAGAACTTATTGCCGTCACACAAGCTTCACACCTCAGGACAAATGAAAAGGTAACCATTTATATAGACTCCAAATACGTCTTTTTGGTAGTGCACGCAAATGGGACCATATAAAAGACAGACTCATTAATCTCATAAAAAATAAAATTAAACACACAAGAGAGATATTAGACTTATTAGACTCAATTTTGATGTCAAAAAAAATGGCCATAATGCACGGCCCAGGACACCAAGAGACTGATAGCTAGATAACTAAATGCAATAATCTAGCCAATCAGGCAGAAAAACATACAGCCAGGACAAGAGAGCCTAAAACAAAGGCTCTGGTACTTATTCCAAGTATGAATCTGTCCTTATTTAAACCCAGTACTCAAAGGTAAATCTAGAAAGAGCAAACCAGTAGGGATTTCATACTTATACTCAAGATTTGGATAGGGAACAGTGTAAAACAAGAAGCCTAGGTTTACAATGAGCAAGGAATAGTTCTTGTCCCTGAGCACTGGATAAAGGATTATTTCCCAGTTACATCAAAGAACTCATTATAGAAGAAACACAACCTATCATTAGTTACCAAAGTTTGTTGTCAGGCTGCACGTACAAAAGACTATCCAGAAGGCTGCCCAAAATTGTCTTATTTGTGCTACAGAGAATCCAAAGACAGAACCACCTCCAGCAGGCAAAGGGGTCTAAACCTGAGGAACAGAAACAAGACAAGATTGTCAAATAGACTTTGTAGTTATGCCAGGAGCTGGAGGAAACTATAAATACCTGTCGGTACTTATAGACACCTTCACTAGATGGGTCAAGGTCTTTCCATGTCAAACAAAAAATGCATCTGAGGTAACTCAAGCTTTATTAAAAGACATAATTCCTTTGGATTGTCATTTTCAATTCAAAGTGACAACAGAGATATCAGACTTACCTAAGACATTTATGGAGCTCTTAGGATACAGTGGAAATTAAGCACCTCTTAGAGGCTCCAGTCTATTAGAAAGACTGAAAAGATAAACAATATCTTAAAAAAAGTACTTGCCAAAATGTGTCAAAAACCCAATTTAACATAGGATAAGATCTTGCCACTTGCCCTGCTTAGAGTAAGAATGACCCCTAAAAGTAAGCACCAGTTTAGCCCCTACAAAATTCTATGTGGGACAACCCTTCTTAAGACTAAATACTGTTTTAATATTGAAAATGATCATGATGGGTAAATGCATTAGATGCTATAAAATGTGTACAGTCTCTGGGTATAACTTTTTCTGCTATACATAATTACGCTTCTAGCTGTTTTAATGTTTCCTATAGATGTTCCTTTACATTGTCTAAGTCTAGGAAACTAAGTACAACTTAAGACCTAGAAAAACCGCTACCCTGAAGACCAACTACAGTTCAAACAGATTAGGTCCTTATGAAGTTCCTTTAGTGATCCATTCAGCAATAAAGTTAAAAGTGTTGAGGCCCTAAATTCATCATTCATGGGTAAAAGTTATTCCCATTTTCAGAAGATTCCTCTTGGCCCCTGTAAAATTCCCAAACAGGTCATGCCCTTCACAGATAAGAAAAGCCAAAGGACCAGACTGACCGTCTACCAGATGGCTGTGGAGGCCCACAACCAGCTTTTCCACCCAGGAACTCACTTGGAAGCCCCTAATCTTTTTTTAAGTTACTTTTTAAAAAACCCAATAAGGCCAAAGGGCTCCTAGCTCTCCAGATAAGTGGAAATCCATTTCTGTCTCTAAAACCAGCCTCCATCTGATGGAACTGTGAGGGCAGAAACAGGAGACAATTAAAGGAGACAGCTTGCCCAAGATATTGGGCGAGGCCTGTATTAATGCAACTTAATTTTTGCCTTGTTGTCATATATACTATTCTATGCTATTGAATTAATCATCTCTACCTCCTTGATTTAACCTCAAAAATATTATTTGGGACCTTATAGCCCTTCCTTGGGTAGAGTTTATTTTTTTCTGATGCTTTTTTTTCTATCAGCCAAATATCTCCTCTCAGGGAAACAAAATGATTTCCTCTGTTAAAAATGCCCACAATTTTCCTCTATTATATCCTTTTGCTTGCCTTACCTCAACATAAAAGGATAATTTCTTTCCTTCTTTTTTTTTTTTCTTTTTCAGACAGAGTCTCACTCTGTCGTGCATGCTGCAATGCAGTGGCATGATCTCGCTCACTGCAACCTCTGCCTCCTGAGTTCAAGTGAACACATCTGGCTAAATTTTGTATTTTTAGTAGAGACAGGGTTTTACCATGTTGGCCAGGCTGGTCTCAAACTCCTGACCTCAAGTGATCCACCCACCTCAGCCTCCCAAAGTGCTGGGATTACAGGCATGAGCCACCATGACTGGCCAAAAAGATAATTTCTTGATAAAAATGTCCCAATCCCTACCTACCTCACAAAATCTATCTAAATGTTAGAGATGTCATCAAAAACCCTCCTCTGCACTTGATCACACTGATCTGCTGCTTATCTCTGTGACCAACTTCTCTAAAGTGCCTAATATTCTGGTGACCTATGATAAAAAACCCACAGGTATAACCTGTAGGGTCAGATTTGCTGGGGGAGGATCATTAGTTCCCTGTTTTCCATTAACATCCCCTGCAAAGACACTTATGTTAACAGCTTTAAAACTGAGGATAAAGGGGCCCATGCCCACAGAAGCCAGACACTGGCTAACGCAGAAACGAAAATCATCTCTTTACTTAACACACCTATTTTCCACTTCCTGTTTTCTATCCTCTGGTCCAGGAGATATACACTGATGTGTCCTCAAACTGTAGATCTACATGATTACATCAAGAGTTAAATAAAAAGAACCTAGTATGCCTTCAAGGACTGCCCTCTTCCCTACCAATTTGTAAGTTAGATAACTCCTTCTAGACTCCTCTATACTCTGACTCCTACTTTGACCAAGTCCTAAGTAAAATTCCTGAAACTGAGAACTTAGATGTTAACATATCTGGTATTTTTTTTTTTTTTTTTTTTTTTTTTTTTTTTTGAGATGGAGTCTTGCTCTGTCATCCAGGCTGGAGTGCAGTGGCGCGATCTCAGCTTACTGCAAGCTCCACCTCCCGGGTTCACGCCATTCTCCTGCCTCAGCCTCCCGAGTGGCTAGGACTACAGGTGTCCGCCACCATGCCTGGCTAATTCTTTGTATTTTTAGTGGAGATGGGGTTTCACCGTGTTGGCCAGGATGGTCCCAATCCCCTGACCTCATAATCTGCCCGCCTCGGCCTCCCAAAATGCTGGGATTACAGGCATGAGCCACCGCGCCCGGCAACATATCTGGTATTCTATGCGCCTCCTCAGGATATGTCTTTGTCTATGAAACAAACGACCAGCCCTCGGACTATGAATGCCTTGACAGCTGATGCCCCAAAGACATCTGTTTACTAGGGTACTTAGTCACTCCTTTCTCTGTCTGTGGCATTAGTGATGCTGGGCATTAGACTAACACCATAAAACTGTTCACCTTGGCCAAAAGATCTATGCTAAACCTCCTCCCAGTTAAATATTTACCAGGTGGCCCACCAGATGGTGTAGGATATTTCTTTAGACAAACTCTGTTGCCATGGTGGGGAGTTGCTTCTTATAAACATATGATTAAAAACCTTTCCATTGCCCTGAAAAAGCTTGCCAAGGAGACCACAATGGCCATGGTGGCTCAATAGAGAGAGCCAGGTGCTTTGGCTAAAGTAATAATAGATAATAAAATTACTCTAGATTATATACTGGCTAAACAAAGAGGTGTTTATGCTTTAATATGTCATGCTGTGTTTACATTAATACTTCTAAAAAAGTTGAGACCCACCCAAATAATAGACCAAAAGCCACTCGACGCCATCTAGTGTTCTCTAAAAAACCTGGATATAATATGTAAACAGCGTGTTTTCATTAGGAATAAGATCTATTTTTTGAGGGTCTACTTAAACTCAAAATTATATTTCTGTATGTGTTAAGATTTCTCTTCCTTCTCTCAAGGTCTCTACCTGCTGTCTATTTTTTAAATTGATTGTTAAATCAATTCCCCCTGCTCATGAAATAGTTATTAAATATCGAATTCCCTGACCCACCTGTTTGACCTCAACTCAGGACCTATGAATATTTGCAATTATTTATGAAACAATTTCATTCCTCAAACCCAGACCTATGTCCCTTGTCAACAAAAAGTAGCTAGAGTGGTAGACACTCTATTTCTTCAAGATTGAGAACTAAAGTAAACAAAAAGGGAGGGATTTGTAACTGCAGGATCAGCCCAAACTGGGTCTGTTATGTGGATAACAAAATATGAGTTAGCTTGTAGGTACGACAGAGCCAAAAGCTTTGACCTCAAATAACACCTGGAACGAACGATTCCTCCCTTCGGAACCAAGAAGACAGGAAGATGCTTGGAATCTGGATGCTGAAACTCTTTCAGAAGCAAGGGGTTCATTGGCTGGAAAGATCCGGGCTCAAATCTGCCTCAACCTACTTTACCATAAATGGTTAAATCTGAAACCCTCCAATCAGACCCTGTCAACCCAGTATCACTAAATCCTTGCTCTCAGTCCCTTAAAACTTGTCCAAGACCCCGAATCAGGAAGACAGATTTGAGCCGGCTTATTTCTCCTTGCTGACCAGTTTTGCAGTAAAACCTTTTCTTTTCTCAAAAGCTGGTGCCATGCTTATTGGCTTCTGAGCATATCAGACAACAAACCCATTTACTTGATTGCACTACCACAAGGTTAGTGGCTAACAAAGAAAGCTCTGGAGAGAGAGTGCCTAAGTTTAAATATGGGTTCTGCTACTTAAGCTCATTTTACGCAAGTAAGTTAACTGTGAATGCTTCAGTTTTACTCTCTGTAAGTTGTACTAATAAAAGTATGAACCTTGTGGATTTGCTGTGAAGATTACATGAATTAATGTGTTAAGAAGTTACAACTGCACAGTGTATAGTTATCACTCACTCAGGCTCAACTTTCAGAATGGTCAGCTAGTAGTAGCACTCTTACTGCTACCGCCATTAGTTATTATTGAGTCTTATTCTTGGCTAGGGATTGTGTCAGGCAATTTACATACATTTTCTCAACTAAATAAAACCTCTCAGAGCCAGGTATGACTATTTCCATTTTATAGGCTAGGAAACTACCTTTAGAGAGGTTAAGTAACATGGCAAAACTAGACGGTGACCAGATCAGTCCAGTTCTAAAATATGTACTTTCAACTATTAATAATAAATTTTTCAAATATTCTATACCTTGCATTTTTTTCTTTTTAAAGTTTGGCTGGAGACTTCTTCAGAAATTATTTTCATTTTACTCTAATTCCCAAAACTAAAACCACACTTAGCATGCTACCCTCAATGGCCTGAAATTCAAAATATCTTTTATTACCAGGTATCATTGACTAGCTCTGTTTATTTTTTTCTGAAAACCTTGAGCATGCTTATAACAAGTGGCTTACTCAAACCCAGTTCTTTTATCTCAGAATTGGTGGATCTCTTTTCATGAGCAGCTTCTGTAAAATCCTTTCTTTGTCTTCTTCTAGGTTCTATCCTTTGGTTGTCCTACTTCTTATTTCTAACTGACTTCCTTCAGCATTTAGTATATCTTGAATGATTACAAACAGTTCATTATCATGCTGAATCATCCTTGAAACTTCATTGGTATCTTCTTAGAAGAATGATGATATAATCAATGTGCAAAAATCACAAGCATTCTTATACACCAATAATGGACAGAGAGCCAAATCATGAGTGAACTCCCATTCACAATTGCTTCAAAGAGAATAAAATACCTAGGAATCCAACTTACAAGGGACGTTGAAGGACCTCTTCAAGGAGAACTACCAAACACTGCTCAATGAAATAAAGGAGGACACAAACAAATGGAAGAACATTCCATGCTCATGGATAGGAAGAATCAATATCGTGAAAATGGCCATACTGCCCAAGGTAATTTATAGATTCAATGCCATCCCTATCAAGCTACCAATGACTTTCTTCACAGAATTTGAAAAAACTACTTTAAGGTTCATATGGAACCAAAAAAGAGCCCGCATTGCCAAGTTAATCCTAAGCCAAAAGAACAAAGCTGGAGGCATCACACTACCTGACTTCAAACTATACTACAAGGCTACAGTAACCAAAACGCATGGTACTGGTACCAAAACAGAGATATAGACCAATGGAACAGAACAGAGCCCTCAGAAATAATACCACACATCTACAACTATCTGATCTTTGATACTGTCAATGGAAGAATGAGGAGGTTCAAATTTGGAAGGGAGAGCTTTATTTCTCATAAAGGGTTGCAGCCTGCAGTGTGGCCATTCTGACAGGCTGGGAAGCACAGCCTCTGGCCAGAAGCCAGAAACACACATCTAGGGAGAGGCAAAGGGAAAAGAAATACATGCTGAGTGGAATGGCCAAATACAGATATTCAATAAGCTATAGGAGGAGTCATGAATATTAATAAAGGGAAAAACATATACATCCACAATTGAGTTTCCTGCCCCTTCATGGGATTCCTGTAAAAAAAAACTGGCCATGTTAGCATGATCTGGGGGTGGAGTTTTCAGCTCTCTGACATCAAAAGGTGAAGCAAAGGACACCAAAAGCCTCACTACACGTCCTCCATAGACTGGCCAGAAACACTGTTTGGTTGGTGGCCTTTTACCAGGAAAAAGGAGGGACAGCATCACACTTTCTGTTGCTTTTAGTGCTAGAGTCTTTTCAAAGGGCTGGTTTGTGTTTAGCCTTTAGGGAAGCAAACCTCATCATGGCTCTAAAGGAGAGGTATAATAAGGTGTGTCTGATCCCTCCATCCTGTCCTGGCCAAGAACTCAACATTCAAGGTTACTCTGGGGTGCCCTTGTCCCAGAGATGGTCCTTTCAGTCAGTTGGTGGGTATAGGATTTTATTTTTAGCTTATAATATAATTCTGAAGAATTATGTCTTCATAAATACATTTCTGTTTTAAATAAATACTTCATCCAACTGAACACATTTTTGTTTTAGCAATTTCTCTTCCTATTGGCTACTAGTCTGCTTCCAATGGAGGGAATAATTTTAGGGGATGTAATTCTTGGAGTGATCCTGTAGTTAAATATGTAATATAATACTCTCCCACCTGCTTCTTTTTGTTGCAGCTGCCTCCTTGCTGGGATGGTGCTGGTGCGTATATTTATGTGTGTGAGTCTGGGAGTAAGTTCACTTGAGGTTAGGGTCTGAGATGGGGAAAATATATATGCTACTCAAGAAACAGAATAAATTCCACATTGAAATTTCCTCAAGGGGTTTACTTCCTATGATCCTCTGTCTTTCCCTTCCTCTCAGGAGCAGGATGTGGTGTACCTCTGTGGCTTAGCAGAGGTGACGGCCCACCCTGATGGCTCATTGAGTGGCAGTGAGGAGATTCACCAAGGGAGTAGCTCCCCACTGAGCCCAGAGATTGTTGTGAAGCCCCTCACGGGAAGTCCCTGAAATTGAGAGGTGTGGCATTCATAGAAATGAGCCAATGTAGAAGTTTAAACCAACTGCATCTGTCCTTATATAAGGCATCATCAGAGTAAAGGTATTTTTATTCCTGTGTTCCTCTTCAGCATTTTCCACAGAGATTTTCTTCATCAGCCTCCTATTTTGACCTGCTTAGCAACAGGGCCCACTCTTAACTAGGGAAGGGAGATGAGACCTAAGACATGAGATAGTTAATAAATAATTCCGGGGTAAGTAGGAGATGGTGAGGCATAAGTGCAGGGTCAATTCCACAAAGGCATATTTGAGTCTTTCATATTATTGAACAAATATACATCTATGTGCACCATAGTACTAGACTCTGGGATACAAGCATGAACAACAAAAAGAGGGTCTCTTCTTCCATGGGGGCTTATGATTCTGTATTCTATATATCATTCCTAGTCCTACTACTGCAGTTACAGAGGTAAACAGATTTACAGTCCCATCTTTCAAAGACCATACTTGCCTAGAAGGAGTCAGACATGACCAAAAAGCCATAATATAGTAACAGACTTTAAATTGTTGTAAGCACATAGGGAAAGAAACCTCCATATCTCCGTGGGAAGAAAGGACTTCACAGAGGTAGTGTGGGTTTAAGTAAGATTTGTAGGAAAACAAATAATTTCCTGGTAGACCTAGGCTGGGGGACCAGCCTATGCAATATCTAAGAGAATACGGTATTTTTGGAGTTTGCAAAGAGTTCAGTAAAGCTGGAGACTATTGTTAAGAGACGTGAATGGCTGAAGGGGAGTGTAAATTTCCAGATAGGATTAGGATGTGTTCTCTCTCAATGCCTTTCTGAGACAGTATTTCCTACCCATCCCTTTCCCAGTGCTCAGGCCAAACCCATTGACTAATATAATGGATTTTAAGAGTAAGTTTACTAATATTGAAATACCCTTACCATCCTGGAGCAAACACCAATTTGTAGATTATTTTCTAGTGTCATTATTTGATTCTCTGTTATTGAATACTTTTTTATCAATACTAATCAGTGATGTAAGTCTATAGTTTTTTTTTTTTTTTTTTTTTTTTTTTTTTTTTTAAGATGGAGTCTCGCTCTGTTGCCCAGGCTGGAGTGCAGTGGCATGATCTTGGCTCACTGAAACCTCCACCTCCCAGGTTCAAGCGATTCTCCTGCCTCAGCCTCCCGAGTAGCTGGGACTACAGGCACGTGCTGCCACAACCGGCTAATTTTTTGTATTTTTAGTAGAGACAGGGTTTCACTGTGTTAGCCGGGATGGTATTGATCTCCTGACCTCATGATCCACCCCCACCCTCAGCCTCCCAAAGTGTTGGGATTACAGGCATGAGCCACCACGCCTGGCCAGTCTATAGATTGATTTTTTTTTTAAGGTGCAGTTTTGTTGCACCTTAATATTTAGCTCATGTCATGAAAATAATTTAGAAATTTCCCCTACTGTTCTATACTTTGCAATGTTTTAGGTATTCTCAAAGTCCCTGATTTTAAAAGGTGTGGAAAAATCCCTGTAAGAAACTATATGGGACTGGCACTTTTCTGTGAGGAAATTCTATTACAAATTCATTTATTTCTTTTGTAGTCATTGTTTTGTTTAGGCTTTTTTCCACATTAGGGTCAGTTTTGCTAAATTTATAATGTGAGCCATTTCATTTAGGCTTTTAGGTTGTTTGCAGAGAATTATACAAAATATTGTTTTTAAAAATAGATTTTATCATGATACTTCCCTTTGTCACTTCTGTTTTAGTGTATTTGTCCTCTCTGTCTTTTGGCTGGCAAACAATTATCTCATTTGCTTATTTCTTAGTTCTATCATTAAAACATTTTCTACCTTATTCACTTCTGCTTTTATGTTGATCGATTCCATTTTTTTGCTTCTGTCCTGTTCAGGATAAATGTCTGAAATGAGTCTTATGGGGCTAAAAATCAAGGTGTTGGCAGGTGGTGTTCCTTTTGTAGGCTTTATGGGAGAATCCATTTCTTTGCCTTTTCCAGCTTCTAGGTGCCATCTGCACTACTGGGCTCAGGGCCCTTCCTCCATCTTCAAAGTGTGTCTGTCATTCCGATCTCTACTTCCATTGTCACATAGCCTTTTTCTGACTTGCATCCTCTTGCCTCACTCTTACTACATGCACCAGACATAGTACTAGATTCTGGGATATAAGCATGAACAACAAATAAAGGTGTCTGCTCCCATCGGGCTTATAATTCTGTATCCAATATATTGTACCAAGTCCTACATACTGGATTTACAAAGGTAAGCGAATATATAGTCCAATCCCTCAAAAACCATACTAGTCTAGGAAGAGTCAGACATGACCATAAATATCATAACATAGTGATAGAAGTTGAAGTTTGTTTAATTTATTATAAACACATAAAGAAAGAAACCTCCATATCTGTCTGGGAAAAGAAAGAGGGCTTCACAGAGGTGGTTTTAGGTAAGATATTTTAGGAAAGTATGTGATGATATTGAGCCCACTCAGCTAATCAAGGAAAACCTCCCCATTTCAAGATCCTTAACTTAATCACATCTGCAAAATCCTTTCAGCAATGTGAGAGAACATATTCAAGATTTTCAAGGATTCAGATCTGAATATTTTGGGAGATTATTATTCAGTCTACCACAATGTGAAAATCTCTAAATAACTGCAGCAATACTTCTGAGAGAGAAATGTTTAGATGACTGAGATCATATCTTAGCTAGGGAAGCAAGAACTGATAAAACCCTGGTTTGTTCAATAAATATTTAAAGAGCACCTACTTTATTCAAAGCCTGTAATACTGTTGAAGATACAAAAATTAAAACCTTGGACATGGTCCTTGGCCTCATTGAGCATATTTTGTATTAATAATTTTAAAAACTATCATAATAAGTTAAACAATGAAATGTGTGATACTCTATGATTGTAGAAGCTCTGGGTACCATGGGGTATTTACCACGCATAGTCAGAGACTCAGCCATGATGATTATGCCATTTAAACATGAAGGATTAGGAGTACAGATAAATAGGGAGAGAAAGATTATTCTAGCTAGTGTGAACAGCATGTGTAAAGGCTCAGGAGTGAGTGAGAAAGTACATATGGAGCTTTGGGAGAGCTGAGGGATTATGAATATTATTAGAGCATAAGTATGCAAAAAGTGGGTAAAGAGTAGGTGAATTTCACAAGACTGGATAGGTATGCAAGGGCCAAATCATGGAGGGTTTTAAGAATTTGTAGTTTGGAAGTTTGTTTTTTTTTTTACGAAAAAACTTATAGGCTAACATTTAGATATAAAGAAGACTGGTCATAACCCTAAAGTCAATGGAAAGGAAGTGTTTTCAGCTGCAGAGAATGAACTGAGTTAGAAAAGAGAGTAAGACATCAGGTAGGTGGATATTTGGTAGGAGTTGAAGTAATTCAGGTCAAAGAAGTAATTCAGATCGAAGACAGTGGTTGCCTGAGCTAAGGCAGTATTCGTTGGGATAGAAAATAGTGGTTGAATTTGAGAGGTTTTAATAAACAGAAATGTTAAAGATGTGTTTATGGACCAATGTGGAAGAAGAATGTGACAGAAGAGGTGAAGATATTCTGGGGACTCTAGCTAAAGCAATTGAGTGAATGCTTGTACCACTTAGGGATCCCAGTGACACAGAAGATGCATGTCACAACATACCTTAGGGTGGGTTATTGTCTCAAGAAGCTAGAGAGCCAGGACTGGGACAAGGATGAGGAAAGGCATTGCAATGAATGTGTTTGGGACCTGAAGAGGGGATATCTTGTCTGAGGAGCAATAAACCTGAAAGGGCAGAGTAAGGATCTTAATACATATAATTTAATCTCAGAAATAGAAAATGAGACTATTTGAACTGGCCATAGACTTAGGAACATTTTCTCGACTTCTGTACTCACTAGTAGAGCACAAGGAGGTATAGGAAATATTGCCTTTTGAAGTCTGATGCAAGGTTGCTGCTCAGGTCAGACTTCCTACCCAAAAAAAAAAATCTCATGTAAAAGGTTCTGGAAAGTTCTATTCTCTCCTCCTCTGAAAGAAGTTCTTTCTCAGAATAGGGTGGAGCCTCTTGTGGGTGGGCACTCCTCCCTTTGAGACTGCCATTTTGTGAGGTGAGCACATGCCTGTGCAGTGCTGTGGAGTGACGGTACAAGGACACAGGGACACCTGAAAGGGAGTTGCAGATTTCAGAGCCAAAGAGAACTTCTATTTTTTGCCAGGAAATATTTTCAATAGGGATATGTCTCTAATCAACAATGTCAATGTTAACTGAATAATGAGTCGGCTCTAATTCCAACCCTGATTCTTGTGAAAACCAGTATGAAATCTTGGCACTTATCTTGAGAACTCCTTTCCTGTCTCTGCAATCAGGTGTCTTAGAGTCTAGGTGGCTTCAGCTTCTACGAGCTGGGGTTTATGAGCTGAGGGGACAGAAGACAGAAAGAGAGCCGAGGAGAGAGCCTGATGCTGCAGACTCCAGGAAGGAACCTGGGCTGTGGGCAGGCAAACTCAGAATAAGAATTTCCCAAATGTTTCCAAGACTCACTGCCCCCAGGAAACAAAAGTACATGCAAGGGAGGAATAACCAGCTATGGTGGAATGAAGAGGTCAGCAAAGTTCCCCATAAAATAAGTATAAAACTCAAACAATTCTCATCAAAAGGCAGGAATTTTCTTTTTTCCTTAGGAGTAAAAGCTATTTGTTTCTGTACCAAGAGTAAGGCACACATGTTTTCATGGCTGTGGGCTATGAATAGTAATTTGAATTATATTTTATGCAAACACTTGTTTAATGCACATTTCAATATAAGCCAAAATTACTATAATTTTGTTACTACAAAAATTTTTATATTATACTGCTATATAAGCTTAGTTGAAAGCTATCTCATTTCTTTATTATTTATTTAAAATTGACAAATAGAAATTATATATATTTATTGTATACAATGTGATATTGTGACATTTTAATATATGTATACATTGTGGAATAATTAAATCAAGCTAACATATGCATAATCTCACATACTTATTTTGTTTTGACTTTTTTTTGGTAGGAACATTTAAAATCTACATTCTTAGCAATTTTCAAGAGTACATATATTATTAACTATAGTAATCATGCTGCATATTAGGTCTCTAGAACTTCTTTCTGTCTGATTAAAACATGTACCTTTTGACCAACATTTCCCTATTTCCTATGCCTCCCTTCCTGAAACCCCATCCCAGTGCTTGGCAATTACCCTTCTACTCTCTGCTTCTGTGGGTTTGACTTTGTTGGATTCCATGAATAAGTGAGACCATGCATTATTTGTCTTTCTGTGCCTGAATTATTTCACTTAGCATAATGTCTCCAGGTCCAAACATGTTGTTGCAAATTATATGATTTCCTTTTTCTGTAGGGTTGAGTATTATTCCATTGTGTGTGTGTGTGTATGTGTGTATGTATACACATATACGTATAAATAATATATATATTTATATATACATATACAGAATTTATATCATATATTCTTCATCTAGTCATCCCTTGGTGGAAACCTAGGTTAATTCTGTATTTTGGCTATGTGAATAATGCTTCAAGGAACATAAGAGTACATACATTTATTCAACATACAGATTTCATATCCTTTGGATTTATATCTAGAACTGGAATTGCTAGATTATATGATAGTTCTATTTTTAATTTTCTGAGGAACCTCCATACTGTTTGTCAAAATGGCTGTACTAATTTACATTCTGTATTAGGTCAGGGTTCTCTAAAGGGGCAGAACTAATAGGATAGATGAAGAGGAGTTTATTAAAGGGTATTTACTCATACAAACACGAGGTAAAGTCCCATAATAGGTCTTCTGCCATCCGAGGAGCCAGGAAGCCAGTCTGAGTCCCAAAACATCAAAAGTAGGGAAGTTGAGAGTGTAGTCTTCAGTCTGTGGCCGAAGGCCCAAGAGCCCCTGGCAAATCACTAGTTTAAGTCCAAGAGTCTAAAAACTGAAGAACTTGGAATCCGATGTTTGAGAGCAGGAAGCATCCAGCATGGGAGAAAGATGAAAGCCAGAAGATTTAGACAGTCTAGTCCTTCCACATTCTTCTGTCTGCTTTTATTCTAGCCATGCTGGCAGCTGATTAGATTGTACCCACCCATATTGAGGGTGGTCTGCCTTTCCCAGTCCACTGATTCAAATGTTAATCTCCTTTGGCAACACCATCACAGACACACCCAGGAACAATACTTTGCATCCTTAATCCAACCAAGTTGACACTCAATATTAACCATCACACATTTCTGCCAACAATGTACATGATTCCCTTTTCTGCACATCCTTATCACTGCTTGTTATCTTTTGTCTTTGTAGTGTTAGCCAGTGTATCAGTTGTGAAGTGATATCTCATTGTGGCTTTAATTTATATTTCTCTGATAATTAGCAATGATAAACATTTATTCATTTGTATGCTTTCTCTTGAGAAATGTCTATTCAGGTCATTTGGCCATATGTTAATTGGGTTGTTTTCTTGCTAATGAGTGTGAATTTCTTATATATTTTGGATATTAATCCTTTTTCAGACATGTGGTTTGCAAATATTTTCTCCCATTTTGTAGCTTGCCTTTTTATTCTGTTGATTATTTCCTTTCCTTTCCTTTCCTTTCCTGTGCAGAAACTTTTTAGTTTGATGTAATCCCACTTGTCTAATTTGGTTTTTGTTGCCTATGCTTTTGCAGTAATATCTAAAAATTGTTTACCAAGACCAGTATTAAGAAGCTTTTCCCCTATGTTTTCTAATAGTATTTTAAAAATTTCAGGTCTTATGCTTATGTCTTTAATTTATTTTGAGTTGATTTTATGTTGTAAAATAGAAAGACCAAAATCCAACTATTTTCTGACTATGGGAAATCACTTTAGTTTTAAAGACACAAATATATTGAAAGTAAAGTATGGAAAAGCATATGTCATATTAGTAACCATAAAAGCTTGAGTGGCTATATTAATATCAGAGAAATAAATTTTAAAGCAAAAAATATTATTACAGAAAAACACTTCATAATGATTAAAGTTTCAACCTATATATGTATATCAAATGATATAAAAAATATACAAAATATATATTCCTTCTATGTGTGTTTGTGCATATGTATTTTTTATATTTATTCACACATATATTTATCCTTTAAGGTGCTTTTAATTTCTTACTATGGATTTTAGTTGCTAACAATGTCATTTTCTCTCAGCTGGATGACTTCCTTTAATATTTCTTGTAAGACAGGTCTGCTAACCACACAATTCTGTAGCCTTTGTTTATCTGGGAATGTCTTTATTTCATTTTCATTTACAGAGGATAGTTTTGCTGGATATAGAATTTTTGGTGGAATTTTTTTCTTTCAGTGCCTCTCCATTATCTTCTGATCTCCATTGTTTCTGATTTAAAGTCAGAAACAATGACTTCTGATTTAAAGTCAGATTAATTGTATTGCTCTTCTCTTTCAAATGATGAGTCATTTTTCTCTTGTTGAAAAAATATATTGATTTCAATACATTATTTGTGGATTTTGGCTTTCTGAAGTTTAACTATAATGTATCTAGACATAGATATCTTTGTGTTTACTGTGTTTGAGAGATGTTAAGCTTCTAGATTCTTTTGATTAATGTTTTTCAACAAATTTGAGAAGTTTGTGGCCATTATTTTTTCTTTGTCTTTTTCTCACTTCTCTCTTTCTAAGACTCCAATTTTACATATATGGGTATGCTTGATGGTACTCACAAATCTCTAAGTTTAGTTACTTTTAGTATAGAAAGCATTTGCCCGTACAGCATTGTGGAGTAACTCCTGGGGCCTAACAACAGAGTCCCAAAGTACATAAAGTAAAAATGACAGAAATGAAACAAAAATAAACATACCAAAATTATAGTTGGTGACTTAAATCCTCCAGTCTGAAAAATTGACCACACCAACTAGACAGAAAGTAAATAAGGGTAAAAAGACCTGAAAAACACTACTAAACTATTTGACTTAATTGATGATTTTAGAACACACTATTCAGCAACAGCAGAATGTACACTTTTTCAAGTGCTCATAGAGTATTTCCCCATATAGATTATATGTTATATAATAACATACAGATAGGAGGATTAAAATAATTCAAAGTATATTCTCTCATCACAGAGGGATTTAATTAGAAATAAACAACAGAAAGAAGCTGGAAAAATCACAAATATTTGGAAATTAAACATCACACTCCTAAATAACTCATGGGCTTCAAAAGGAATTTCTAGAAAAATTATGCTTTTAACTAAAAAACTAAAAATATATCAATGTACATGGAATGCAGCCATGATTAGAGGGAAATGTATAACTTTAAATAACTGCATTAGGAAAACAACTACAAAAGTTTCCATCATAATCTAAACTTCTACCTGAAGACACTGGAAAAATAAGAGAAAAGTCAACCAAAAGTAAACATAAGGAAGAAATAACAAAGATCAAATTAGGCCGGGCGCAGTGGCTTGTGCCTGTAATCCCAGCACTTTGGGAGGCTGAGGCAGGCGGATCATGAGGTCAGGAGATAGAGACCATCCTGGCTAACACGGTGAAACCCCGTCTCTACTAAAAAAGAAAAAATACAAAAAATTAGCTGGGCGTGGTGGCGGGTGGCTGTAGTCCCAGCTACTCAGGAGGCTGAGGCAAGAGAATGGCGTGAACCTGGGAGACGGAGCTTGCAGTGTGCCGAGATAGCACCACTGCACTCCAGCTTGGGCGAAAGAGTAAGACTCCATCTCAAAAAAAAAAAAAAAAAAAAAAAGATCAAATTAAAAATCAATTCAATAGATAATAGAAAAATAATAGAGAAAATCAATGGAACTACAACTGTTTACTTGAAATGCTATAAAATTGATAACACTTTAGTCAGACTGAACAAGATAAAAAGCAAGAAAATAGAAATTGCAAAGTCAGGAGTGAAAATGAAGAATACAATTACTAACCCTATAGAAATATATGGAAATGTTATGAACAACACTATGTCAATGAATTTGACAACTTGGGTGAAGCAGACATATTCCTAGAAAGACATAAGAGTAACTCGAGAAAAAAAGCCACATGTCTGGATAGACATATTACAAGTAAAGAAGTATTTTAGTAAATAACACCATATAGAGCAGAGGTCAGCAAAATTTTTCAGTAAGGAGCTAGATAGTAAATATTTTGGGCCATATGCAACCTCTGTCAGTTCTTTTTCTCCTATTCCTCCTCTTCCGTCTTCTAACACTTTAAAAGTATAAAATTTATTCTTAGTTTATGAGTAATACAAATATAGGCCATAGCTTGACTTTAACATGTGAGCAATAGTTTGTCACTCCATGTCACAGAGAAAAGCTCAGGACTAGCTGACTTTACTGGTAAATTCCATCAAATATTTAAATAATACCACTCCTACAAGAAAAAACTTCCACAAAATAAAGAATAAGAGATTATTCCTAAATTCATCCAAGTTCAGTCCACAATTTCCTAATTCAGCCTAACAGGTCAGAATTACTTTGATTCTAAATAAAAAGAAATCACAAAAAAACTACAAACTAGTATGTCTATGGTCTCCATAAAATATTAGCAAACCTCATTTAGCCATATATGAAAAGATTATATACTATGACCAAGTGGGATTTATCCCACCAATGCAAGATTGCCTTGACATCCAAAATCAACTAATGTAATATACCATATTAATAGAATAAAAACATATCAGATTATTATCTCAATGTGTGCAATAAAATAAATTTGACAAAATAACCTGTACCCAATCATAATAAAATCTCAACAAATTATGAACAGATTGAACTCTCTCATCCTGACTAACAGCATGAAAGAAATAAACACTCACCTTAAACATGAAAGCTTGAAGAGATTGAATGCTTTGCCTATAATATTGGTAGCAAAGTAACAATGTCTGTTTTCACTACTTTTATTCAACATTGCACTGGAGATGTCAGACAGTACAGTCAGATAAGAAATTGCAATAAAAGGTATCCAGGTTGGAAAGGAAAAAGTAAAATTCTTTTTAGTCTCAGACTACATGATCCTGTATGTAAAAAAAAAAAATAACTCCTATGAAATCTACAAAGAAACTTCTAGAACAAATCCATTTAGCAAGATTTCAGGATACAGTATGTATAGCAAAAATCATATGTGTTCTAATACTAGTAATAATCCAAAACTGAAATTAAGAAAAATAGTTTTATACTTACATTATAGAAAATAGCACTTTGCAATATATTAAACAACAGAAATGTAAGATCTATACATGGAAAAAATATGAAGTGTTGAGATAAATTTTAAAAGATCTAGAGGAATGGAAAAAGCATTCCGTGATCATGGAAGACTCAGTATTGTTAAGATAGAAATTATCTCCAAATTTATCAATAAGTACACAGCAATCCTTCTCAAAATTCTAGTAGTACCTTTTGTAGAGATTGACTAGCTGATCCTAAACCTATATGGTGATACACAGGACTTGAATAGTCAAGGCAATTTTGAAAAAGAAAAACACAGTTAAAAGACTTACACTAGCCAATTTAAAAACATACGATAAAGCTGTAATAATCAACAGAGTGTGGTATTAACATAAGATCAACAAAGATCAGAAATAAACCCATCCACTATGGTTAACTCATTTTTGAATATGGTGTAAAGTCAGTTTAATGATGAAATAATATTTTCAACAGATAGTACAGAAATTACACTATGCAAAAATACTAATACTATTAATAAGGATCTTGGATCATTACCTCACACCATACCCCAAAATTAACTCAGAACATGGTGTACACCAAATATAAGAGCAAAAACTATGAAACTTCTTCTTTTTTTTTTTTTTGAGACAGAGTCTTGCTCTGTCACCCAGGCTGGAGTGCAGTGGCACCATCTGGGCTCACTACAAGCTCCGCCTGCCAGGTTCACACCATTCTCCTGCCTCAGCCTCCCCAGTAGCTGGGACTACAGGCACCCGCCACCACGCCGGGCTAATTTTTGTGGTATCTTTAGTAGAGACAGGGTTTCACCATGTTAGCCAGGATGGTCTCGATCTCCTGACCTTGTGATTCACCCTCCTCAGCCTCCCAAAGTGCTGGGATTACAGGCTTGAGCCACCACACCCAGCCAAAAGACTATGAAACTTCTAGAAGAAGACAGAAAAAAAATTATGACTTTGGCTTAGTTATTTCTTAGAAGTAACAGGAAAAGCATAATTCATAAAAGATAAATTGAAAAATTGGACCTCATCAAAATAAAAAATGGTTTATCTTCAAAGTCACCTGTTAAGAAAATGAGAAGACAAATCACAGAGCAGGAAAAAAAGTTTTGAAAGTCATACGTCTGATAAGGGACAGTTAAAACTCAGTAAATAAAAAGACAAACCATCCAATTAAAATGAGTAAAGGATTTGAATAGGTACGTCATCAGAGGTCATATAGGAATAACCAATAAGCAAACAAAAAGATGCTCAATATCATTAGTTATTAGAGAAACAAAATTTAAAAACCACAGTGAGATGACACTACACATTTTCCAGAATCATGATTATTAAAAAAGACCAAGAGTTGGAGAGGATGTGAAAAAACTGGAACCTCACACATTGATGACAGAAATGTAAAATGAAATAGCCAATTCTGAAAACATTTTACAAGTTTTGTTTTTGTTTTTAATTTATTATACCCTTACCCTATGACTCAGTAATTCCACTTCTAGATACCTTGCAAATAAAAGTTTATAACTTCACAAATATTTATTTATTTTTATTTTATTATTATACTTTAAGTTCTAGGGTACATATGCACAACATGCAAGTTTATTACATATGTATACATGTGCCATGTTGGTTTGCTGCACCCATTAACTCATCATTTACATTAGGTATTTCTCTTAATGCTATCCCTCCCCACTCCCCCCACCCCACGACAGGCCCCAGTGTGTGATGTTCCCCGCCCTGTGTCCAAGTGTTCTTATTGTTCAGTTCCCACCTATGAGTGAGAACATACGGTGTTTGGTTTTCTGTCCTTGTGATAGTTTGCTCAGAATGATGGTTTCCAGCTACATCCATGTCCCTACAAAGGACATGAACTCATCCTTTTTAATTGCTGCATAGTATTCCATGGTGTATATGTGCCACATTTTCTTAATCCAGTCTATTATTGATGGACATTTGGGTTGGTTCCAAGTCTTTGCTATTGTAAATAGTGCTGCAATAAACATACGTGTGCATGTGTCTTTATAGTAGCATGATTTGTTATCCTTTGGGTATATACCCAGTAATGGGATCACTGGTTCAAATGGTATTTCCAGTTCTAGATCCTTAAGGAATCGCCACACTGTCTTCCACAATTGTTGAACTAGTTTACATTCCCACCAACAATGTAAAATTGTTCCTATTTCTCCACATCCTCTCCAGCATCTGTTGTTTCCTGACTTTTTAATGATTGCCATTCTAACTGGTGTGAGATGATATCTCATTGTGGTTTTGATTTGCATTTCTCTGATGACCAGTGATGATGAGCATTTTTTCATGTGTCTGTTGGCTGCATAAATGTCTTCTTTTGAGAAGTGTCTGCTTTTCACTTCTTTTGAGAACTGAAGCAGATGAAGACTTCTTGTGTTAGCATAGTGATTAATGAGATGCTGGAGTAGGAGTCAGCCCTGTAGACAAGAAGTGCAGACTTCAGAGATAGAGGGACAGTGGGTACAGGGTCTCAGATGGGTAAGAGAACATGGACTATAGAAAATGGTCAGAAGTTCAGGATTGCCAGGATGAAAAATAGCTAGGATAAGGTGTTCAAGATAAGCTAATTTCTGGAGTCCAGATCACAAAATACCATTAAGCCAGGTGAAGAAATTTAAATTTTATCTTGAATATGAGGGAGAAGCATGGAGAAATGGTGAAGGGATCCAGTAGCATGATCATATTTGTCTACAGTTATCCCTCAGTGTCTTGGTGAATTGGTTCCAAGACCTCCCAAGGATAACAAAATCTACAAATGCCCAAGTCCCTGATAAAAAATGGTTTAGTATTTACATATAATCTATGCATATACTCCCATATACTTTAAGTCATCTGTAAATAATTCATAGTACCAAATACAATGCAATGTTATGTAAATAGTTGTTATACTGTATTGTTTAGAATAGTGACAACGAAAAAAGTCTGTATGTGTTCAGTATAGACACGATTTTTGAAAAAAATATTTTTGATCTGTGGTTGGTTGAATCCAGGGATGTGGAACTCATGAATACAGAGGGCCAACTCTCTGATGCATATCACTTTTGCAAGAAGGCCAGAAGGGTAAGGCACGAGGCTAAGAGTTCAGTAAGGAGGGTTGTTAATCTTCTAGGTGTTTGCTAAGGACACCTGACCATTGGAGATGAGCCTCCCAAGATGATGGTGTCTCCAAAAGAGGATATGCTATTGGGAGGATGATGAACTCTGTTGGGGACAAGCTGAGTTGAGGAGCCTATGAAATATAGAGGTGGAAATATCTAGTAGGCAGCTAGAGAATAAGTTTGAAACTAATGAGACATATGCTTCAAGAAATAGATTGGATGATATTGTCTAAGATGTATGTATAGGTTAAGAGGAAAAGAACAAAAAGTCCAGAAATAAGGTCAAAATAAGGAAAATGAGAATAGAAAGAGCCTACAAAGAAGAGTGAGGAATGGCTAGTATCGTAGAAAACAAACAGAAAAGAAGAATGAACAAGAAATGACTTTTATAATAAAATATGTATGATGTTTTCTAGATTCTTTTCTAACATATTAAAGCTACTTTTTAAGGAGGCAAAACCAGGACAGAGACTCTGTGACTTTACTTTTTGGTAACCTCAAAACAGAGATTTCACATCTGAGCTCAGCACCCAGGGCTCCACAGCAGTCTATACTTCTGTGAAAAATAAATCTATTCAGGGTCCCAGGTCTGATCTCATGTGGATAGAGAACACTTCCCTGAGATTCAGCATATCCAAGACAGAAGAATCACCTAGCCGTGGGATAGTCTTCCAATGCTAAGGGTAGTCTCCAAAGAGATTTAGGGCTGAATCCAGGGACATTGTTAAAGACTATTCTTTGCCAAAGTTGGAGCCTTTTCTTTTCCTTAGGCCTCATGCAGATATAGCTAAAATTACATTTATTTAGAGGGATATTAGTGAAAATAATCATTAATCACTTATTTCAAGTGAAAATAAAATTTTATTCTAAGTTCAAAGTCATAGATTGAGGAACTGAAGCCGTCAGGTGCAGGACTGGGGTCAGGAAAGGGCAGGGACTTTGTGTGGCTGTGTATGAAGGAACAAGTTTAACATGAGGAAGAAACCATGAACCAGAGATAAAGACAGCCTGTGTAGAAAGTCAAAGGATCCTTTTCCTGTTTCTTAGCTGACAAAGACTTTCTTCAGCTAGCCATAAGGTAACTGTCAAATATTATCGCATTTATCTTGAAGGATAAAATTTGTGCAAGCTCAATTGAACAACAACAACTAGATGCAAGGAAAAAGTCAGCTAGGATGACTGTGGGGCTGGGTCATTTCTCAGCTTCTTAGAGACTGAGCCAGAGATAGTCTTTAGTCCAGACTGTTACTTAAAGCACACTGGTCCCTCAAGGCTGAGGAGTCTGGGAAGATTTGTAGGGGTTTCTGTAGTTTAAGATGAGGTTTCTGGAGGCAAGATGTCCTCACATTAGAGGCGACCCTTTCTGTGCGGAGTGTCGGTATCCATGTAGCACTGTGTATTCACTGCTGGCACAGAGGTACTGAGAGGTATGTGAGGGCCTGGCAGACTCCAGGGTCAGGGGAAAATGCTCCGTCCTTATTCTGGAGACTGTTGACTCAGAGGAAAGATCTCCCTTCTCTGTGGAATTAACTCCATAGGAATAGTGGATGAGGTGTAGTTCCATTCCTGGATCTTGTTGATACCAGTACATTTTGTCATGGCCCATGGTTTGAGAACATTCCAGAGTGATCTTCTTTCCTGTCCCTATAACAAGGTATCTTGGGGTCTGGTAGATGTCAGCTTCCATGAGGCCTATGGGAAGAGACAAAAATTGGTAACAGAGTTCACGATGGACTTTGATGCTGAGCCAGGCACAAACCCAACAAAGAGGAATTATTCCTTCTAGATTTTGGAATGAACTGTGTCTATGACTTACCTGCCCCCAGAAAATAAAAGCCCATGTAGCAGAGGAGCCTGATAGTCATGGCACAGTTGGGGCTAGAGAGGATGTCTCCCAGTAGTGGGGAAGCAGGATGGGCTCTTGATAATGTCATTGTGTGTGTGTGATGACACAGCCCCTGCAAACTTCCTGGGTCCCACAGACATCCTGTTGAAACAGTTTCATCTATATCCTTTTAACCCATCAAATGAGTAATATTTTTGTTGACTTCCCTCATCCAAAGTAGGCTTGATGCTTTGCTTATCTTAACTCAAGTCTTTAATATTCTTACAAAACATTCCATTGCAACTGTTTTGTAAGCTATGAACATAAAAACTACATAGCTTTGAGTGCCTGTAATAGCAAGATTTTACCTAATTAAAAAGGTTGGGAAAGGAAGTGGCATTTGAGTTGGGTTCTGAAGGATGAACAGGAATGAACTCTGCAAACCCAAGAGAGAAGAACATGCAGAAGAGGGAACCAGTGAACAGCGTGGCTTGATCAGACAAGGAGCAGGAGAACTTGTGAGCATTAAACGGGGCAATCTATTTATATAGACACATGTAAAGAGCTTGGAGCAGTAACTGGAATTCACTGAGTCCTCAGAATGGTGTTATTATTGTGTGATAATAACTTTCTCAGTCTCATTTTTCACTGACTTGGTGTTCAGGCTTTATCAGCTTTATCAACTTAGCCTTTGCCTAGGATGATTTTAGTCCATCTGCCTTTAATTGCACTATCAATCATGACAGAACAGAAAATATAATCCAATACATGCTTTGGTAATACTGCTACAAATGGTTTGGGTGCTGCTGCAGTAAACAATGTCTAAACCAAGTGCCATTCTCCCTCCGCCCTTTCCCCCATTTCTTCTTAACAGAAAAGTCTTTGGTTTTGATTGTGAGATACAAAGATTAATCCCAGAATTTCTCCCAGTGTTGTCCACTTCCTTTGCCCTAGTTCACTAAGATCTACAGTTGGTATTTACTAAAATTTTTGTTCACATGATGCTGACATAGGCTTTGGGTTTTTACTATTATATCTCTACTATTTGAACACCATGTCTTCAAGTCTGTATGTATTTACATGTAACACATGTGGGCCCCTGCTTACTCTTCCTCTGTCATGTGTCACGAAGGAATATAACAGTTTTGATTTACCAAACCCTGAAATACTCTTGTCCTATCAGGGGCTCCTTTAAGACAAAAGTAACCATTAAAATCATTAATGAGATTTGGCCTTAGACTTTACTATGAAATCTGGTCTTAATAGTAAGTGCTGAGAACAGAAAAAATAAATTGAATTTTACTGCCCCCTGCTGAAAAAAAGGTGTTAGAGGTTTGGGGAGATTCTGACAAATGTTAAAGAAACAGGAAAACGGGAGGCTCCCAGTTGTTCTCAGTGTGAGATGACTGAAGGATGAGTGATGAGTTGATGAAAGTCTTCAGCAGTGACTGGATGTAAAATCTATACCTCACAGTAGAAGCAACTAAAGAAAGGAAAGAAAAGAAGTGCTCAACCTGGGCTTGGAAGTAGATATGAGAGAGTCTCAGGTCCTAGTCAAATGAAGGGGTACTCGAAGGCAGAGGTAACTACCCACTCCTTGCTGCCCAGTGCAGGAATAACTCACACATAGCTTGTCTTTTATTGATGAAAACACTTTCCCCAAAGACTACCTTTCTTGTTTAGTTAGGGAAGTCCTCTGGAGAAGGTGCTGGGAATTGCTAAGTGTGAATAATTACAGAGACAGACATTATTATATATAATTTTTGTATATATCTCTACACATTTTTGTTCTAGTAAAACCCCCTTTCTCAATGGAGGTTTCTTGATTTTCAGGATTTTGTAGTCCTTCCAGTGTCCATGAAGTTTGCATAGGGAAGAGATACCAAGAAAGACAAGAGACAAAATGCAATCTTAATATTCAGCCAGGAGGGAAAGATCTGGAACCAGAATGTGGCAATGCTAAATTAAGACTTCATATTATGGCAAAGGACTCACCTGTCTTCAGGCGAGGCAGAAGGGAGAAAGGCTGAGGGTTCTGGTTTCCCAAACAGTGATAAACATCTCCTAGCTCAGGGCTCTGCACCACATGGAAGTAGGATTACCTCTGAGGTTTCATTTCCCATTGCCAAGAATAGCCTGTACCATCACGGTTCCTGTTTTCACAGAATAGAGTTTGATTCCAGAGAATCACAGACACTGACTATAGGGCATGTGTGTTGAGCTTTTATGCAGTGTCTTATGTCAGAATCCCACAGCAAGGGCTTTTTATGAGCTTCAGCACCATGTTCTCAACCCAGTGGTCCCTCGGTATTCATGGGGGATTAGTTTAAATCCACTGATGCTTAAATCTCTTATATAAAATGGCACAGTATTTGCATATAACCTAGGCACATCCTCCTGTATACTTTAAATCAACTCTAGATTACTTATAATAGCTAATACAATGTAAATGTCATGCAAATAGTTGGTATACCTCAGTGTTTTAGATTTTGTATTTTTTTTGTTGTGTTGTTATTTTGTAATTTTTAAAATATATTTTTCATCTGAGGTTGACTAAATCTGCAAATGAGGACCCCATTGATACAGAGTGCCAACTGTGTACTCTACCAGCATTCGGAAGTTCCAAAGGCCCTCAAATACAGCATGCATAATTCATTCCCCTCCTTCCTTCTAACTCTGCTTCTTTGCCTGTAATACTAAAACTAGGACTCCAGGCATAAACTTAACTTATTAAATATTCTAATTAGACTCAAATATATGAGTATATAAATTTGTGTTAACAATTAAAACAACAAATATTTCATATATTTTCATATATTTGCATCCTCCTTTGCATGTCTTCTTTCTCAGAACTCAGATTCCATTAAGAAAAACAGCTTTGATTTCCCCGAACGTTCTCCCATGTATGTTTGGGATTATGTCACTTCACCCTAGTTCTCAATCAATTATGTATTACCATCAGATATTAATATCAGATAATAATTGTTACATAAGTCTCTATACATTTTTTGTCCAGTAAAACTCCCTCTCTCATTTCCAGCCTTCTCTTAACCAAACATATTTTCTTTGTTTTAAAAAGACTTATAGATGGGAGGTGTGGAGGACTTAAATACACATGTACCAGACCTGGCTTGCTCCGGTCTGAACTCAGACCACGTAGGACTTTAATCATTGAACAAATGAACCCTTGATAGCAGCTACACCATTAGGATGTCCTGATCCAACATCGAGGTCGTAAACCCTATTGTCAATATGGACTCTAGAATAGGATTGCGCTGTTATCCCTAGGGTAACTTGTTCCGTTGATCAAATTATTGGGTCAATATATGTATAGTAATTCGCTTAAACTTGTTTAGTCTTAGCATAGGTTGCTCGGAGGTTAAATTATGCTCCGAGGTCACCCCAACCAAAATATTTAATGCAGGGACAGTAGTTTAAGGCCTGTGGGCTTATCTGAGCTTTGTTTGCATTAATAAATTAAAGCTCCATAGGATCTTCTCATCTTATTTATTCATGTTCGCCTCTTCACAGGCAGGTCAGTTTCACTGGTTGGAAGTAAGAGACAGCTGAACCCTCGTGGGGTCATTCATACAAGTCCCTATTTAAGGAACAAGTGATTATGCTACCTTTGCATGGTCAGGGTACTGTGGCCGTTGAACATATGTCACTGGCAGGTGGTGCCTCTAATACTAATAATGCTAGAGGTGATGTTTTTGGTAAACAGGCAGGGTAAAATTTGCCGAGTTCCTTTTAATTTTTTTTAACCTTTCCTTAGAGCATGCCTGTGTTGGATTAACAGTATCGGTAATAATAAATTTGTTGAGTTGTTTATTAATATTAGGCTGTTAATTTGTCAGTGGGTTATTCTGGTCTGATGTAGGCTTAAGCAGTGGAGAATATTTCATGTTACTTATATTAATATTATTGCATCTATAAAGTAATAGATTAGTCCAATGTGGTGTTAGGAGTTCAGTGGTGTGATTAGAATTTAGAGTGGTTGGATGTTGAGCTTGAATGCTTTCTTAATTGATGGCTGCTTTCGGGCCAACTATGGGGATAATGTTTTTTACTCTCTACATGAAGGTTGTTTCCTAATGTCTAAAGAGCTGTCCCTCTTTAGACTAACAGTTAAATTTACAGGGGGATTAAGTGGCTCTGTAGGTAAATTTAAAGTTGAACTAAGATTCTATCTTGGACAACCAGCTATCACTAGGCTCAGTAGGCTTATCACCACTACTCATGAATCTCCCCACTATTTTACTACATAGATGGGTGTGTTCTTTTAGCTGTTCTTGGGTAGCTCGTCTGGTTTTGGGGGCCTTGGCTTTGGTTCTCTGTGTAAAGTTATTTCTAGTTAATTCATTACGCAGAAGGTATAAGGGTCTATCCTTGCTATTTTATTCTTGGTTAACTTTTTCATCTTTACCTTGCAGTACTACGTCCACTGCGCCTGGGTAAAATTTCTTTCGCCTATACTTTTGTTTGGGTAAATGGTTTGATTAAGGTTATTCGGTAGTACTATTAGTTAAGTTTAGGGCTAGAGTTGGCACAAGGTGGTCAAATTATGGTGAAATCTGGGTGTAAGACAGATGCTTTGTGTTAAGCTACACCTTGGTTCATCCAAGTGCACTTTCCAGTACACTTACCATGTTACGACTTGTCTCCTCTATATAAATATGTAGGGATTTTAGTTAAACTAATCTCTAAAGTGATACTTGAGGAGGGTGATGGGCATTGTGTGTGTGCTTTATGGCCTCATCCAATTAAGCACTCTGCTCTTAATATACTGCTGAATCCTCCTTGAGCCCTTAGATTTCATAAGGGTTGTGAGATTTTCTGGGTGTAGAAAATGTAGCCCATTTCTTACCGCCTCATGGGCTACACCTTGACCTAATGTTTTTATGTAGATACTTGTGCTTACTTTGTGACTTTTACTAGGGTTTGCTGAAGATGATGGTATATAGGCTGAGCAAGAAGTGGTGAGGTAAATTGGGGTTTATCCATTATAGAACAGGCTCCTCTAGAGGGATATAAAGCACTGCCAAGTCCTTTGAGTTTTAAGCTATTGCTTGTAGTGTTCTGGGGAATAGTTTTGTTGATTTAACTATTGGAGTTTAGGGCTAAGCCTAGTGGGGTATCTAATCCCAGTTTGGGTCTTAGCTATTGTGTCTTCAGAAGTATTAAAGCCTCCTTCATAGTTTATTTTATTTCAGCCCGGGTTTTATACAACTGAGATGAAGCTTAGCTTTATTAAGGATAGACCTAAAACACTCTTTATGCTGAGTTCTATTAGCTCAGGTTAATTGTATGGCTGCGGTGGCTGGCATGAAATTAACCAACCCTGGATATTAGTATAGTTTAGTTAAACTTTTGTTTATTGCTAAAGGTCTATCACTGTTGTTTCCCGTGGAAGTTTGGCTGAGCAACGTGTTTTGAGCTGCATTTGTGCGTGCCTGATACTTACTCCTTTTGATCAAGGTGATTTAGATGTACTTTCACTGGGATGGGGATGCTTGCATGTGTAATCTTACTAAGAGTTAATAGAAAGGCCAGGACCAAGACTGTCTGTTTATGGGGCTGTATAAGCCCATCTAGACATTTTCAGTGTCTTGCTTTAAATAATTAAGCTACATTAACTGTATATATGTTAAGTGCAAAATTGGAGTATAGAAGAAGATACAGGCAATATGCACAGTTGTAGGGTTCAGGGATTTAAAGTTGAGTTAGCAGGAGTTGGTGGAGTAGATTTTAGTACTCGCGAGTGGTTGGTGTAGTACAAGGTGACAGATGATGCCTTTCGGGGTGTGTAAATTTAGGATATGGGCTTAGTAATGGATGGGCGTGCGTGTTAGATATAATTGTTGTAAAAGTAGAATTAGATTGGTGAGGGGTTAGTTTCCTAAAAAAATTTGCATTAGTTGAGGGGTAGCTGTTGGGGATACCCAAAGCTAAAATACAAATATTTTGGGCTCTGGCAGAGTTGAATTAAGGCTTACTTGTTTTTGAAGTTTGGCAAGGTGTCTTTTTTCCTGGGTTGATGAAGTCAGAGATGGGGCAGGGGGGTGTTGCAGATTTTCATTTTAAAAGTCCAATAAGGGGAGCGGTTGTATGTGTTTGTCTGTTAATTACTGTTATGTCCTTCAAGCATGAATTAATTAGCACCTTAGGGTAGTTATGCCCTGTCGGAATATTGAATTTAGGCACAATTAATATAGGTGATTGGTAGGAATCAAAGACAGGTCCGGCTGCAGGTGATGGGGAGGGGACCAGGCCTTCTGTGATGTGATAGCATACCCGAAAGTTAAAATACCAAATGCACAGCAGTGCTCCCATGACTGATTAATAGGGTGATAGTCACTGGTCCATCGAGATGTCTACTTTTAACTAAAGAATATATATAGCCTTGTGAAGAGCCAGTATAAAAAGAAAACCAGCACAAGACAAAGATACCCTCTTTCGCCACTCCTATTCAACATAGTACTGGGAGTCCTGGTCAGGGCAATCAGGCAGAAGGAAGAAATAGACATCCAAATAGGAAGAGAGAAAGTCAAACTATCCCTATTTGCAGATGACATGATTCTATATCTAGAAAACCCCATAGTCTCTGCCCAAAAGCTGCTTGATCTGATAAACAACTTCAGCAGTTTTAAAATACAAAATCAACATTAAAAAGTGGCATTCCAATACACTAAAAACATACAAGCTAAGAGCCAAATCAGGAATATGATTCCATTCATAATTGCCACACACAACAAATACCTAGGAATACAGCTAACCAGAGAAGTGAAAGGTCTCTACAACAGGAATTACAAAACACTGCTCAAAGAAATCAGAGATGACAAAAACAAATAGAAAAACATTCTATGCACATGGATAGGAAGAATCAATATCATTAAAATGGCCTTACTGGCCAAAGCAATGTAGATTCGATGGTATTAAGTTGGCGCAAAAGTAATTGTAGTTTTGGTGAATTTTAAATCATAACTAGGCTCAAGCACATCTTTATTAATCAAAATAGGAACCATTACAATCAACACATTTTTTGCCAATGAGAAATAAGTTTGTTTATTCTTGTAGCATAAAAATCTATGCTTTGGAATTCAGTGAATTCTTGGAAAGCATTTTCTGCATCTTGCTGGCTGTGGAAGCATTTTCCCTGCAAAAAGTTGACAAGATGCTTGAAGAAGTGGTAGTTTGTTGGTGAGAGGTCAGGTGAATATGGCAGATGAGGCAAAAGTTTGTAGCCCAATTTATTCAACTTTTGAAGCATTGGTTGTGCAACCTGCGGTCAGATGTTGTTGTGGACAAGAATTGGGCCCTTTCTGTTGACCAATGCCAGGTGCAGGCATTGCAGTTTTTGGTGCATCTCATCAATTTGCTGAAGATACTTCTCAGATGTAATGGTTTTGCCAGGATTCAGAAAGCTGTGGTGGATCACACTGGCAGCAGACCACCAGACAGTGACCACGTGTAGGGTCCAGACCCACAGGGTTGGTGGGTTTTCTCCTCGTGTGCAGAGATGAGAGAGCATAGAAATAAAGACACAAGACAAAGAGATAAAAGAAAAGACAGCTGGGCCCGGGGAACCACTACCACCAAGACACAGAGACCAGTAGTGGCCCCGAATGCCAGGCTGCGCTGATATTTATTGGATACAAGACAAAGGGGCAGGATAGGGCATGTGAGCCTTCTCCAATGATAGGTAAGGCCACATGGGTCATGTGTCCACTGGACAGGGGGCCCTTTCCTGCCTGGCAGCCGAGGCAGAGAGAGAGAGGAGAAAGAGAAACAGCTTACACTATTATTCTGCTTATCAGAGACTTTTAGTACTTTCACTAATTTGCTACTGCTAAGTAAACGGCAGAGCCAGGTGTACAAGATGGAGCATGAAGGTGGACTAGGAGCGTGACCACTGAAGCACAGCATCACAGGGAGACGGTTAGGCCTCCGGATAACCGCGGGCGGGCCTGAATGATGTCAGGCCTTCCACAAGAGGTGGAGGAGTACAGTCTTCTCTAAACTCCCCCAGGGAAAGGGAGACTCCCTTTCCCGGTCCGCTAAGTAGCGGGTGTTTTTCCTTGACGCTAACACTACCGCTAGACCAAGGAGCCCTCTGATGGACCTGTCCGGGCATAACAGAAGGCTCGCACTCTTTTCTGGTTGCTTCTCGCTATGTCTCCTCAGCTCCTAACTCTGTATACCCTGGTTTTTCCTAGGTTATGATTATAGAGCGAGGATTATTATAATATTGGAATAAAGAGTAATTGCTACAAACTAATGATTAATGATATTCATATATAATCATATCTAAGATCTATATCTGGTATAACTATTCTTATTTTATATTTTATTATACTGGAGCAGCTCGTGTCCTCGGTCTCTTGCCTCGGCACCTGGGAGGCTTCCCGCCCACAACTATGACTTTTTTGGTGCAAGTTTGGCTTTGGGAAGTGCTTTGGAGCTTCTCGGGCCAACCATTGAGATGATTGTTGGCAGTTGTCATATAAAATCCACTTTTCATTCTATGTCACAATCTGATCAAGAAATGGTTCGTTGTTATTGCATAGAATAAGAGATGACACTTTAAAATGACAATTTAAAAAAAGTTTTGCTCACTTTATGAGGCACCCACTTATCGAGTTTTTCACCTTTCCAATTTGTTTCAAATGCTGAACAACTGTAGAGTGGTCAACCTCGAGTTCTTTAACAACTTCTCGCCTAGTTGTAAGAGGATCGGTTTTGATGATTGCTCTCAACTGGTGATTGTCAACTTCTGATCACCTGCCACTATACTCTGCATCTTCAGGGCTCTCGTCTCCTTTGAAAAACTTCTGGAACCAACACTGCACTGTATGTATGTTCATTAGCAGTTCCTGGGCCAGATGCGTTGCTGATGTTGCGGGTTATCTCTGCCACTTTATGACTCAGTTTGAACTTGAATAAGAAAATCACTCAAATCTGCTTTTTGTCTAACACCATGTGTATAGTCTAAAATAAATACCAAATAAGTAGCAAGTAATAAGTAATTAGCAAAAAACATAAAGTGAAAATGTTCATTAAAACGATGTATAACATAACCACATTTACTTAAGAATGTATTTCAATACCAAATGGCAAATTCCAACAATGCAAAAACTGCAAATACATTTGCACCAACCTAATATTCCTATCAAACTACTAATGACGTTTTTCACAGAATTAGAAAAAACAGTATTTTAAAATTCATGTGGAACCAAAAAGCCCAAATAGCCAAGGCAATCCTAAGTCAAAAGAACAAGGGCTAGAGGCATCATGTTACCAACTTTAACCTACACTGCAAGGGTACAGTAACTAAAACAGCATGGTGTACTGTACAAAAACAGATATAGACCAATGGGATAGAATAGAGAGCCAGGAAATAATGCCACATACCTACAGCCATCTGGTCTTTGACAAAGCTGACTAGAACAAGCAACGGGGAAAGAACTCCTTATTCAACACATGGTGCTGGGGATAACTGGCTAGCCATATGCAAAAGATTGAACTAGATCCCTTCCTTATACCATATACAAAAATCAACCCAAGATGGATTAAAGACTTAAATATAAACCTAAAGCTATAAAGCCCCTGGAAGATAACCTAGGAAATATTATACCATCCTAATCATATGACTTGGCAAAGATTTCATGATGAAGATACCAAAAGCAATTTCAAAAAAATCAAAAATTGACAAATGAGACCTAATTAAAGAGCTTCTGCACAGCAAATGAAACTATCAACAGAGTAAATAGACAAACTACAGAATGGGAGAAAATATTTGCAGACTATATATGCATCAAAGGTCTAATATCCAGATTCTATAAGGAACTTAAACTTACAAGCAGAAAACAGATAACCCCATTAAAAAGTGGGCAAAGGGCATGAACAGACACTTTTCAGCAAAAGGTATACATGTGATCAACACACATATGAAAAAATGCTCAACATCACTAATCATCAGAGAAATGCAAATCAAAACTACAATGAGATACCATCTCACACCAGGCAGAATGGTTATTATCAGAAGTCAAAAAATAACAGATCCTTACAAGGCTGCTGAGAAAAGGGATTGCTTATATGCTGCTGGTGAGAGTGTAAATTAGTTCAGCCATCATGGAAAGCAGTATGGTGATTCCTCAAAGAACTGAAAACAGAACTTCCATTTGACCCAGCAGTCCCATTATTGTGCATATACCCAAAAGAGTAGAAATCATTCTATCATAAAGACACATGCACACAGATGTTCATTGCAGCACTATTCACAATAGCAGACACATGGAATCAACCTAAAAGGCCGCCAACAGTAAGCTGGATGAAGAAAATATAGTACATATACATCACGGAATACTATGCAGCCATAAAAAGAAAGAGATCAGCATCACAGTTTTGCATATAACTGTTTATTATAACAAACCTGTACATGTCCCCATGAACCCAAAATAAAAGTTAAAGAAGTATGAAGGGACATAACAACTATGATAACTTTGAAATGCATAAACTATCACACACAAGAGAAAAGCTGAATCTTTGTCTACAGACATTGGAAAAACTGTTATAGATAAGCTCATCTTTGATCTGAGAATTAAAGGATATGTGAGGATTAGCCAGGCACTCAAGATTTATTTCAAACAATAGATGTTGGTGAGGCTGCAGAAGAAAGGGAACACTTATACACTGTTAGTGGGAATGCAAACCAGTTCAGCCACTGTGTAAAGCAGTTTGGAGATTTCTCAAAGAACTTAAAATGGAGCTACCATTTGACCCAGCAATCCCACTACTGGATATATACCCAAAGGGAAATAATTTATTCTGTCATAAGGACACATGTACCCATTATGTTCATTGCTGCACTATACACAATAGCAAGGACATTGAATCAACCTAAGCACCCATTAACAGTGAACTGGGGCCCGGCGCGGTGGCTCACGCCTGTAATCCCAGCACTTTGGGAGGCCGAGGCGGGTGGATCATGAGGTCAGGAGATCGAGACCATCCTGGCTAACAAGGTGAAACCCCGTCTCTACTAAAAATACAAAAAAAATTAGCCGGGCGCGGTGGCGGGCGCCTGTAGTCCCAGCTACTCGGGAGGCTGAGGCAGGAGAATGGCGTGAACCCGGGAAGCGGAGCTTGCAGTGAGCCGAGATTGCGCCACTGCAGTCCGCAGTCCCACCTGGGCAACAGAGCGAGACTCCGTCTCAAAAAAAAAAAAAAAAAAAAAAAAAACAAAACAGTGAACTGGATAAAGAAAATGTGGTACATATACACCATGGAATACCATGCAGCCATAAAAGAACAAAATCATTCCCTTTATGCAACATGGATGGAGCTGGAGGACATTATCTTAAGCAATTAATGCAAGAACAGAAAATCAAATACTATATGTTCTTTTAAGTGGGAGCTAAATGAATACACATGATTGTAAAGATAGAAACCATAGACACTGGGGCTCACTAGATGGGAGAAGGAGGGAGCAGGGCATGGGCTGAACAATCACCTGTTGGATTCTATGCTTATGTCCTGGGTGATGGGATTGTTGGGACCTGAAGTCTCAGCATCACGCAATTTACCCATGTGACAAACCTGCACAACATGTGCCCACTAATCTGTAATAAAATTTGCAATTAAAAAATTAGTTTTGACAAAAAAGGAATAAAGAAGCTCATTTCAGATGAAGGAAAGAGCTTTGGCAAAGGTACACCTGTGCAATTCAGGCTGGTATATTCAGGGAAATATAAAAAGTTCAGTTCAGCTACAGTCTAAAGTGCTGGAGTGAATTCGGCCAATTTGGCCAGATGTTTAGTTGGAGAACCATTTCCAAAGGGCTTTGTGTGTTGTGTGAGGAATGTCATATGTGGTCATGCTGGTGGCAATGTGAGAAATAGGGTAAGGGAAAGGGGTAAGAAGCTAGTAAGCCAGGGAGAGGGCATTGCATTTATTTCTAGGCAATGAGTGATGAGGGTCTGCACTGAGGTAGAAGCAATGAGGAGGGAGAGGGGTAACTGAATCAGATAAATATGTGTATATTAGAAACTGTGATGCCGACATCTCTCTGTGAATGGTCTTGTTCTAAAGAGACACTTCCTCCCCATCAAATTCATGAGTGCTTCTCAGAGCAACTCACATATAATGACATGGTTACAAGGAAAGTGGGAATAAGACCTGCCATCTCACCTTGGGATGGCACTAAAGGACCATCCAGACTCAGAGCTCCCTGTGGGGTGAGTGAAGGACTTTGTTGAGGATACAGCAAAGCCCAACTTCTCCCTCTGCCCCATTTCCCTCTGCCCACGTGGACTGCAAGGGCAGTTTCCACAAACCTTCCCGCACACTAATTTTCCTCTCAAAATCTGCTTTTGGAGAACACAAACTATGACAATGTGTGATATACAAGTAATAGATTTAGAAACTGATTTAATATGAGGCATAGCAAAAATGAGGAACCTAGAAGGGCTGTTCCAATCACTGAGATAGAAATACAGTGTGTGGCCAAAATGGGCAAGTGCAAGGATGGAGAGGCAGTTTATTTCAGGGATAAACTGAGTTTGAATTGCCTATGGAGCATCCAGCTTCAAGTGTCCAGTAGATAGTTGAATTTGCCAGGCAGGAACCTATGAAAGAAGTTGTCATGACAATGAATGCGAAGGTTGAGGAAAGACATGTGTACTGAGGAAAAAGGAGGGCAGAAGGAAAAATCCTGGGGAAATCTATCAGAAATGTCCAGGAGACAATTAACTGGGACAGTTAACAGCTTGTAAGGGAAGAATTATTATTGCTGATAAGACTTGATGAGGTGTGCATAGAAAGCAGGAAACAAAACTCTGGAGAAACCTGTTTTTTAAATGGAAGCCAATGAGAAAGAATCCCTAAAAGTAACACGCTTTACACATGAGAACAGGTAGAAAAGGGAACAAGTTGGATTCTTCATTTCTGAACAGTCACCAAGTCCCATGGATTCGTTTGCTGAAATAATTGAGGCTTATGGGACAAGAAGACTAAATCCATGAGGAAGACATCAACTTGATTCTCAGGAAGACTTTTACGTCAAGCTCTGGCAGTCCTTGATCAATTATTTTTGTGCCTGGGCCTCACTGGCTCCTAAAAGAATCCCCACAGCAGGGGAACCAGGGAATTATTCTAGTGCCTGGAAACAAGGGGCACTTCCAAGCTCCTAGCTTTGACCTCATACTGGGGACAGGGAATTTTATTTTTTGAAATTCAGTACATCCAGATAATAATGCAAGTCTATCTGCACCTGCAGGTTAAAATGAATCTCAGCAGAGATCAAAGTGTGGGGTAGTAGATGAAAAATTACTTTTGTAAATCACAGTCTCTGTTACTTGAACTTTAACTTCTGAGTCAGATTTAATGACAATTAAATTTACTTACAGTGAAGTTTTAGAAAACAAGCTAGTTATTTTGTTTTTAGTAGAAAGGCAATCAATTATAGAGCTAAATGGTGGAGCTGAGCTTGGAAGAACTGGGGCAGAGAAAGGTTAGACAGGATAAAGGAGCTGTCAGTGGGAACAGAACAAAGTGTGGGATGTTGCAAAGTGGGTGGAAATAATGGCAAAAGGACTATAAAAACTGCATTGTATTCAGCTCATAAGAAATGCTCTTGTTGAAAATCATGAGCTTCTGTCAAATGCTCAAGTTCCTTCTCCTGAAAGGTCACCATTCGTCTAGCTCCCTAGGAAAAATAAATAGACAGGGGAGATTGATTCAGTGTAGCCTGTGCTTTCAGAGTCATCACATGGCTTGGGGACATTGATCCAAAGTGGCCCTTAGCTCACACTACCTAAGACCACTGAAAGCTCTAAACACCCCACATCCCACAACCCACATCCAGGTACCCTTCAGAGCAAACAACTCACCCATGTGTCTGTCTTTCTGTGTAGAGAGCAGGTGGCCAAGAAGCACTGTGCAAATCACTGGTGGCACAGAAGTAAAGAGCTGTCTGGTTGGGGATGGCAGACTCTAGGGACAGGGAGAATTTAGCCTGTGCCTGTCGAGAGACACTGTATCCATCAGAGATCTCTCCTTTGTTTATATCTTTGACATCAAAGGAGTAATAGATCAACCGTAGGCCCAGTCCTGGGTCTTGTCGATACCAGTACATTCTATCATGACCCTTAGTCTGAGAACATTCCAGCATAATCCTCTTTCCTGTCTTTGTGATCCTATTCCTTGGGGTCTGGGTAACATCAGCATCCATGGACCCTGTGGGAAATAAGACAGAAATTGAAGACAGAAACTGGTAAATATCCTCGTGCTGCAATCTCTGAGGATAGGCTTAATTCAGAACCTGGAAAATTTAAGGCAGTGATTTCCCCATCTGTGTTCCAAACTCACCTGTTCCCAGGAGATAAAAGGCCCCACAGAAGAAGAGCAGGGAGGCCATGGCATGAAGAGGCAGGATGGAGGTGTTTCCAGCTCTGGATGTTGAGGGAAGCAGGGCATGGAAATAGAAAACTGGGAGGATTCAGGAAGTGATGTCATTGTCCCTCCCAAGGTACTGGGTCTTAAAGAAAGATGCCATGTTGGCTTATGTATTATATGTTCTTAGCAGATGCTGAAATTCTTCTACTTGCTTCTCTTCTGTTTTTCTGGCGCTTTACTGGCAACCACCAGAGAGTTGTATCTCTCCCCTTTCTCAGGGCATATCCATTTCAGTTGTTCAAGGTGACATCATCCTCCTGATAAAACAGGCTGGAGAAAATTCAAAACCAAATTGAATTTCGAATAAAGGAAGTCTAGTCTCACTTGAATGATAGGACATTATAACTCTTCTCCTTTTTTTCTGCATTTAATCATTTATTCTAACTCAGTTCTTGGTAAACTATGCAATTTGAATACATTCTCTGTAAAGTTTGAGACTTTTTTGTTGTAAGAAGGACAGGATTCCTAACTTTGTTTCAAATTGCTCCTATTTTTTAGTGGCTCCTGCTTTTCTGGTCAATGTTTTCTGGGCACAGAGCTTTATTAAAAATATTGGCTTATTGTAGAAAGATGTTAGTTTAATGTGGGTATGTGCTTCAAAGAAGTACTTAACGCCTTCATTCCTATTTTGAATTAGCTGAAAATACAGTTGTTCATTAAAGAATTCATTTTATTCTAACACAAATTATTCCTGACTTTAGGAGGAAAGAGCTAATATTTAATGCAGCAGATTGCAAGTACAGAACAGTTATGGTGATAGTGTGAAACATTGTTCAATGTAATAAACAACTGGCTCTTTGCTGCTTCAGATCTGTGCTCGTCCTGGTGAAAAAGGAAGAGTTCCCTGACCCCCCTGGAAGGACGTGCGACAGGAGTGTTGCTCACCTTTTCAGTTGCTGCAACTGCTCAAACCCCTGAGGGGAAAGGGAACACACAGAGGGACAGATGCAGGAGCCCAAGTGGGCAGATAGTTCTGCCATCTGCACACGGCTTGAGTGTTAACCAGCTCAGTGGACCCTCTGCCTTTTTGCAAGGGCAGAGGGCCAGTGTGACAGCTTTCTGTGTCCCGAGCTCTTGCCCAGCGTCCTGGAAGAATTGGGTCACACATGGGCTTGAAGGATGAATGTGGGGTTTTATTGAGTGGTGGCAGTGGCTCTCAGTGGGATGGATGGGGAGCTGGAAGGGGGGATGGAGTGAGAAGATGATCTTCCCCTTGGAGTTTGGCCATCCAGGGACTGAACTCTTCTCTGACCACCTCCAGCTGAACTCCTCTCGGGTTTCAGACGTTCCTCCTCTTTTTCTCTGCCACGTTGTTCTGCCCTCCCTCTGCTTGTCTCCTAGCCTGCTTCTCTGCCTCTGAAGCCTGGGGTTTGGGGTTTATATGGGTAAAAGAAAGGGGGCATGGTGGGTCAAAAGACAACTTTTTGGGAATGAAAACAGGAATGCTTGTCCCCATTTACAGCTGCAGGTCTCCAGGCTTGAGGGTGGGGCCTTTGCTGGGAAACCACCCTCTTCTACCCAGTATTTCCGTCTCCTGTCCATATCACTGACCCTCCCTCATGCATGGATACACCATGGCATCCTACCCTAATCATTCCTGCTGCATGTCAAATTGGTAAAGTCTTATTTTTAGATATTTTTACTTTTAATTCTAAAAATTTCAAACATATACAAAGTAGGCTTAATAAACAATGAGCCTTCATGTCCTCACATGAGTCATCTTTGGTAATTACCAACTCCTCATGGCCTCTCTTGTTCATCTACCTCCTCCTTCACCACTTCTGCCTCTCCTGTGTAATTTTGAATAGTTGTTGCTTTATTTAGGAGTACCCAAGCACATTTTACAGCCTTTGCCTACACTCCAGATGACATATTCCAGTGTCCCCTCCCTTCTTCTCTTTTTGGTTAGAGTTCTCCATTAGTAATATGAATGAAAATACGGATTTGTTCCAGTAAATTCCTTAGCCAGGCATCTGATGAATATAAACAAGACAATGATCATAAAAACTTTTATTTTGGCTTTGTCTTCAACGTAAAAAAAAAAAAATCATTGCCCTTATTTGCAATTCTTAAAGTAAACATGCTGTTTTGGTGCCCCCTGCTGTGGGCAGTAATTTGAGTGGAATTAATATTTGGGAGCTGAATATGAACTATTCTTGGTGATCACATTAGTTGAGAGAAGCAAAAATTGACAAATGGGATCTAAAGAGCTTCTGTACAGCAAAAGTATATTGATTTTGGAATGCTAAACCACTGTTTCTCCTGCAATAAACTCCCTTGGACATGTTGTAGAATTGTCCACATATACACATATGTATATGCACACAAATATATACATATATCCATACATATTTGGATTTATTTATTTATTTTTGATCCAAAAGTAAATGTTCTATTTTTTGAAGAAAATTAATTTTTGGAAGCTTTTGTTCATCAAAATTTGAGTGAATTATCTGGTTTTACCTCCCCCCCAGTAGATGTACTTTATAGCAACTCTACTTTCTTTTTTTTTTATTTCTGGGGTACATGTGCAGGATGGGCAGGTTTGTTACATAGGTAAATGTTTGCCATGGTGCTTTGCTACACCTATCAACCCATCACCTAGATATTAAGTCCAGCATGCATTACCTATTTTTCCTAATGCTCTCCCTCCCCCCACTCCACCCCCCAACAGACCCCAGTGTGTGTTGTTCCTCTCCCTGTGTTCATGTGTTCTCATTGTTTAGCTCCCACTTATAAGTGAGAACATGCAACATTTGTTTTTCTGTTCCTGGGTTAGTTTGTTGAGGATAACAGCTTCCAGCTTCATCCATGTCCCTGCAAAGGACATGATCTCATTCATTTTTATGGCTGCATAGTATTCCATGGTGTACATGTACCATTTTCTTTATCCAGTCTATCGTTGATGGGGATTTGGGTTGATTCCATGTCTTTGCTATTACGAATAGTACTGCAATGAACATATGCATGCATGTATCTTTGTAATAGAATGATTTATATTTCTCTGGATATATACCCAGTAATGGGATTTCTGGGTCAAATGGTATTTCCGGTTCTAGATCTTTGAGGAAGCACCACACTATCTTCCACAATGGTTAAACTAATTTATGTTCTAACCAACAGTGGAAAAGCATTCCTATTTCTCCACAACCTTGCCAGCATTTTCATAATGGCTGTTCTGACTGGTATGAGATGGTATCTCATTGTGGTTTTGATTTGCATTTCTCTAATGATCAGTGGTGTTGAGATTTTTTTTTTGGTATGTTTGTTGGCCTCATGAATGTCTTCTTTTGAGAAGTGTCTGTTCATGTCCTTTGCCCACTTTTTAATAGGATTGTTTGTTTTTTTCTTGTAAATTTGTTTGAATTTCTTGTAGATTCTGGGTATTAGATCTTTGTCAGATGGATAGACTACAGAATTTTCTCCCACTCTGTAGGTTTCCTGTTCACTATGATGATAATTTCTTTTGCTGTACAGAAGCTCTTTAGATCCCATTTGTCAATTTTTGCTTTTGTTGTAATTGCTTTTGATGATTTCATCATGAAATCTATGTGCCTATATCTGAATGATATAGCCTAGATTTTATTCTAGGGTTTTTATAGTTTTGGGTTTTCCATGTAATCTTTAATCTATCTTGATTTAGTTTTAGTATAAGGTGTGAGGAAGAGGTCTAGTTTCAATTATCTGCAAATGGTTAACCAGTTCTCCCCACACCTTTTATTAAATAGGGAATCCTTTCCCCATTGCTTGTTTTTGTCAGGTTTGTCGAAGATCAGATGGTGTAGATGTGTGATCCATTTCTGAGTTCTCTACTCTGTTCCATTGGTCTATATGTCTGTTTTTGTACCAGTACTATGCTGTTTTGGTTATTGTAGCCTTATAGTTTGAAGTCCGGTAGCATGACGCCTCCAGCTTTGTTCTTTTTGCTTATGATTGTCTTAGCTGTTTGGGCTCTTTTTTGGTTCCATATGAATTTTAAAATAGTTTTTCCTAATTCTGTGAAGAATGTCAATGGTAGTTTAATGGGAATAGCATTGACTCTATAAATTACTATGTACAATATGGCAGTTTTCATGATATTGAGTCTTCCTATCCATGAGGATTAAATCTTTTTCCATTTGTTTGTGTCTTCTCTGGTTTCCTTGAGCAGTGGTTTGTAATTATTCTTGAAGAAGTCCTTCACTTCCCTTGTTAGCTATGTTCCTAGGTATTTTATTATCTCTGTAGCAATTGTGAATGGGAGTTCATTCATGATTTTGTTCTCTGCTTGCCTGTTGTTGATGTATTGAAATGCTTGTGACTTCTGTACTTTGATTTTGTATCCTGAGATTTTGCTGAAGCTGCTTATCAGCTTAAGAAGCTTTTGAGCTGAGACAATGGGGTTTTCTAGATATAGGATTATGTCATCTGCAAACAAAGACAATCTGACTTTCTCCCTTCCTATTTGAATACTTTGTATTTCATTCTCTTGCATGATTGCTCTGGCCAGAACTCCCAATACTATGTTGAATAGGAGTGATGAGAGAGGGCATCCTTGTCTTGTGCTCGTTTTCAAGGGGAACGCTTCTAGCTTTTGCCCATTCAGTATGATATTGGCTGTGGGTTTGTCATAAATAGCTCTTATTATTTTGAGGTATGTTCCTCAATACCTAGTTTATTGAGATTTTAACATGATGTTGAATTTTATTGAAGGCCTTCTCTGCATCTATTGAGATAATCACGTGGTTTCTGTCTTTAGATCTGTTAATGTGATGAATTACGTTTATTGATTTGCATATGTCGAACCACCCTTGCATCCCGGGAGTGAAGCCAACTTGATCGTGGTGGATAAGCTTTTTGATGTGCTCCTGGATCCAGTTTGCCAGTATTTTATTGAGACATATTTGGATTTAATTTGTTAATATATTGTGAAAAGTTTTCTTTCATTTGCAGCCATAAAAGATACTGTTCTGTAATGCATTTGACAGATTTTGGCATTAGGTTTTTGCTGGGTTTATAAAAGTGTTGTGAAGTGTTTCTGCCTCTTCTATTTTCTTAAAAAATTTATGTAAGATGGATAGTCTTTTTTCCTTAATTTTAGAATAGAATTCATGAAGAAATAATTCAGGTCTGGAGTTTCCTTTGAGGGAAGGCTTTTGATAAAAAATTTAACTTCCTTCATTTGAAGTTCTTTACATTTCTTATTTCATTTTGAATCATTTTGGTAAGTGGTATTATTCAAGAAATTTCATTTCATCTAAGTTGAAGAATGTATTGCATATACTTATAATATTCTGTCGCTATTTTAATGTCTTTTGTATCTATAGACATATGCTTTCCTTCATCATTGATATGGTAATTTGTGTCTTTCCCCTTTTTGTCTTGATTGCTATGGGTTAATCAATTTCATCAGTTGATTAAATCATGACCATATTTTCCTCCAAATTCTTGAACATATTTCTATAATAACTGCTTGAAAATTCTCATCTGAAATTTCCAACATTTGTATTATTTCAGGGTTGGTTTTTATTGTTTATTTTTTTCCCATGTGTAACATTTCCTAGTTCTTCCCATGTCTAATATTTTTTTTCATGTCAAGATCAAAATTGTAGATGCTGCATTGTTGACACTCTAGAGATACATATCTCTCTACAGACTTATATATCTACAGATTATATATATGTATATGTTTATATTTGCCTTTATTTAGAGAGTGCTGAGATATTTTTCTTCAAAAGGCAGTGAACTTATTGGAAGATCAGCGAGATCCTTTTGAGACTTGCTGAGCTTTGTTAGGGCAGTTCTGGAGTGGTTTACTCTAGGACGTTGGTAGTCCTTCTCTTGAGATGTGACCCTTATGTGGTGCCAGCTGCATTCCCAGGGGTTTCAGCAAGGCCTCTCAGCTCTGCCCAGTCAGGATTCATGTCTCCCACGCTCGTATGACTGTCAGAATCTCTATTCCTCTCACAACTACCCAGCAACTGTTCTCTGCCAGGTCTTATGGAGGCGTTTCCCATGCATTTGCTGCTTAGTTTTTGACCAAAGACTTAAGGGGACCTCATAAAATATTTGGAGGTCTTATTCTGCATAGCTTCCTTCTCTGCAGTAGCTTATCCCTATCACTATCAGCCATGTCCATACTTCTGAACTCAATCTCTGCCTCCCTATGCTGGGTAGACCACTGCCCACTGCTTGGGCTTCATATACTTGTGGTGCAGCCCAGAAGTCATACCAAGGCAGAGTCTTAGGACAATAGCGAAATTCCCCTTCTAGGTTTCCTCTTTCCCAGAGATGGCGACGTGTACTGCCTGTTGTCTGATGTCTGAACATAGTTGTCTTACAATTTTTGTCAAGTTTTATAGTGGCTTAAGGCAATAGAACAAGTACAGTAACAACTATCTATTTTGATTTAGAGCCAAATTCCCAAAAATAAGCATTTTAAAGGTTTTTGTTCCAGATTGTCAAACTGACACTATTACAAGTAGTTTAAAAGAGTAACACTTTGACTAGACTCTTAATCAAATTGGACAACAAAATTCATTTGTAAGTGTTCTCAAACACATTTTTACTAATATTTCATTCCATATTCATATGAATTTTCTGTATTCATATTCTCATTCACTATTAAATTATTTGATTTTTTTCAATTGTTAACTTTATGGTAAACCCTGATGGTTTTCAGGAAATCATTTAAAATTTGTTTTCCTAAATTTATTTTTTTCCCAAACTTCCTCAGGAATTTGTTTTAATTTATCCACTGATAAATCACTCCCAAAGACAATATAATGTTCTAATGTTTTTCATGAAAGTAATCTATATTTTGTCATCCTTATACACATTATTTGAAATACATTTTTATGGTTCTTTTTACTCTTCTCCCTTTCCCCAGAGACCAAAATTCCATGTAGTGTAGCTGAAAGTTTCTGAATGCCTTTATGTCTCAGTGAATGGGAGTTGCTCTGTAAGCATTTGTGAAATCAAAATGGATCAGCTGTCATATCAAGAGCTCAAGGAGATAGGTGTTTGCAGTGGATGGAATTTGGCCCTAAAAGAGATAATGTGTGGGCAAGTATTAAGTCTTCCAAAAAGATGTGTGAAGTTTTTCTGTCCTTTGCTATAACCAGGCAGCATAATTCACTTAGAAAAGAGCAATAAGAATTAATTTGAATCAAATTTGCCCCATATTGTAAAAAAGCACAGCTAAATGGAGTGAAGCATTTTTTCAGCAGTTCTGGATGGAAAGGGTTGTCAGTGGGTGATAGTAGTTTGGGGACAGCCATGGCTGGTAACTTTTCTATGCTGCTTAAAGACATGAGTAATAATGGAAGAGACAGCAAGTTGAGCACTCAGCAGAGTGGAAGTGAAAGATAGAAGTCTCATTCACATAATGGAGATAACACGCATGCACCTGCTAAGGTAAGAGATCACCTGGTTCCTCCCACATCTACTGATTCTTTGAAGTCTGGGACAGAGGTGGTGCCATATTGGGTGGTGGTATTTCCAGTGCCTAAAGTTTCAGAAAGGAGACTAATATCTTGTATATCTCAGGACCCCCTACAAATCATTGAGGAAAATATAGAACTGTCAATAGAGAATTTGCCAGCGGATATGGATAGGCCATTTTGAGAACAGAAATCCAGGACCACTATCACATGAAGAAGTGCTCAAACTCATTAGTAATTAGAAAATTGCAAAGGAAAGAAAAGGAGGGAGAGAACATTATTCAGCCTTCTAGATTGCTGCCAGTTATTATTATAGTAGTATAACGTAATCTCTCAGTTCCTTTAAATTATTGGTTTTATTTAGTTTTAAAAAATTGTCACCTGTATCTTTATGGTAAACACTGATGATATTCTGGCAGTAGGTGAGAGGGTTGCAGGGGTGGGGGGTGGAGAGAAAGAGAGACAGAGATTGGAATCTCTTTACATTGCTAGACTGAGAACAATCTAGATCACTGGATAAGGATTAAAGGAGATATTAGGATGTAGGAAAACACCCTATTCACTTTTATGTGGGATTGCAGATGTATACAGTGATCCTGAAGAACCCGTGGTGGTATTTAGATAGATAAAATATGCATAGAATTCCATGTCTCAGCAATCATGACTTGCTCTGGGTATATAATCCTATAAAGCAATCATACAAGTCTATGAAGGTATTTGTACAAGAATTTTCAATTCTGGCAGAAAACTGGAGAAAATCTGGCTATGTATTTCTGAAGAAATGGGTATGAGTACTCTCTATCATGTAGAAGCAACAAGACCAAATGTACATACAGAAAAACGGAGCACTTCCCTTGCTTGAGCTGAGTGGAAAAGTAATATTTATGTGATTTTAAATATATACATACATGCCTCCTGCTGAGTGCTCTGTGAGAAGGTTAATGGCTGGATCATGACTGATCTGTTTTTTTCTCTTGGGATTTTGAATTGAGGCTTAGAAAGAGCCAGCCTGGTATTTATCAGTGTAGGGAAATGATGGCAACTGAATTTGTAATCTTTAGTGACCATCTCATTCTCACCACGAGGCCTGGAGAAAAAGAGATGGTGTACAGGGAGAGAAAAGCATTCAGCAGCCAAAATTGAATAAAAATCAGCGCTGGAGAGATAGCCATTCTAGAGCCCAGCCCTAGTGGTGCCTTTTCAGAACTTCTATCACCTCTTGACTTCTGCTAAACACCCTTTATCCTTGTGTTAAATTACACTGTGGCTTAAGCTGGCTCCAGTTATTTTCTGTTACTCCCTTCCAGCCTAATACATCACCTGCTTCCTGAGCTGGGTCTGTGACAAGTTTGTGTGCTAAGAGGAACTGACATTTCAGTGCTGTGGATTGACTGCTGGCGCAGAGATACAGTGCCGTGTCTCCCGGTTCTGAGGACAGGATTGCCAGGCTGCAGGGTGCGTTCTTGGGGCATTGAGATGAGAATCGCTTCTTGTGCATCTCCGTTTCTTGAAGAACTTGTTCATTCTGAAAGGAAATCAAAAGCATAAACTCTTTATTCTGATTCTGTTGATACCAATAAACAAAAGTATGTCCTTTTTCGGGGGTACAATCCATCTTTGTTTTCTGTCCTTTTCCTTTGACCAAATGTCCTGGAGTCTGTGTGACTTTGGCATGAAAAGAGTCTGTAAGAGAAAGAAACAGATGCTGTAGAAAGAGTCCAGGAAAGAGCTTAACAAACAAAACAAAACAAAACAAAACAAAACAAAACAAAGCTTGGATCTGCTGGTTGGCAAGCCCAGGACAAGGATTTTTCTTTTGTGCTCAGGGCGCATCTGCTGCCAGGAGACACAGGGCTGCACAGCCGAGGAGCCTGGTGCCCATGATCGCATTGACGTTGCAAAGGGATGAGGCTTTTTCATCCCCTTTCTGCACCTTCTTGTGACGTGATCCCTCCACTGACTTATAATCATCATGTTATTGCTTCATGTTCCTGAGCAAAAACACTTCATAGTATCAGGGAAAAAAAGCTTTTATCCTAACTCAGGAAATATAACTCAGTTATTTTGTATTCATTTAAAAATATGTTATGTCTATTTTTGCTAATATAAGCAATACACTCATATTTTAGAAAGTTAGAAAATAAAATAACAAAATAAAAATATGATACCACTGCCAGAAAGCAATTATCACTGTTAACACCTTAGTGAGTCTTTCTAGATCCTTCTCTGCCCCATATATAAATGTGTAGATATATAGACACTTTTTTTAGTAAACAATATTCTTGAAATTCTGTTTGATAAGCTTTTTTTCAGTTAATGATCATCCTTTCTCATCGATGCATTTTCATCTTATCTACTATTTAGTTTTTATGCAAAGTTTCACAGTTGTTTCAAAAACGTCCTTTGCCATTAATTTGAGCATCAGTTTCTAACTCAAGACTGGACATTCCTTCTGGCTATTAGTTATCTAATTATCTTTTATATATTTCAGATCTCTGTTGTAATTGCTATCTTTATGATTCTGAAACTAGTGACTGCTTTGAAAAATACTTCACCTTCTAGCTCTTTCTGGTGTATTTTAGCTTGTTCATTTACTAGTGCTTCTTTTACATAACCTCCCTTTTTTGCTTTTTCTCTCTGTAACTATTTATTTTAAATTGTGCATTTTTTGATGATTTTTTTTTTCGCTTACTTTTCTCTTCCTCCATCTCATCCTCATTTCAGGTAAGTAATGTTAACAGCTTAATGTATATCTTTCCATAGATTTCTCCTTACTAATTTAATTGTTCAGTGAGGTTGTTTTCTCCACATTACAAAATGGACTTTGAATATATAGATAATAACTTGATAAAATACCAACAGAATGATCACTTAAAAAAACAACTTGGCACAGGAAATAAAAGATTACCAGAATATTTGAAAGCTCTTATTTCTTTTCCCAGATTCCATGCCTCTGTTCTCTAACTCTATTGAGGTGTTTGTTTTTGTAATTATTTGCTTCTCTTTTATATTTTAATGCATAGGCACATAAGCAAACAAAATAGTGTTTAGTTTTAGATGCTTTCAAACTTTACACAAACGAGACAATACTGTACCTTTCTTCTGCAATGTAATTTTTCATTCAAATTTGTGAAATTCATTCATGTTTGTGTGTTTAGTTTTAGTTCATGAATTTTCACTGCTGTGTAATTTCTTTTTAATAACCAGGATTTATTCTTCTCTTAAGTTACATTTGGATATTTTATACGTTTTTGCCATGACAGATGTATTACAGTGAATATTCTTGTCCTGATTTTCGTAGAAGGGTTTCTCTAGAAAAGCCTTTCTCAAGGGTGGAATTGATGGATAGTGGGTACACACATCTTGAACTTTACTAGATAATACCAAATTGTTTTCCAAACTGGATCTACCGATATACACTCTAGCCAGTGATTCAGAGAGTTCTTGTTGACACTTTGCCTTGCCAACACTTGATAGTTACTATTTTTATCATCGTAGCCATTCTTGTGGGTATATATTTCGTTGGACTCAATTTCTATTTCCCTGATTATTAAATATAGCCACATTTACATGTTTAATGACCAGTGAGATTTTGCTAGGTGCTTATGGTTTTCACTCACTTTTTCCATTGACAGTTACCTTTTTCTCATTGATCTGTAGAAAAATTAGTTTGTAGGTTTTTAAAAAATTTATATACTAGCTTTTCTTGAAAATATAAATATAAATAGGGATATTAATTTGGTATAAATATATAGATATTTAATGATATGTCACTATACAGTCAATCTTGTCACTGTTACATAATTAACATTGATAAATTCAATATGTTAATTTTGATATAGCCATTTTTATCAATCTGTTCCCTATGATTGAGGGAATAAGAACTCTTTCCCTGCTTTAAGGCCATGAAGATGTGCTCTTATACAGTATTCTAGAAGCCTTGTGATTTTATTACAATTATGCTTTTAATATAGCTGGGATTGATTTTGGCTATATATTGAGATGTGTCCAATTGCACTTATTTTTCTTTATATAGATACCCAATTTTCCTATCACCATTTATTGAAAATTATATTCTTTGATTGTTGCAGTACCATTGCTCTGTGTTTATGAACATGTATTTTTTTCCTTGGACCTATTTATATATCAATGCCCTTATATTACACCACTTTTATTGTTGTGGTTTTATAATAATTCTTCATGTTTGTTAGATTTAGTCCTCTCACTTGGAGCTTCTACTTCAGTGCCTCAGCTATTCTTTTATCCTTTGCAGCTATTCTTTTATCCTATCCTATCCTTTATCCACTGGTAGGAGACTCATGCAACTTCATTCATGGAGGCTTTTCATTTCCTACTTTGGTGATTTCTTGGAATCTTAGCTAAGTCTTGTGTCTTTCCAAAAGGAACCTCAGTGGAAAAGGTTCTGTGCACCTCAGTAAACTAACATATGACATTTTACCAACTATTCCCTGTTACCCAAGAAGTGTTTGCGGCTTCTTCTGCCTGGGTTACCTTTATTTTTTTCCCGAATTTTCTTAGAAATATCAAATACTAGACAAAACAAAACTCTCACTCTCTCTCTTTCCCTCTTTTGTTTTTACATCCCATGTTCTAATCACTCCTCACTCTTAGGCTTCTTTAATCTCCATAAGGAACCAGAATACCACAGTCTTAACTTCCATGCCTTTTATCTCTGTGATCTAAATCTATATTTGGTTGGAATTTTCTGTCCCCATAGTTCAATTATTTACATGCTGAAATCTGCAGAATCTCAACCTCTAGTCCAGCCTTATGGCATCTCAATTTCACATCTTGTCTATGCAGTTGCCTGCTTCTAGTTTTTATCTCATTGTTCCATAGACAGTTGAACCCTATTATCCCAAATGGGAACTGCTACTGCTAACATGATTTCATATTGTTTGAAACTGTGCCCTTTGTTAAGGATCAAAGTTATATGAGGAAAATGGAAAAATAGTATCATTTCAAAGTTACATGAGGAAAATATATATATATATTGAAAAATTGTATTGTTTGCTTGTCTGCTGATGACAATGAAGCTTCAGCTCTCTCTTTTGAGCAACAGCCTACAAAGGACTTTCATACTTATTGTATTCATGGAACCAAAAACTCAACTTTTTCAAAAACTCCTTTCTGTCTACTTCCTCAAATGTATTCCATTTCTTTTGATTCATATAAATTGATCATCTTCTTTCTCTTTGTAAACTGTTCCCCAAAGTGACAAACTCTTTAATATGCCTTTGCAAAAGCTGTTCTCTTTGCCCAGAATGCCCTACTCAGAACCAGGTCTAGCTGGTGAAGTTCTAATGTGACTTCCTCTTTGTTTTCTCTGATTCAATCAGACAGAATTGGGCATGTCCTCCCTAAAGCTCCCAAATGACTTCTGATTTTAGTATTATACATTATATTTTCCATTCTGTTATAACTACTTTATTGCTAGACTCTTAGCTCCTTGGATAAAGGATCTATTTTCTTTTCAGTTTTGTATCTTTTGTGTTTGCAAAAGTAACAGGACATAGTAAAATCTCAAGAAAATATTAAAAATGAAAAAATTAAGCTAGAGGATGTGGTGGGGGCTGTAGGGTGAGGACACATTTCCGCACAGAGAGACAATGGTTGTGCTTCCATTGTGGTGCGCTCCCAGGACAGAAGTACAAAGCTGTTTGGCTGGTGTGGGCCAACTTCACCCTGAGAAGAAATAGCCCCTTCTCCTCTTGGCAGACACGTAGCCTTCAGTTAGATCTCCTCTCTGAATATCCTTTTCAACCCTTGAGTAATAGATCAGTCTCAGATTTTGCTTTGGGTCCTGCCAGTACCAGTAGCAGTACATGTCATTGTGTCTCAAATTCCGTTTCCACTCCAGAGTCACATCCCATCCAGCCCCAGTGAGCTGGAATGGCATCTGATAGATGTCAGCATCCAAGGGTCCAAGAGACAAAGGCTGGAGATCATGCCTGGAAGGGAGGTGCTGGCCAGGGAAGGGCCTGGCAAGCCCAGAATAGGAATTGACCACCTGGATGTGTGCTGAGCTCACCTGCTCCCAGGAGACACAGGGTCACATAGCAGAGGACCCAGCTCCCCATGGCAGCGACAAAATCTCTCTGAAGTTACAGACACAGGCTCTAAGAGAGAGAGAGAGGCCAAGGGAAGGGGCTGAGATCTAGCCCCTCCCCGGGGCTTAATATAAAGAATTTGTCATTGCTACGTGATGACTGATTTTCACAGCTGATTTTGCAGATGGTGAGACTAAGAATTAGAGCGATCAAGTCACATGCACCTCCTCTTCTGCTTATAGAAGCTTTTTATATCCCTTCTAAATGGACAAGTGCCTGCCTGCATGGTCAGAAGAGCCAATCCCTCACTTCCTGGTCAGAGTCATACACAGAGTGCCATGCACCTGTGCTCAACTCAACACAAGAAGGGGTTTGGAAGTTTAGTGGTTTTGTTTTTGTTTTTGTTTTTTAAAGAACCGATTCTCTACACCCTCTGTATTCACTATAAATAATTAATACAGTAGAGATGGGGTGGGGGCTACTCCTGCAATTTTAGGAATAGCAAAGTGTCTGAAGCGCCCCTTCCCTTGTGACAATGGATTAGAGCAGGGACTTGGGACACGGCATGGGCTTTAGTCCTGTCTCTGCCATTTCGCAGCTATGTAACCTTGGAAAAGTTACAGAGCATCTCTTCAATTTCACTTTATCTGTAAAATTGAGATAATAAGTAACTACCCAAAACCTGTGATGAACATTACATAAATAAAGCATTTAGAACAGTTCTTAGTACATAAGAAACACTAGATTTGCGTTTGCTCTTATTACTTTCTGGACCTGAAGTTCTAATTCACAGGAAGTTAGGAAGTCAATACTGTATCAAGTGAAATGAGACATTTATGGTCATAGGGTTGTACCAGCTGACTAAAGTCTCATTTTCCAACTGAGTAGAAATTTGTATGAGTGTAAATTCATTGTATAACATGGGTTCTTCCAAGTAGTTTTAGTAAATAAAAATAGGATCCTAGCTGATTTCTTAATGAATGCTTTTGTTTTGGTAGACAAATGTTGTTCTATTTCTGAGGTTATCTGCAATTAAAAGATGCTTTCATGATGAAACTTTTGGTTGCAAGCTGGTGGGGTTTAGAAGCTGTTGCTGTTCCCTCCTAGAAGAAAAACAAGGCAGAGAGAGAGAGAGAGAGAGAAAACAAAGAGCAGGAGAGAGACAGAAAGAGAATATAAAGTAATTATTTAGAGTGAGAAGCATTAAGAGGTGCGGCAGTGTGGGTGAAACTCTGAGAAAGAATGCTTGCAACATAGTTGTTTCCAATGCGTAGGTCTAGGCTTCAGGTTGTCAATCATGCCTGCGTTGAGGATCTAATTCTGTGTCCAGGAGTTCTTCACATTGTACCAGGGACCTCTTTGTCAGACTGGTAAATCCTAAGGACCCCATCTCAGAATAACATTTTAAATGCATAAACTAGAATATAGAAAATTATTTTGAAATGCAGATATCAATTTTTTTAAATTCTCATATATTAATATAGGAACACCTTTAAATTTCATTATATGAAATATAACCTGCTGAATCTGAAAACTGTCATGATTTCAACATAGTGATGAAAGTATATTTACTGCATTTAACATGGTATGAAAATATCTGACTTTTATATCAACTGTCATCTATGCAACATATAAGCAAATGTCTGTGATTTCTGTCATTGACTTTGTCACTGATATTACTAAAACTACTATGGTTTACTCATTATATCATAGAAGGAAAGGTATATTTCAGTTGGAGGTTAGTTAAAATAAAGATCTATTTTCCCATTCAAATTTATTGATTCCCTGAATTTTATCTCTGCACTCCTTGGAGGTCCACGGATCCCAGGTTAAAAACTTCTGCCTTAGAAGAGAATATGCATTATGCTGGAATCCACAGACAGGAAATGTTTTTTAGAACGTTCATATAGCCTCGGAAGTACTTAGCCTATATGTGTAGTTTGCAGATTTGTCAAGGTGTCAAGGGAAACAATTTAAACTACTTCTTTAGACTGTTTACAGACTTCAATTATAACAGGTATTATATTATACTTACCATGATTGTGTTCTAGTCCTGGAAACATGGTACAAATTCTATCATCTATCTTTCTACATACTGTCTGCATTATCAATTATATTCATCATTATCCATATCATCATCATGATTATCATGTATATTTTATTCCTGAGGAGCATTATTGGAATAGAAAACTACAGGGACATAGTATGATAGTATATACTCTCTTGCATGAAGGAGTAAGGCTTTATGCTAAGAAACCATGTAATCAGAAATAGTATTCCTAAAATGGAATCACAAAATTATCTCCACACTATGTTTTAAAATAATCTCTACAGTACTATGTGTTACTAATTCTGAGACACCTCAGATCCCAATATTGGTAATATATGCACTATTCTTATTGATGGAATTTAGACAGTTCTACTGTATTTAAGATCCTCATTGTAGTCAGTGTTAAATAGTGTCCTATTTCCTAGATAAAGGAGTAAATAATGAAAAAGTTTATGTCATTAAACACTCTTCCTATATTGCAACAGATTCAACAGTATGTTCCCATTTCGTGCCTCCAATATGGTAATTCTCCATCTGAATACTTGGATCCATTTTTAAATTAGTGAATTGTATTTTTGGAGCAATTTTAAGTCCACAGCAAAGTTGAGCAGAAACTACAGAATCCCAAGTATTCCCTGCACTCACATGAACAACGTTCCCTACTACTGACACTCTGTGTTGTAGAACTATAGACCTGATGAAGGTGGCCTATGGGAGAAACAAGAATGGAATTCAGAGGCTTGACCAGCAGGGCTGCAACCCCTCATTCCAAATCATGTGCTTAACTGCAAAATATTCCCTTTAATTAATCTTAACGCATAGGTATGTTTTCATTAACAAAATGTATCTCTTCTTAAAGTACACCTTGCAGAAATTTCACAGCTTTTCCAATACATGTAAATAAGTATATTTTACCTGGAAACAGAGCAGCACTAACACTTGATTGGTTCACATGGTGAATGAGGCTGACGCTGTGAGCTCACATATGGTTGCTCCAAACCATATGCAATTTCTGGAGAAGGTATTTTTATGTAACATACTGAGGTAGAGATGTCAATTGAAAAATGTAAAGACGAAATTGAATTAGGCTGACGTGAAATCTTGGCAGAAAATATTTTTATTGAGTACATTTATAATCTTGTTAAAATAAAATTTAGGAAAATATATATAAGATCTGTATAATAAAAAATACAAAGCGATGCTGAGAGAAATTAACAAGACCTCAATAAAGAGATGTGAGGGACTTTCTGAGACGATGAAAATGTTTTGTATCTTGATTGTCATCATGGTTACATCATGGGTATAAAAATGTGTTAAAATTTGTTGAAGTGTACACTTAAAATGCGGGTGTGTTTTATTGCAGCAGTTGGATTTGTTTATTGCATACATATTCCATATATATCTTATGTCTCAATAGAGTTGCTTTAAAAATGTTCGTAATTGTTGGCCAGGCGTGGTGGCTCATGCCTGTAATCCCAGCACTCTGGGAGGCCGAGGCAGGCGGATTACGAGGTCAGGAGATCGAGACCATCCTGGCTAACACGGTGAAACACCGTCTCCACTAAAAGAAATACAAAAAATTAGCTGGGCGTGGTGGCGGGCGCCTGTAGTCCCAGCTACTCGGGAGGCTGAGGCAGGAGAATGGCGTGAACCCAGGAGGCGGAACTTGTAGTGAGCCGAGATCACGCCACTGCACTCCAGCCTGGATGACAGAGCGAGACTCCGTCTCAAAAAAAAATTAAAATAAATATAAATAAATAAATAAAAATAAAAATTTGTGATTGTAACATTCCATAGGGCAGGAATTGCTAATGGTTCCCACTAGGCTTCTATGGCAGGGAGAGCTGTGAGAAGCAGTCAAAAAGCCCTTTAGAGTCTGTCTCTAGTTCAAGGAAATGTGCTGGGTCAGAAGATCAGGGTCTACCTGAAAGACACAGTTGATCCGCTTGTCATTCTTATTTGTGCACCCACAACTTTACCAAGTGAAAAGCACAGAATCCCCTTCTTTAAATAAAGATTGTTAGAAATCCATAAAGCTCATGTAGAGAGAGAGAGAGGGTAACCTAGCATATCTTACCTAATATGCTGAACACTGAGGAATCCAAGCTTTTTATGCCTTCTGGCCCCTTCCCTGGGGTTTTGTCCCCATCAGTTGTTTTAAATAACCCCCCTTTGTTTTTTGCTCACTTAGAGCTGTTATTTACAAGTTTTTCCTTCTGATTTATTGTCTTTCAAGTTGGGTTTCTGTTACGTAGTGCCTACCAACCTGCTACACACTTATTTCCTGAGCTGGGTCCATAATGAGTTTGTGTTCTAAGAAGGGCTAACATTCGGCACTGTGGCTTTGCTGCTGGCACAGAAATACAGTGCTGTGTCCCCTGACTCCGTGGACTGGATCTCCAAGGTACAGGATGAGTTTTTGGAGCATTGGGCTAAAAATCGCTCATTGATTATTTCTGCTTTCTGAATAAGTTCTTCATTCTGAAAGTAAACCAAAAACTTGAGCTCTTCTTCCAGCTTCTTACGATACCAGTAAACATAACTATGTGCTTTTATAGGAACACAATCCATCTTTGCTTTCTGTTCACTTGCTTTGACCAGAAGTCTAGGTCTCTGGGTGACCTTGGTGTCCGTGGAGCCTGTGGAGGAAGGAGAGAGCAGCTGTAGAAAAAGCGCAGGAGGGAGCTTGATACTGCAGCCACCGGAGAGAGTCTTGGAACTGAAATTCAACCAGTTCAGAACAGGGCCTTACCTGGCTCCCCAGAAAGAAATGGCCACACAGCAGAGAAGTCTGAGGCACATGGTTGGCTCAGAAAGAAATCGTAGTGGTAGCTTTTTCTGTAAGGCTTCTTCACCCACTCTCCTAGCCCCCGTCAGCAACCTCCTTGTGACGTGATCACTTTCCATAGCCTTTGTAGATGCTCTGTACATGGGACAGAGTCATTTCAATTTCAAAGAATGTAGGAGGGCAGACTTTGTTTTAGCTGTTAAAAATAGTGTAAGTTTCAGCCTGCTTTTAGTTTTTTTTTTTTCTGTTACTCACTGTTTTGCTATTTTTTTTAAGTAAAATCACTCATACATTTATTTACTTAAAAAATTATTATACTTTAAGTTCTGGGGTACATGTGCAGAATGTGCACTTTTGTTACATAAGTATACACATGCCATGGTGGTTTGCTGCACCTATCAACCCATCATCTACATTAGGTATTTCTCCTAATGCTATCCCTCCCCTAGCCCTCCATCCCCCGACAGGCCCCATGTGTGATGTTCCCCTCCCTGTGTCCATGTGTTCTCATTGTTCAGCTCCCACTTATGAGGGAGAACATGCGGTGTTTGGTTTTCTGTTCTTGTGATAGATTGCTGAGAATGATGGTTTCCAACTTCATCTATGTCCCTGCAAAGGACATGAACTCATCCTTTTTTATGGCTGCATAATATTCCACGGAATATATGTGTCACATTTTCTTTATCCAGTCTATCATTGATGGGCATTTTGGTTGGTTCCAAGTCTTTGCTATTGTGAACAGTGGTGCAATAAACATGTATGTGCATGTCTCTTTATAGTAGAATGATTTATAATCCTTTGGGTATATACCCAGTAATGGGATTGCTGGGTCAAATGGTATTTCTGGTTCTAGATCCTTGAGAAATCTCCACACTGTCTTCCACAATGGTTGAACTAATTTACACTCTATTTACTTTTTTAACTTGTCAGTTTGCTTCTTCCCCTCCCTTCCATCTCAGGTAAGGAATCATACAACTCGGTCTTTACAAATAGTAGCTTTTGACACACTTATAAAATCACATAGCAGCTGCTTTACATTAAGTAAGTATTTATTTATTTATTTATTTATTTATTTATTTATTTTTGAGACGGATCTTGCTCTGTCTCCCAGGCTGGAGTGCAGTGGCATGATCTCAGCCCACTGCAGCCTTTGTCTCCCGGGTTCAAGCAGTCTCCTGCCTCAGCCTCCTGAGTAGCTGGGATTACAGGCCCCCACCACCGCACCTGGCTAATTTTTGTATTTTTAGTAGAGACAGGCTTTCACCATGTCACTGGCTGGTCTTTAATTCCTGACCTCAAGTGATCTGCCCACCTCAGCCTCCCAAACTGTTGGGATTACAGGCATGAGCCACTGTGCCCGGCTACATTAAATAATGAAATGTTGAACTATACAGAACAATATTTATGACAAATATGCAATGCATATATAGAAGCAATAAAATGAATACCTTTGCCTGAACCAATCAGCTTAAGAGTTAGATTATTGCTGAAAATTTCTCAGTCCATGTTACTCTTTTAGATTTCCTCATTGTTTCTCCGTCATGCCCAGGTAGGTGTAATCTGAAGTTTAAATTTGTCATTCACTAGCTTGGCATTATAGTCTTTAGCATTTACACAAGAATCTGTAAATTATGTAGTATTTAATTTTGTGTGTCTTTGAAATGTATCTAAGAGGAATCAGCTAGTTTATATATTTTCTACAATGTTATTTTTTCATTCAACATTAGGTCTGTGATAATACGTTGACACACAATCTAGACAATTTACTTTCACTGCCATCTAGTATTACATTATATTCATTGGCTAGAATTTATTCATTCTTGAATTAATGCACACTAATTTTTCCCTGGGTGTTTGTGCTGCTACAAACAGTATTGTATTCTCGAACATGTCTCTGCTTTTCTAGGTGCAAGATTGTTGCCATACCTGGCAATGTAAAGACTGAGTTTTCAAGTCAACATGTCAACTTTACATAACATAACAAAATGCTTTCCAAAGTGATTAAGCCAAATAAGTGATCCCACCAACAGCTCATGAGTGTGTTCAGATGTTCCACATCTAGGACTACACTTGCTATTTAATATACGTTTAATTTTGCCAGTCTAGTATGTTAATATTATCTCATGGTGCAATATAGTTTTTGTTTGCTTCTTTCTGGTTGCTAAGGAGGTTGAATATATTTGATATATTATAGGCCACCAGTGTTGCCTGTAAACTGCCCTTTGTCCATATTTCTTTTTGGTTGATTAGCTATTATTTATTTGTAACAGTTTTTTCTAGACTCTGGATACCCAACCTTTGTCAGCTATGTGTGTTGCTAATATCTTTCCAATTTGTGGTGTATGTCTTTATTCTGTTTGTGCTACTTTTTGTTGGGTTTCTTTAGTAGAATGCATTATTCTTTTATTTGGGGTAAACATGTTTTTTAATTCTTTGTTAAAAAAAATCTTCCATAGCCCAAGTTCATGAAGATATAATCCTTATTATTTACCAAAACTCCTAACATTTTGAATTTTGCATTTAAGCATTTAATTCACTTGTGATTTATTTTGACATATATTGTGAAGTAAGGTTTAAATTCATCTTTCCTTGTATGGATAACCACCTGTTCCAGAATAACTTGTATATTACATCATTCCTCCGTATATCTTCAATAACACCTCTATTATATATGAAATTCCTGTATATTCATGGGCCTATTTTTCATTTTCTGTTTTCCATTTGCCTATTTAATCACGCTTCTTTCATTATCCTAAATGATAACATAATTTGATAATTGGTAGAGCAATTCACATCACTTTTTGTACTTCTTAAATATTGCTTATTTTTGTTCTTTTTCACTTAGTTGTAGATTATTTGACAAATTTCATAAAGTAAATCTTTTGTAGTTTGATTACTGTGGTATTGAATATATAGATAATACTGCAGAAATTGAAACAACCTTACTATTGGATTCACTTTTTCATGATCATGTTGTATATCTTTACTTATTTCAAACTTTTTTTTTTTGAGACGGAGTTTCTTTCTGTCGCCCAGCCGCCTGGAGTGCAATGGTGCAATCTCAGCTCACTGCAACCTCCGCCTCCCGGGTTCCAGCAATTCTCCTGCCTTAGGCTTCCGAGTAGCTGGGATTACAGGCACCCACCACCATGTCCAGCTAATTTTTTGTGTTTTTAGCAGAGACAGGGTTTCACCATGTTGGCCAGGCTGGTCTTGAACTCCTGACCTCAGGTGATCCAGCCACCTCGGCCTCCCAAAGTGCTGGGATTACAGGTGTGAGCCACCGCGCCTGGCTTATTTCAAACTTTTAAAATAATTCCCTTAAATGTATTTATTTAGAGACAGAGGCTAGCTCTGTCGCCCAGGCTGGAGTGCAGTGGCATGATCTCGGTTCACTGCAAGCTCCGCCTTCTGGGTTCAAGCCATTCTCCTGCCTCAGCTTCCGGACTAGCTGGGACTACAGGCGTGCACCACCATGCCTGGCTAATTTTTTTGTACGTTTAGTAGAGATGGGTTTCACCCTATTGGCCAGGCTGGTCTTGAACTCCTGACCTCATGATCTGCCCGCCTCGGCCTCCCAAAGTGCTGAGATTACAAGCGTGAGCCACTGAGCGCGGCCCTGATTCCCCTAAAATTTTAATAGTTTTCTGCATGATAGTCTTGCTAATCTAATAGATTTGTTCTTAGGTGTTTATTTTCTATTTTATATCATTATTTGTAAATTGTCTCTCGTTAAAAAACATAACTGCTTGTAGTATGTGAAAATAAAATAATGTTTTATATTTATGTTAAATTCAGTAAACTTACTACATTTTGTTATTGATAATGCATTGCTTCTTTAGACCCTTTTGAATCTCTATAAATAAACTTGTCGTGCGCCAATACTTATTTTTCTTTCCTTTCTCATTTTCAACTTTTTCCCCTTGTTTCACTGGTTGCAAATTCAGCACAATGTTGAATAGAAATCACGGTATTATTCATTTATATATTTATCAACTGTGTAGAAATCACACAACTACAGGTGCCAGATATGGGTAAACGCTAAGGGTTATTACAAAATGTTAAGATTAGATCCTGCCATTTTAAAGACCAATTGGCCTCCCAGGATATCTGCAATTTTTTTGGTCAGTCAGTACCTAAACATCTCATCTGAAATATCCGGTGAAGCTGTGAGTCCCCACTTGATGAGCGGCAGATATTTTATAGAAAGATCCACATCACCCTCTAGTGGTCAAAGGAGCGAATTCATCCAATGCCCGCGGAGCTCTGCCTCGGCCTGCCTGAGTCGGGAGTGGCCCGCCCGGCAGCGAGGCAGCAAAAAGGCATTCCAGGTATCAGAGCGAAATTAAGAAAAAAGCAGCACTTGATGTGCTACCTGCCACATACTCCACAGCATTGTTACTAGCAATTACTTACACAATTATTCAGCCATTAGTCTAATGCCGATGGTGGTTTATCAGTGCATTTTGCCTCCCTCAACCTTTTATAGTCCCCCAAGGCAGGTGTGCTCCCTAAACCGCTATCCTATGCTCTCTGATCTTTTCATTGTAAACTGTATATCAAGGGATTGGAGGCACTTTCATTCTTCCAGTGATGCTAAATGTCCCAAAGGTGTGCTTCTTATCCAGATCCATTTTCTGAGTCCATGACTTGTACATCCAACTGCTCTCTGCATATTCCTGGTTAGATTACTGTCCCTAAGGCACTCCCAATCTCAAAGTAAATCTTGATCTTCTTCCCACTTGGTCCTTCTTATTTGTCTGTGTGTAGCAGTCTCTCTTAATCACCACCCACCACCCCCTGCATATTGCTGCTCATGTCTAATCAATTGCCAAGTCCTTTGATTTACTTCCTTTTAAATGTCTCATTTTCCCCATATTTCTAACACCATCATCATTATCTGAGCTAAACTACTGCTTGCCTGAGCTAAGTTTTTCCTCCGCATCAACTCTGTTCACACTGCTGGAGGGTGGCAGCATAAGCCTCCCAACCCTCTGCCCAAAATATGCCACTTTGGCATAAGGAATATTTTGAGCTAGAGGCATTAAACACAATAGCAAGTATAAGAGGAGTACTCTGACCCTTCCCCTTTTCTTCTTGAAAAATGGAATAAGCTTCCCATATAAAAGATGTCTTATCTATACCAGGAAAAAAGAATATTCTTAACATCCAAGATAGAATGGGATGATGTTGAGGCCAAGGAATCTGTAACAAAAAAAGCTTGTTAAACTAATCCTCACCTTCCTAGTCACTTTGCCATTCAACCAGCAACCCTAGCCTAAGCCCCTTTACTTTTTCACCTTTCCACAATGTATGACCCTTTGCCCAATTCAATATATGAATGTTCAACTCTAACTGCACATTCAGTTCTTCCTTTAATTATGGGGGCTTTCATGTGATGTAAAACTTGTATTAAATACATGTGTATGCTTTCCTTCCTGTTAATCTTCCATTCTCAGGACCAGCCGAAAAACTGCAAGAGGGTAGAGGTAACATTTTGCCTTCCCTGCATGGTCCATTATTTCTTCACTTTGTGACCAGGGTGATTAAATACACAGATACACACACAGCCACGAATCTGATTACTAAAGAAGTCAAATGTTGAAAACCTCAGTGTCTCCTATTAAGCTTTATGTTGGATTCTGTATCATTTACCTTGACCAGTAAGGTTCTGAGTGGTCTGGTGCCTTCCTGCCTTCTTCAATTTTGCCCTGTACTCAACCACCTCCTCCCCCTGCTCCTGTCACTCTGCTGACTTCTTTCCTGTCATTAAACACACTAATTTCTTTCCTGATTAAAACATTTTGCACTGGTTCTTTAATCTTTCTTAAATGCCCTTGAATTCATTATCCCTCGTCCCACTTAATTAACTCTAGCTCATCTTGATGTAAGGTATTTAGGAATAATATTTAAAATTTCTTCCTATACCTTTTATTAAAAGGAGGATAACAATTAAATATGCAATATCAGGGGCTTCAGACTCTCCAGGGAGTATTTCATCAATAATTACTTTCAAGAAATTAGACATAGTTCATTTTTTAGGATAAAAGAGTCTTAACTGGTTTTCAAAAATGGCACCAGATAGGAGATTACAGATAAAAGACACTCACATATTTATGGGTAGTTAAAATTGACTACTGGTCAGTTAATAGGAGTCACACTGCTTTCCACATTCCAGAATGGAAAAACAGCAGCAGAGGTATGAAGTTGAGAAGTAGCTTATCAAATATTCATCTTTGGACACCTGAGATGGTGCATGTACTATAGCAAATGGGTTGAGACTCTGGGAAACCAGTTCGAGAGATTATTTTTGACATTAAGAATGGGGATATCCAAGGATATAGAGGAATTAGACGACCCTAGCTCCCTTGAAACCTCTGAAATTCTTCCCATGGCTTCTCCATTACTGGGAAAAACAGTGCCTCCGTGTGTGTGTGTGTGTGTGTGTGTGTATGTGTGTGTGTGTGTGTTGGGGAGGAGGATGTAAGAGTCTGTCTCTTACCTCACCCATCACTGCCTCTGAAAGGTGAACTTGATTTTAAATACAACAAAGCACAGAGAGTAGAATATAAAATCAGAACAGAAAGTTCAACACTTCAAAAAGAATTGCTCATCAAAAATTTATGTCATTCAAAATTTACAGGAAATGTGATAGGATTTTATTTTGTTGGTACTTGTCCAAGGAAGACAGAACACAAATATGGACTGAATGCTGTTCAATGCTGTTGTCTCGTTTCCTAAGGTAATATAGGTAGGCAGTAGGCTGTGTCCTTGACAGTCAGCTGGTTTGGGAATGTCAGGTCTGAACCCAGCAGCGTTCCATGCTAAATGTCACCGAAACACTACACTCCTCAGCTTAACGTAGACGGAAATAGTGACTGCGTGAAATAGGAATGTAACCACTGTCTCCCTGTTTCATGCCAGAGCCTTAAAAGCTCTTGTCTTTTCCATGCCGTTAGTGAAGCAGTGGAATATTTTATAAGTATTTTACTAGCTCTGTTCTCCAGGCTGAAAACGCTAACAGAGTAAAAGGCTACAACTAAAGTGGGTCCTGAGATCAGTGGCAATGGCACAGTCTGAGGTGACTGAACCCAGGTGGGGTATTTAACCACCAGCAACACACGGTCATAGCGGAGACGAAAAGCAGCAGCGTGTTCACTGCAGAATTGGCTCCCATCTTGTTCCAGTCAGTTCCACCTTGGTCAGGGGCCAGGTGTCATCTCCACGCTTTCACGTTCACCCTTATTGTCTAAACCCCTGTTCTGTGTTGCAAAGGGTTGACAAGGGTCCAGGTCTGTTGGGTGGTAGGTTGTCCGCTGTGATTAATTCAGCAGCCGATATCTATATGAGGATGGTAGCAGTTAAGCCACTGCTATTTCACTCCTGGTTTTGACTATAAAATGCCCTTGATCCTTTTCTTGTAAGAACTCTAATCTATTCATTTATTTGTTTTCTCTTCTTTTTGATGCTATATGCATTCAATTTTATTTATCTTAACCTGTGGTTCATAACACACAGGCATTGCTTGTCAATGAATATTTTTAAAAAACATAATAGGAACTTGTAAAACTTCTCCTCCTCAACATTATGCAAGATAGACCTTGACAATATTTCAATGTATAGCCATATAGTTCTCTCTCATTCTATTTCCTGCCATGCCCCAGCCTTATAAAAATCCTGAACTTGGGTCATTATTATTCCCTGCCAGTAGTGTGTTGGTAAAGGGTAAAGGGTTGACAGCTAAGTCTGGAGGAAAATAAAGCAAACCGTAATTTGCTGTGTTTGCTAATTTCTGTAGTGTAAATACCCTCACTATGGCCAATTTCAAGCTAACAAAATGATGTCACTAAAACTGGAGTTGGGAAAAATGTATACAGTCAGCTCCCATGAGCTGATAAAGTAGGCTCCAGCATACAACTCATCTTTGCTTTCCTTTCAATATAATTTGTTCTAATATATTTCAGTCCTGAAAATTATTTTCTTGACTTGTTTTTAGCTTTATGAAAAGCACATTATGCTTTGCATAATCTCATTAGACTTAGTTTTTACATTTGCTATTATATTGCTAAGATTCACCTATAACCTTGCTCTTCACTGTAGTTCATTCATTTTGACTCATATGAATATGTCACAGTTTATTCATTCACTCTTCTCAGTGCATATGTGGCTTGGTGCCATGTTTTTCTACTGTTTGGTGCTGTGAAGAACACTTTTTTATTTATGTCTTCTGATATGTGTATGCAAGAGCTTCTCCTGATGTAAACCTAGGAGTGGAATTGCTGAGTTATGGGATATAGGAATCTTCAACTACGAGATAATGCTGAACTGTTTCCAAATGGTTGATAGTACTTATGCTCCCATCAGTAATTTATAAGTAATCCTATGAATCCATACCCTCGCTAACATTTTATATTTCTAAACTTTTTATATTTTGCTAATCAAGTGGATATAAAACTATGTATCATTGTGTCTTGCTTCATATTATCCTGATCATCAATGAAGTGAAATATCTCTATATGTTTATTAGTCATATATGTTTATTCTATTAAATGTATGGTCATATGTTTTGCTCATTTTCTGTTGGTTCATACAGATTTGTGGTCAATGTAAATGTTTGGTTTCTCCTAGGAAAGGATTTTCACTGTTCCACTTACTGTCTTCTAACTACTGGCAGAACTTTCCAACTCTGTAGACAAGCCATGTTGTCTGAGGTCTTCCTTCTAGGTACCTCTGCCCCCTCTTCCCCTTGACACCTTTCCCAGGAGCCAGCTCACCAGCACCTTCCCTAGCGATACATTCCGTATGGTGTGTACCTAGGCATAGAGGGTGCTCCCCTCCCTTTGTACCGAGTCTTACTCTGTTCATTCATCAACCGAAACACCATGGAGAACATGATGGCGTTCAACATTTACAGGAAATGTGATAGGATTTTATTTTGGTGGCCTGGTCTAAGGAGGACAGAACACAAATTTGGAGTGAATGCTATTCAATGCTGTTGCTATCCTCCCCTAAGGTAACGTATTCATGCATAACTCTCTACTTGGCTGCCTCTTGGTTATCTTTGTCTTGAGAGCCCAGCATGATGACAAGAAAGCCAATCGCTGAAGTTTATTATAGGAAATACACAGTGATTATACAACTGTCTTCATATCTACCTCTAGGATTATGTGTAGATCTATTCAAGAATACATGACTAATGTGGCAGAGTCAGGGCAAAATTCCAGGTTTTATAATTTTCAGGGAACTTTCCATGTCCGCCGACCACTTTAGGCCCAACTCTATTGCCATTTCGTGGGTCTCAAACACTACACCTCCTCCATACTCCACACTCACAGTGCTTCTTTTCTTTTTCTCCCCCTCCCCCCCGCCCCACCCCCTGCACACACACTCCCAGATGTCTCAGTCAGGAAAGCTGTGGTTTTCCATTCTCCACGCTTCCCCTCTCAGCACTCAGGGGGCCCGCTGGGGCGGAGGGCAGCTGCAGGGGTTCTTGCCGCGGTGTCTGATCCCCTCCTGGCGCTGTGTCTCTAGCACTGCAGATGTAGAAGCTGCTGTCTTCAGGATGGGCACTGGTCACTGTCAGAGTGGACAAGGTCAGGCTTGCATGGTTGATGAGAAACTTGTCCTTCTCGACGCCTTGCTCGTATGTGGCCTTGGAGCCCTCATTGGAAGTTGCCATCAGCATGAGACTCTGTTTCGGGAACTGACGATACCAAAACATAGTTGTGGCCTGAAAGTCCAGGGAACGGCACTCGATCTTCACAGAGGTTCCACTCTTACAGATAACCCAGCTCGGATGTTGAGAGACGACAGCACCAAGCCCGGAGCCTGCTGAGACAGAAGCCAGAGAGAGAGGAGAGCCCAGTGGGAGCCGAGTCAGACAGGACGCCAGGCAGAGCTGAGCCTCACTCCCTCCCTGTGCTCCCAGCTCCTGGAGAGTCCTGTTTGTTTTGTGCAATCTTCCCGTCATCTCCCTAGGGCCATAATCCCCCATCTCCTCTGACCGGCGGCTTTCACCTTACCATTTACACCTCTAGAGAGCAGGGCCTCTCCCTCTCCCTTCGATGAGCATAAACAATCCACACTGCAACCCTGCTGGCCACCACTTGACCATGCCAACACACGCACATGCCCACCCAAGCTCCCAGGTAGAAGGAGGCTTATACCTGGCCCCAGAAGCAGCAGAAGCAGCAGCATCTTCCGTGATGGCCTCACACCACCTTCTCTGGGGAGAGTTGTGACCACTGCCTCCATTCACCAGCGAGGAGGGATGACTGATCACAGAATCCCAAGGATGCCCTAGTCTGCCCCCTGGTGGTAATCTTTGCCCATGACTGATGTTACGTCCATCTCTGCCTGTCAAAAAACCATACAGGTCGGGTGAGGTGGCTCACGCCTGTAATTCCAGAACTTTGGGAGTCCGAGGCGGGTGGATCACAAGGTTAGGAGTTCAAGACCAATCTGGCCAACATGGTGAAAACCCATCTCTACTAAAAACACAAAAATTAGCCAGGCGTGGTGGTGGACACCTGTAATCCCAGCTACTCAGGAGGCTGAGGGAGAGAATTGCTTGAACCCAGGAGGCAGAGGTTGCAATGAGCTGAAATCATGCCACTGCACTCCAGCCTGGGTGACAGAGTGAGACCCCATATCAAAAGAAAACAAAAAACCCATACATTGCCTAAAGTGGCCTAAAGACTTCCCAATTCAACTTCCAAATTTATTAAAGATACACTGAGACATAAAGCATTGTAATGACTTAAGTGAGTTTCCTATAAGGAAAGGAGTGTAGGTTTAGGTAATGAATGGCATTGGAGTCTGTTTGCTGCTTCTGTTTCATATCCTCAAAGTAATAACACCAAGACAACTCATGGTTGTTAATCACTAGACCCACAGGTTGGCACTACCATAAATATTGATAAAGCACAGGCCAGTGCCTCGGCTGGAAGTCCAATGTTTCTTCATAATCATGTTGAAGCCACTTCATCATTTTCTAAATGAGATAGTTACCTCATGTGTATCTCATGACAATTTCCCTCATATATAAAGGGACTTAATTCTAAACATTCTAATAATATTTCTCAATTTAGCTTGTATGTTTCCGTGTTAATCACTGTTGAGGTTGTGAGAATAATTAAATTTATTCTATTGTAATGGAGGTCATACTAAGTACTGGACAGTGAAAATAGTTTCTAGGAGGCATAAGAAATTCTTTGATTTGAACAGGCTGGGATACTTGTTTTAATGGATCGATGTTGGAAATATGTAGCAATTACAAGGAGCTGGAAAGTTTTTTTGAAAGCCCTATGTTTTCATTTTTATAACAGCCTCTCAATTGTGCTTTCATTTAATATTTAGTTCTGCTTCTCTGGCATAGGTAGCTAGAAAAGATAAGATTAAGACTTCGCCCATCATATTATGTTTGTGCAATAGTGAAATCGTTTTATAACAAATATAGCTATTGCATTATGTTAATATTGACATATCTATTAAAGGGCATCTGTATGCTCCTGTGGCTGCATTTTTTATTTCCTGGGTATGTTGGGCCTCATTAAAATGAGGCCACTTCATACTGTAACTGTACTTTTTCTGCAAAGAATAAGTAGGGACAGCTTGCTATGGGTGACCTCTGGTCCAATATTATGATATGTCTGGGAGGGAGTGGCTGGAAGACCTTCAGATCAGAAGAAAATCTTCCTATTTATTTTGAGAAACACTAATTGTCAGGTACAGATGGTCTCATGATGGTTCAATGACTTTTCAACTTTACAATGGTGCAAAAGCAATATGCATTTCAGTGTGCTCCTTGACTTATGATGGGGTTATGTACAGATAAGCTGGATATTGTAAGTTGAATTATGATGTTTTCAATTTGTGCTGGATTTATCAGGATATTACCCCACTGCAAGTCAAGGAGCATCTGGATATTCTTGTGGGGTTTTATCACTGTGTCAACTTAGCTAAGCAAGGAATATGTTTCGGACAACTTTTTTCCTAGTATGGTTCCGGGTTAGAGTTGATCATGGGGTAAGAAATGCAGGAAGTTTGTAAGGGGAAAGTAAAACAGCTGCTACTGAGTTCTGAAGTCATCACTGGCTCCAGGCAGTAAGGAGTAGCATCAAAAGTGCCGGTGAGTTCCAATTTATGCTGACTTTCCCCTGCTTCACATCCAGCTCTTTATACCGACTGCCAGCCCTGCTGACCAGGAGGGACTGCAGTGCCACCACCAAATTTTCTGAGAACTCACAGGGCTATTGGCACATAGAGTCAGCCATCTTCATAGATTCCTACACCAGCCCCTTCAGGGTTCCATATAGTGTATGGATATAACAGCTTAATGCAAAACTTAATGCGAAGTCCAGTTCATCCACCTTCACCAGAGCTGGTTAGAGTTGTTTTTTCTGACCCTTTTCAAACTTTCACTTATCCATCTTCTCCCCAAATTGTGTCAGGCCTCATTCCTATAATATATTCTTTTGTTCCTTAATGCTCATGGTGGTTTTTCTTCCCTGACACTTCCATTTGTGTTATGGGTTTGCCATAGCCAAAACCATACATTGTCAATAGCTAGTATGTGCTATGACTTTTCATTTTCTGAGACTACTTCAAGGCCATCTCTTAAAATTAGTCAATGTGACCAGTTTTCTTGGTGTCTGGGGGACTTCAGTATCCATGAGAACTGTTGGAAAAAGAGATAGAAGTTAGAGTCAGAGGCCTGGCACCAAAGGGCTGTGGCACAAGAAATCCTTGGTGTTGAGATCTGATAGCCCATAATAGGGCTCTACATCTTTGCCTGGGATAAATCTACTACTAGGAATCAAAGGCCATGCAGCAGAGAAGCATGCTTAATAGGGCAGACACAGAATATGATGGATCCTCTTTCTGCTCTGAGTTGGTATACTAAAGTTTTGTGCAAAAACAATGACGATTAAAGATGATGGTTAACACATAGGTAGGTAATTGTAATTAAGTATTGGTAAAATAAAACAATACTTCTAGTTATGGTAGATCTAACATTCTGACTATCCAAAATATTGGAAATCATGAAGGGGAACCATAGGTGTTAATTGTTCTAAAGTTCACATAGGCTTCAGGAGAATGGTAAAGATAAGACTAATCTCAGATTTTCTTAATATAATTATATAATAAAATGTTACAGTTAACCATCAAAAAATGAAAATGAATTGCGGACTTCTGAAAGGCAAAATAATGAAATGAGAAAAATAGTCAACAAAAATAAGGTCATGCATGAGGGAAGAAGAAACCAAAATGTGAGAAAAATTAATGTACAAAACCAAGCAAGAAACATAACTCAAAACCCAGGAAATCACCTTCTATAGAAAACTATACAGAAATACATTTAAGACAATAGACTGAGGATTCTAGTTCTATAAATCATGGGCTGAAAAAATACACACTGCTTATGAAATACCCACCTGAAGAATAAAAACAACAAAAAGGCTGCATGTAGAAAGGTTGAAAAAGAAATACTTGACAAATACAATCTTAAAAACATGAAATAGTTTTATTGATGTCATCCCAAAAGGACTTCAATGCAAAAAGAGCAGCAGGGAAAAAATAAGAGTACCAAGTAATGACACAAATTCAAATGGCTGTGGTGTGGTATTTGGTCTTCAAAGACACCAGCCTGATGAAACACACTGGCCAGTGGTCACCTTCCCAGGGGTGCCCTTCTCTTGAATCCGAGCTGGCTGGATTGTGGTGGAGGTGTCACTGCATATTTCTCAGGCTGGGCTGTAAGGAGCCTAGTTGACCACACCCGGGTCTCTTGAATGCTCACAGTTAGGGTGGTCAACGACCATGCCAAAACTTTAGCTGCCTAGAGGCCACCATGCTGTGAGACAGCTCATCTAATCACATCAAAAGGCTGTGTACAGAGAGAAATGCTCAGCGGGTCCACAGCTACTGCAGCCATCCCAGGTAACGAACCAACAGGGGCACAAAAAAGCCACCTTGGATATTCAGCCTAGTTGAGTCTTCAGATATCTTCAGCCTCAGTGACTATCTGACAGTGACCATGTGAGCAGCCCTAAGTGAGAACTGTCCAGCTGAGCCCTTCTACAGAATCACAAGAGATAATAATATGTTGTTCTTTTAAATCACTAACTTTTGGAGTGGTTTGTCACACAGCAATAGATTATTGGTCAAGATAATATACTTGCCATTTTAAGTTTTCTAAGTGAGGTATAAAATACATAGACTGCACAAATCTTAAGTGTTCAGCCCAATGAATTTTTGAAATGAATATACTCATGTAATCATCACCCAGATCAAGATATAGAATTTAGAATTCCAAAAGCCTTCCTCATGTCTCCCTCAGAATAAATACATAATGCTACCAAATTTAATCACTATTCTGACTACATACTGTATTATTTTGTGTCTACTATATTTTATTCAATGTTATATTTGAAATATCTGTGTTGGAAATTACACTTGATTTTTTGTGCTATATTGTATTCTGTTACATAAATGTAACACAATCATTTCTCCATTGCATTGTCAGATGTTGAATATTTTCCAATTTGGAGCCATTGGGAATAAAGCTGCTATTGTGGTAGTACCTTTTTCTCACACGTTAAATATCCCTTTCTGCTTCCTAAGAATTCTGGACTATTTCTTCAATTTTTAAACAGTTGACAAATTGGTTTTCTGACTTGTCTAATTTACAATTTGTTATGTTCAATGTGATTTTAAATAGAGCAATTATGTTTATTATGTTAAAGAAATACAGTTCTAGATTAAAATTTTATATAAATTATCTTCCTATTTAATAGATGCGATGGCCTCTCAAAACTTGCTAAGAAAACATTCAGTGATATTTTACATTTTAAAAATTTCCTGTCCTTCACTTCAGATGATATCTCTCTTACAACCTGGTTGTGGGAATGGAGATTATGATGAAACTTCATAGCTACAGTGTTCTTTTCAGTATTAAGATTACCCTGAAAAAAGCAAATGGTTAATAGTTTTACAGTAGAATTTTTGAAGTCTATTTAAGCTCTTATGCCCTGCTTTAATAAATTCCTCAACTGAAACAAAGGAATTTGTGTCCATTCTAGTCACGGACAAGAAAAACAAGGAAAAACAAGATTGTCTATCTCTTACTGTCTTCCCTTTCGTTTTCTTCCTCTCATTGGACAGACAGTCTTTCCCAATCCCATCACCTCTGGAAAATGGCTTGTATACAGGGCACAGATAGCACTATGGGACTGTGTCTTTCCCACCGCCATGAAGGTCCTTGGCTCCATCCTCTGGCTCAGAGAATGACTGATGTGTAGGCATCTGTGAATATGGTCTGAACGTTCAAAGTGAAGTAGCTTAGAGCCATCTCATTTCCAGTGTTTTACTTACTACCGTCAGAAAACATTAGTTTCAATGACTGGTTGTAGTTCTCATGATACCATGTTTTAATGTTCTTTAGATCCTTTTCAGGGAGAACTGTCTTTTCCATCTCTATGTTTTAGTATTTTGGTTTCTGTGGGACTCTGTGTGAGTCAAACTCCCATAGGCTATGTAGAAGAAGAAATCCAAAGCTAAACACAGAATCCAGGAAATAATTCGAAGAAAATTCGTGGAGCCAAGGCTTGTGTATTCTGGACAGGGACTCATATTTTTCTAAAAATTTCTTATCCCTGGAAAAAAAGGACAATACAGCAGGACAGACTAAGGTTATTTGATGCTTCTGACAATATTTTACAAAAATTTTCAACCAGCAGTTTTAGTTGTATTTGAAGAATAACATAGAAACATCAATTTCCAGAAATGTAATTATATGATCAAATAGACATGTGTAAGTCAACATAAGAAATAACACCACTTACACCACTTACCTTCTAATTCAAGGCATAGGTGGCAGAGCATAAAGAGAGAAAGCATAGAAGACAAGATCACCTGGGAAGTTTTACTCACACCTGTGTGCTTAACTATCACTCAAACATTTCTCTCAAGCCCAACCCTCTCTTCTAAGTGCCAGACCTGCACTTACGGAGCCTCTTGGATGTTTCTACACAGATATCCAATGAAGGACCACTAGAACAAGAAACTCAGTTTTGTTCAATAACTTGACTCCATTCATTTGTCCAAATTTTCCTCCATTGCCATATTCCGGTGGAGGAGGGAGTGTTGATAATTTTTTTCCTGGTATTATCTCATCACTCTTTCCTTTCATAGTTCCCTTAGCCTGCCTCCCTCTTTTGGTGCTTGCCCATCTGGTGAAATCCTACTTGCCCATCTGGTGAAATTTGAATAATAACTTTCATCTCAAAATTTGCTTTCTGTTTGACGCCCTTCCTGATGTCACCAGACAGAATTGGCTGTGTTACTTCCTATACTCCACTAACGTCTCTCATTAAAGCACGCGTCATATGAAATTGTGATTACAGGGTTTGTCTTCTACATCTCTCTTTCCACAGGCTTTTTTATCTTCCTGAAAGAAGGGAAAATTTTCTATTCATTCATTCATTTCTATTCATTCATCCATCTATTCATCTAGCATTCGGTAAAATAGAAAAAAGCTGGGGGTTGTAAGATTAACTTTTCCTTCTTCTCTGTGTCTCTCTGACTCTCTCTATATGTATATATCTTATATACAACATATAACATATATATAACATATCTGTATCTATATCATATATAAACATATCTATATCTATATCATATATGACAGGAAACTTCACTCAGCCACTAAGTGGCTATACAAAAACTTTTATATAGTTTTTAAAAATAACTATATGAAACTATAAAACAGCCAGGCACGGTGACTCATGCCTGTAATCCCAGCACTTTGGGAGGCCGAGGTGGGTGGATCACCTGAGGTCAGGAGTTCGAGACCATCCTGGCCAACATGGTGAAACCCTGCCTCTACTAAAATACAAAAATTAGCCAGGTGTGGTGGTATGCACCTGTAATCCCAGCTACTTGGGAGGCTGAGGCAGGAAAATTGCTTGAACCCAGGAGGCAGAGATTGCAGTGAGCTGAGATCATGCCACTGCACTGCAGCCTGGGCAACAGAGTGAGACTCCATCTCCAAAAAGTAAATAAATAAATAAAACTACAAAACTATAGTTTAAAAAATGATATATATATATAGTTATATATATATAAAACTATACTTTAAAAAACTATATAAAACTATCATTTTAGTCTCATATAAAGTTTTAGTTATATATAAATGTATACATATATAGTTTAGTTTTATATGCATAGTTTATATATAGAGTTTTAGTTATATACAGTTTTTTAAACCTGCTTAGTGGCTGAGTGGCGTTTCCTGCCATCATAGAGTGCAGAGGAGCCCTGCCACCTGGTCGGGGAAGCAGGACTGGGCACATTTATGCACAGAGAGGCGACATCCGTGCTTCACTGTGTCTATACTACTGGCACAGAGATAGAAAGCTGTCGGGTTCTTTTGGGCCGATGTCACAGTGAGAGGAAAGGATTCCTTCTTCTCCCGAGAGACGCTGTACCCTTCAGCTATATCTCCTTTCTGAAAGTCATTTACTATCTGTGAGTAGTAGATCAATCTCAGCCCTTGCCCTGGGTCCTGTCGGTACCAGTACATGGCATCGTGGTTCAAATTCTGTTCACAACTCAGGGTCACATTCTGTCCTTCCTTTCTGAACAGGTACTTTGGGGACTGAGTGATTCCACCATCCACGGTGTCTGGAAAAGAAAGAGAGGCATGCCTGAGTACAGCCCAGGGAGGCGCCTGATGCTGCTGTCCCTCGGGGAGGCCTTAGATTTGGAACTTGCAGCACTCCAGATAGGAATTTTCTCCCTGAACCCAGGACTCACTTGCTCCCAGGAAACAAAGGACCACACAGCAGAGCACCTGGTTGCTCATAGTGCAAAGGGGGCCTTCTTGGAGCTCCAAGCACTTGTTGGAAGAGAATGAGAAAAGAGACTTGGCTCGGGGGCTTCTCCTGGCCTAATGTGCAGAGTTTGTCAGAGGCTGGAATGAAGAGGTGGGAGGTTCCTGGAGATAATCAAGACAGGCTTCCTAATTTTGCAGATGAGGAGACAGGACAGAGAGCAGAGTCATTCGCACCTCCCATAACTCTGCATTGCATCTGTGCTGAGGGGGCTGGCACCCCACGTTTCCGGGCCAGAGTTTCACCCCAATTGGCCCATTGGTTTTTTATCTTTCCAGCAACCATAAGGTTTGGGTTACTCCAGGAGCGCTGTAGATACTCTGATTATACAAGAATGTGGAATTCATTTATTTTTCCTTTTTTTAAAAAAACATTGATACATAATATGTGTACCTATTTGTGGGTGCCTGTGGTATTTTGCTACATGCATAGAATGTGTAATGATGAACTCAGAGTATTTAAGAAGTCCATCCCCTGGAGAACTTATCATTGTTTATGCCCTCAGCTCTCTCAGGGAAACTGTGACTCCTGGGGTCTGGCCAGTAGTGCTGTGGCCACTGTGACAACCTGCTGCTTAGCCGTCCTGCTGCACAGAGCCCAGTGCTGCTGTTCCAGGCCCCTCATGCAATCATACCAAGACCTCGCCTTCTTTGACCGCCTTCTAACTGGCTGGTTTCACTCATGTCCTTCTCATTCTGCTACTTGTTTCTTTGCCTTTGTTCAATGTCCTGACTAAATTTTCATTTGGGTTTATTCTCCCTTGGTCATCTTTTATTTTGCATGACTGGGATAACTTTGTCTTTTTCTTTCATGTCCCTCCTGGGTTCAATCAATTTGTGTTTTTTTCTGATGTCTTCCCATTTTGGCCATTTGTAGTCTGAGTTTTTAAAGTCCTGGTCTGGTTATGGTCACTTATATCCTCAGCTGCTTCCTTGAGTGTATTTATTTCTGTTTGGAGTGTAGACTTACATTATCTTCTGACTCATGATTGCTTTTGAGATGAGGGAACAGGGAACAGAGGTGAGATGTTTTCCTTTGTTGTACGGGTATTACTTTCATCTTGCTCATTTTCGTGTTATTGAGGTGTTTTACAAAATTCCTAGTCTAATGTTCCTTTGGCCATCATTCTAGCAAAATCCAGACTCCTTAGTGAGCTTTGTTTGTTTTCGTAGTGGGGCTGGTTGTGGGTCCTCTTGATTTGTGATTTCCTTTTGTTTTGCAGAATTCTCAGTTTTCCCCTTTTTCCTCTTTTTCTCCTCACTATTGAATTGCCAGAAGACCCTCTTTCTTCCTCTTTGCCTTTTTTTCCCCTCCCTGTAAAGCACTACCTTTGGAAGACTGTTTCTTTAAATTACATGTCTGGTGCTTTAAATGGCATGAAGTTTGGAATCCATCTTCTCTGCAGCCTTGCTGGGGTCTCAGGGTTGGTCTTTTTCTGGAAATCTCTCTGGATCTTTCTCAGGCTCCCAAGCCGGTGTCCCTCTTCTGTCTTCCTGGAAGATTTTCTGGGTTTTTCTCCTTTTGGGTAAAGTGAGGGAGGGGCAGGAGTACATTAAATGATTTTAGAAAATCAAAGGGCAAAAACTGCAGTGGAATCACATGGTTTATACTCCAAGCTGGTGAGGCTGGACTTAGTCTGCACATATATTTGAAATGACTTTGCTTTTGTCTGCCTTTTGATTTTATGAAATTGTTTCATCAAAGCAAATTATAACAAATCTTTTTCTGTAGGTGGCCTATATCTGTTGAGTGATGAGAATAAAAACAAACATTAAGACAAAAAGTTGAGGTGACACATTTCTAATGAACAATATCTGTGGGCCAGACCTTTTCCCTAAATTCTAGACAAATTTATCCAACTCTATTTCCATCATCTCTCAGATGTTCTATAATTTTATAGCAGGAATTCTTGAACCTAGCATCCGTAAAAACCTGCACGGGTACTCAGCAAGGAACAGAACAAGGATTATGCCTAAAAGAATGCTAAGCAGCATGATGTGAGATAAAAATCATAACCCTTTGAGCCAAATGCTTTTTGCCACCTACTAGGTTTCCTTCTCCCTTCCCTCCCCTCCCCTCCCCTCCCCTCCCTTCCCCTCCCTTCCCTTCTCCTCCTGTCCCCTCCCCTCCCCTTTCTTCCCCCATCTCTCTGTCTCTTTCTTTCTAAAAATTAACTCCTAGGACCATAATTTCTCTTGGTGAAAAGGAAGAAAGCACTTCCTTTGCTTGTGTGTCTTGGTGATTAAATAAAATTATTGATGTAAAGCATGAAATATAGAACTTGACATACAGTGTGGAGTAAAAAACAGAGTTACACTGCTAAGTGTTTTGAAACTGACAAATTAAGTCAATGTTGAAACTGAAAAATTATGTCTAGTTCTTAAAAATCTTTATGTTCTTTGGATGACAGAGTCTTAGTTTCTGAGCGTAGCCTGGGATGTTTCATGCTATTCCTACAATCCTCCCCTATTTCCACCCTCAACTTGCAGAATACCGTAGAGCTGACCTGTTCACTGTACAGGTAACGCGTTTCCCTTCCTGGCCCACCGCTGTTTCCAAGGCAGGTCTGGAGGATGTTTGTGGACTGAGAGGATGTGGCTCTGCATCAATGTGGGTGGTGAGCTGGCACAGAAATAAGCTGCCGAATCTCCTCGCACTACCTGCTGGATCCTCAGGATGCTGGGGCCCTCTTTGGGAAATTCAGCAGAAAATCGTTCCTTTGGCATTCCTGACTCATCTATGATATTTTCTTTCTGGAGATAAACCATGAATTTCAGACCTTCCTCTGGGAGCTGCCGATACCAGTAAACATGACTGTGTCCTTTCATTGGGCTGCATCTCAGTCTTGCCTCCTGTCCCCTCCTCCTGACCAGGTGTCTTGGGTTCTGCATGACGCCGGCATTTGAGAGACCTCAGAGGAGAAGAGACTGCATGAGACAGAGTTGTAATGGCAGAAGGATGAATGTCTTACAGTGAAGGAGCCTGTTTGAAGTCTCCTGCGTTCATTTAAAAACTCACATGAATTTTGCTTTTTACTCCATAATGCAATTATTTGTTTTCATATAAATGTCAATACCTTTCACAAAATATTTGGTCAACACAGAGGTCCAGGGTATATTTGAGAATCTGCTGTAGAGCCCAAAACAAAGCCCAGTGATGGTGATCCTTTAGCTGAAAACTCACCTGCCCCCAGAAGACAGATGACCGCACAGCAGAGTACTCTGGTGTCCATAGCAGAGTTGGCCATGGAGGGAGCCCACAGGCAGGGCAAAGGCACTTGCTGCAGCACGTCGGGGAACCAGACCTCACAGCTGCCTCCTACAAGATGCATCTTCCTGTGAGGTCACCATTTCCAGTGGGTCCTATGGTTTCGAGAACCAATCTTATATGTCAGTTAAATGGTAGATCTTTTGTTCTGACCTATACACACAACCTAGCTTAGTGTGTGTTTGTGAGGTTAGTGTTGTGAAGTAAGCACCTCTATTACTCGTTCTTTTTTTTCCCTCTTCACCTTTTTTTTCTTTTTTTTTCAAGACTGGATCTAGCTCCGCTGCCCAGGCTGGAGTGCAGCAGTGCAATCATATCTCATTACAGCCTCAATCTCCTAGGATCAGTCAAGTGAGTCCTTCATCTCAGCCTCCTAAGTAGCTAGGACTACAAGCCACCATACCCAGATAATGTTATTCATTTTTTTCATAAATGGGGTCTTGCTGTTTGCCCAGGCTGGTCCCAAATTCCTGGGCTCAAGCAATCCTCCCCACCTCAGCCTCCCAAGTAGATGATCTCTCCACTATTCTTATTTTTTGTTCCTTTATTTTCCTTTTATTGGCTTATATAATCTTTCTATTTTCTGGCTGTTGCTGAGTAGAGGTATTGACAAGAGGTGATATATAGATGCACCCATTAAGAGACAGGGAAGTGGACACCAACATTGCTGGAGGGAAAATTCGAGATAGAAAATGATTTCACATTGTCTCAGTTTGCTTTTTCACTCCCACACCTCAGCTAAGGGATGGCTTCAAGCATTTTCAGGGAACTTTAAGATTTGTAATTCACTTTTGTCACCTTCACTTATTCCACTTGAATTTTCAATATAAGTGATTCAAAGAACAAACTCTAAAAAGACTTCCCCCTCTGACCTCAGGTCCCGTTATTCTGCATACCTATCTGTATCATTCTCTGTAGTCATGCATGGGATGCCTGTGTTTGAGAGATCTTCCTTCCTCCCTTTTTATTTTTTATTTATTTATTTGAGACAGAGTCTCACTCTGTCACCCAGGCTGGAGTGCAGTGGCGTGATCTCGGCTCACTGCAAGCTCCACCTCCTGGGTTCACGCCATTCTCCTACCTCAGCCTCCCGAGTAGCTGGGACTACAGGCGCCCACCACCACGCCTGGCTAATTTTTTGTGTTTTTAGTAGAGACTGGGTTTCATCGTGTTAGCCAGGATGATCTCGATCTCCTGACCTCATGATCTGCCCACCTCGGCCTCCTGAAGTGCTGGGATTATAGGCGTGAGCCACCACGCCCAGCCTCTTCCTCCCATTTTTCTGTCCTTTCTCATCCTGCAGCATTGAATAAAAATTATGTGAAAGTCTACTTTGTCCCAGGAGTAGTGAAAGAAAGATACAGGAAACAAGGCACAATCTCACTCCATTGGATAGGCACCCCAGAGGAGTTAGGTGTATGACTTGAATAATAAATAAGATCATGTTAACATTTAGTGTCCAAATAATAATGACTCATGGTCTTACTCATATCAGAATCCTAGAGATCCAAAAATATAGTCTTTATTCTGATGTTGGAGCTGTAATTTTGAATATTTTCATGTTGAGTGTTGACATTTTCTTTAAAATTGAAATATAATTTGCATACCATAACATCCACCCTTTCAAATATATAATTAAGTGGTTTTTAGTATATTCACAAAGCTGTAACTGTCACCATGAATTCCAGAATATTTCTATCACCCCAGAAAGAAATTCTTTATCATTAGATGTCATTTCACTTTTATTCCTTCCCACAGCCCATGGCAATCATTAATCTATTTTCCGTCTTTAAGAATTTGCCTATTTTAGACTCTGTTTTTGTTGTTGGAGACTGAGTCTTGCTCTATTGCCAGGCTGGAGTGCAGTGGTGCGATCTCGGCTCACTGCAACCTCTGCCTCCCGGGTTCAAGTGATTCTTCTGCCTCAGCCTCCTGAGTAGCTGGGACTACGAGCGCGCACCACTACAAGCTAATTTTTGTATTTTTAGTATAGACGGGGTTTCACCATGTTGGCCAGGATGGTCTCGATCTCTTGACCTCATGATCCGCCTGCCTCAGCCACCCAAAGTGCTGGGATTACAGGCGTGAGTCACTGCACCCGGTCTATTCTAGACATTTTATATAAATGAAGTCCAACAATATGTGCCCCTTTGTGCCTGCCTTCTTCACTTTATATAGCTTTTCAATGTTCATCCATGGTATAGCATGTATCAGTGCTTTGTTCCTTTTTATCACCAGTTTTATTTTAGAAATAAAACCTATTTAGTTAATCCACTCATCAATTGATGGATATTTCCACTTTTTGAGTAATATGAATAATACTGTTTGAAGTGTGTGTATAAATTTTTTACGTGAACATATTTTTTATTGTCTGAGGGGTATACCTAGGAGAGGGATGGCTGGGTTACATGGTCATTCTATGTTTAACTTTTGAGTAACTGCTGGACTGTTTTACACAATGGCACCAGCAATTCTTGAGGGTCCCAATTTCCTCACATCTATGCCTACACCTGCTATTGTCTGGGTATCTTTATTACAGCCTACTGGGTGTGAAGTGGTATCTCATTGTGATTTTGATTTGCATTTCACTAACGACTAATGATGCTGAGCATCTTTCATGTATTTTTTGGCCATTTGCAGATCTTCTCTGGAGACATGTTTAGATCCTTTCTCATTTTTAAATTAGGTTATTTGTCTTTATATTATTGAGTTGTAAGAGTTCTTTATATATCCTTGATACAATTCCCTGTGAGATATATGATTTGCAAGTATATATCCATTTTGGGGTTGTCTTTCTTGAAAGTGTCCTTTGAAGCACAGACTTTAAAAAATGTTATTAAGTCAAATTTATCTTTTTCTTTGGTTGCCTGTGTTTTGAGTTTCATATTTAAGAAGTCACTGCCTACTCTGAAGGATAAGTCCCTGGATGGCCTTGGCAATGTGGATCTCCCTTTTCTCTTTTATAGTTCTTAAGAATAACTGTAGGATGTGCTAGCAATACCACATCCTGTGATAATGAGGAACTGGCAGGAAAATCCTGGCCTCTGTTCTTGTCTCTCCTGGAACAGGATGTCCCACAGTGCTTTAACCCATTAAATGTAGCCCCTGGGTTTAAAACCCAGGACAGAGTGCACTTTCAGAGCCACTCAGCTGCAATGCAACATGAGGCATATGCAGGCAAGATTCTATCCATCCTGTGTAGTTTTTCTGAGCCTTGAGAGACAAACTCACCATGAATCCTAAGCTTCTACTGTCCTTTGCTGCCTGTCTGTGAGTAATAAATTTGCTTTGCTCAACTTGTTATATGAATCAGGCAAGTGATGGAAATTGCAGTTCAAGATGCAGTGGGCTGTGAAGTGGTGGTTGGCATGGTGATGACCTCCACTATCCTTCATGCATTTCTCCCTGGAAAATTAACACAATCCCCTGGAATTAGTAACAGTGCACAGCGAATCTGCTTCATGTATACCTGTTAGAATAGGTAGGCAGATATGAAGAGGGCACGAGAAGAGACCCCCTCTCCCCCCTCCCCCCGACCCCCACCACACACACTCCAGAATGTCAGGTGATCATCAGGTGATGGTCAGGTGGTTGTTAAACTGTCTCTCAAAGATGATAATTAGTCACAACCAGCATCCGGGAAAGACAGTTTCCACATAGATAAAAAAACATCTGGAGCTTGTAATCAGCAGCTTCCCGATAAGATCTCTGGAGTTGGGCGAGTGGGCTCAAGCATGTGCACAGAGGCTAAATGACGGAGTTTAACTAACATATGACTCTAGGAACACCCCACTGGTAAGGGAAAAATGCCTCAAGTGAGCATGTGCGCAACTCCAGTAAGAACACTACATGAGCAGCCCCTCCCAAGTGCTGGCAGGCCACTGAGCACACAGACAGCTTGCCCCAAGGTGAAAACATCAAGGGAGGAGAAACACAAACCCTAGAACCATGGTGATGTGTAAAACCCTAAGTCAAGGGCTAAACAGGGCCCTTAGGTCTCTCAGGTCACCCGCTTGGCCCTCTTCCAAGTATACTTTGCTTCCTTTTACTACTACTCTAAAACTTGCCCGGGTCTTTTCCTCTGCCTTAAACTTCTTTCTGCCCCTTGGCCAAATTCTCTCCTCCTAGGAGCTAGAATTGAGTTTACTGCAGACCCATATGGATTTGCTGCTGGTTACATACACACCAAGGTCACAAAGATGTATACCTATGCCTTCTTCCAAGAGTTTTAGCTTCTACATTTAGGTCTTTAATTCATTTTGAGTTATTTTTTGTTTATGGTATGAGACAAGATACAACTTCACTCTTTTACACATACATACACAGTTTTCCTGGTACCATTTACCATTCTTTCCCCATTGAATGGTCTTGGCTGGCACTCTTGTCTAAAATTAATTGCCCATAAATTTATGAATTTATTTGAGGGTTCTCAATTCTATTCCATTGATTTATATGTTTATCCTGTTCCAGAACCATACTGTTTTGAATAATGTAGTTTAGTAATAAGCTTTGAAATTGTGAAGTGTGAGTTGCCCAACATTTTTTCTACTTTTACAACATTGTTTTGGCTGATCTTGGTACTTGGGACTTCCATATGAATTTTTACTTTGGTTTATCAGTTTCCAAAAAAAAAATACAACTAGAATTTTGAAATTTTGACAGAGATGAATCTATAAATCAATTTGGGGAGTGTTGCCACTTAACAATGTTAAGCCCTCCAACCCATGAACATGGAGTATCTTTCTATTAGGTCTTTAATTTCAACAATATTTTGCACCTTTCAGCCCACAAGTCTTTTCTGTTTTTTTTTTTTGTTGTTGTTTAATTTATGCCAAGATATTTTATTATTTTGTTGGAATTATACACATAATTCTGCTCTTAATTTCATTTTCATATCATTGCTAACATACAGACATACAATAGAACTTTTGGTATCAATCTTTTATTCTGCACCTTGCTGAGCTTGCCTATTAAATCTAGTGGAGTTGTCTGTGTACATGTGTATGTGTATGAGAATTCATATTTTCTATATACAAGATTATGTCAAGTGTCAACTGTAGTTAGAGATTGTTTTATATCTTCCTTTCTAGTCTGATTGTCTCTTATTTTCTTGAAATGACTAATTTCCCTGGCTAGAATGAGGTTGTTTCAGGTTGACTTTTTTTCTTTCAGTACTTTAAAAATGATGCTTTTCTATTTTTTTCCACTGGGTATCCCAGAAAAAAAAATTGTGCATACTTTGCCTAGACTTACCTGCTCCCAATAGACAAAAGCTTTATGGAAGAATTTCCACTCATCCATTACAGAGTGTGGCAGAGAATGCACACCTGCAGCTTCAGGTACCAGCTCTGAGAACAGTGAGAAACCATGCTGAACTTGGAGTTCTGCATGGATTCATATGCAGATTTTGTTTATTCTATTAAATGACAGAAGCCATAGATGAATGGTTCCTGGCTCAGATGAAGATCTGTTCTAAATTTTAAAATTTTAGATTCTCTATGGTCTAATTTTAAGCTACTTTTCTTAGTGTGTGTGTGTGTGTGTGTGTGTGTGTGTGCCTGTGTGTGTGTGTGTCTACGTGTAAGCCCTGAAGTATAAGGCAGCAGTGAGTGAGGTCACTGGTCATAGAATGAGCAGATAGTGAGTTTGTTTTGATTATAAGGATAGATATGAGGATATCTCAAATGTGCCACAATTTCAGAATGACCCCATTTGAATTTGTATGTCTTCTTTATTGAATATTCTCTTTCATCTGTGTTCCCTGGATTTGTTGGCCATATTTTTATTCTTGAAATCCAAGGGTCACCTTAATCCCTCTGATCTCCCTCACTTTTTACAGCAGACAGTGTTAAAATTTTGTTCATTCTGTATCCCAAGGGTTTATTCTCCTCTTTCAAATTCTGTTCCTGTTGTTTCAGTTCAAAGCCTCATAATTTCTTGTCTAGGCTATTCCAATAGTTAACTTTTTCTTTAAGAAATTTATTTTATTGTTTGTGCTATGAGACTTACCCTGCTAACACATTTTTAAGTGTATAATACAGTATTGTTAGCTATAGGTTAAATGTGCTAGCTTTTTTCTTTCCCATTTTAACATCCCTCCATTTAGTTGCTTTTGACAACTTTGTCTAATATATAGATGACTTAATTATTTTCTGGCTCAATAATATGAAAAGATCATTTTTGAAATCAAAAGAAAATTTAAAATCTTTGGATTCTCTATGGCTTAATTTTAAGCTACTTTTCTTGACTTCACCCCTAATGATATTACACTGTGCTCCGGTTTTGCTGAGCCCATGTGTGCCTTCCCACTTCAGTGACTGTCCTGCTCCCCACTCTGCCTAAACCTTCATTTTCTAATTCCAATATCATTGGAAGAATCATTCAAAGTTGCTTTAAAACATTCTTTTCTGCCAATATTCTTGGTTTTCACCTCTAACTCTGAGCAAATGGAGCACTTTCTTTATGTCTATCTTATGGGATTTCCCTCAGCCTCTACCACTTCTGTTTAAGTGTATGTGCATGTGTGTGTGTATGTGTGTGTGTATCTGTCTGTCTTTCTTCCCACTAAATGGTATGTTCCTAGAAGGGAAAGTCTTATTCTTCTTTGTGTTGTTAATAACATTTATCATAGTCCCTGATGTGGAGGAGCTATTATTTAATAACTCTCTAAATTAATTAAATTTCCTATTAGTCAAGATTGAGTTTATCCTCCCTAAAATTTCTAAGCAAGTTAACCACAAAAAATACAAATCATTTTTCTCTCTTTCCTGCTTCATCATTCTTCCTTTAGCTGAGAAGTTACTTGAGTGCTTATAATATAATTGCACGGGTCTGGGGCTACTGGGTCTTCTCAAGAGCTCTAAGATTGATATGTACACCTGTTCTACTAGATAACTGAAGCCAGGATAATTTCCTATTGCAACCAGGTGATTGCATCACTCTGAGTAGCTGGTATTGTAGGGGTAACTTGCAGAGTCATTTTAGGCAGCAGATATTTTGCTGTGAATAAATGTATTAGCCTCAGGCAGACTGACTACAAATCCTTGGAAATTACTTTTTCTGATTAATCATTTTACTCTAAGCAGCTATAAGCAAGCTGTGGCCCCATCTCTAGATTTATCAATACCACAATATGAGACATTCCTCAATGTCTTCCCAAACTTGTCTCATTCTCAACTTCTGATTGGATATTGTCGTTTCTAGGTGACTGAAAGTGAAAAAAAGACAGGAACTGAGGAAAGGGCAAAAGAGCGAGCCTAATGATGCAGCCATCAGTGAAAAACTTCAAGCCAGGTCCCAGAACACCTGAAACTGGAATGCCCCACCTGCTCCCAGTAGAAAAGGCCACTAACAAAGAATCTGGGGCCTAGGGCAGGACCAGTAGGTATGTCCTATAAATAAGGGAGAGAGCTTATGTCTGTCTCTCTGTGGTTTCTCCACCCCAACCCAAATAGCCTGGCACATCACAGTCCCTACATTAGCTCCTCCCTGTCAAGAAACCCCACCTCCTGTGCAGCCTAAGTCAGATGTCAGAAATAGTCAGGCCGGGCGTGGTGGCTCACGCCTGTAATCCCAGCACTTTGGGAGGCCGAGGTGGGCGGATCACGAGGTCAGGAGATGGAGACCATCCTGGTTACCACGGTGAAACCCGGTCTCTACTAAAAGTACATAAAATTAGCCGGGCATGGTAGTGGGCGCCTGTAGTCCCAGCTACTCGGGAGGCTGAGGCAGGAGAATGGCGTAAACCCGGGAGGCAGAGCTTGCAGTGAGCCGAGATCGTGCCACTGCACTCCATCCAGCCTGGGAGACAGAGCGACACTCTGTCTCAAAAGAAAAGAAAAGAAAAGAAATAGTCAAAACAGCCTCTCCACTAAATCCTAAGTATCTGAAGCTAGGTCTTAAGCATTGGCACTTTGTGTCTACTCATCATCAATCAAAATATCTATGGCAGGTCACCATGGCAACTGTTCAATCTCATGCCAACCTTCCCAAGTGTCAAAATTTCTGCTTAGCCACAAGCAATGACACTAGCATTTGCCTACAGTATTGACAAGTTTGGTGGCCACTGTATAGCAAGAAGACATAATGTGCTGTGTTCAGACCTCTGGGAACTGTTCTTATTCTTGTCTTTCTCCACATAATTTGTAGTTTGTCTTCCCGCAGTATTTCTGTACCTTTCAGCTTCCTATTTTCAACTTCCATTAGTCATCCTTTAGCTGTCGTGCCCCTGGGCTTTTTCTCTCTGCTTGTTCTAGTTCCTTTCTCATTCTTTAAAAAAAAAAAAAAAGTATATATATGTATACACACACACACACACACACACACACATTTTTTTAAATTTTTGTTGTTGTTGTTGTTGTTGTTGTTTTTGAGAGGGAGTCTCACTCTGTCGCCCAGGCTGGAGTGCAGTAGCATGATCCTCAGCTCACTGCAAGCTCCGCCTCCTGGGTTAATGCCATTCTCCTGCCTCAGCCTCCCGAGTAGCTGGGACTACCGGCGCCCGCCGCTACGCCCGACTAATTTTTTGTATTTTTCAGTAGAGATGGGGTTTCACCATGTTAGCCAGGATGGTCTTGATTTCCCGCCTCGTGATCCGCCCGCCTCAGCCTCCCAAAGTGCTGGGATTACAGGCGTGAGCCACCGCACCCAGCCTTAAAATATATATATTTTTTAATTTTTATTCTTTTTTGAAAATTTCTTATTTTTTTTTTTAAATTTTTAGAGACAGGGTCTCATTCTGTTACCCAGGCTGGAGTTCGGTGGCATGACCATATCTCACTGCAGCCTCGAACTCCTGGGATCAAGCAACCCTCCTGCCTCAGTTTCCCGAGTAGCTAGAACTATAGGTGTCAGCCAGTGCACCCAGCCCTTTGCCATTCTTAATTCAACATGATGATAGTAGAGCAAATCGAATTAAATAAAATCCCTGATTACAAAAGCCAGCTCTACAATTGGCTTAGTGTTCATCCTGCACTTACCCTCCTTAAACTTCAATTTCTTTGTTAGTAAAACAGGGATAAATAACATAATTTTGGGTTGCTGGTATGGATGAAATGAAATACCATATGTGAAATATCTAGCATGGTACTTCACGTATAGCAATATCCTGCCTAGTTTTTTCTCCCTCTTAAAGCCCATACCACCTCTAATGAATATTATAATATGTTCTTCTAGGAGATTATTGAGCTGATTTAACATAACTGTTGTGATGATACGCTACGTTTGCTTAGAAAGAAATTAAGGTCATTCTTGTAATTTTACTAGAAAAAAGTTATTGCTTCATTTCCAATCTTTGCCATGAAACATACAGTTGTGAGACATTGGACCAAGTATTACTCTTTCTGAGCCTATAAAATTGGGGATAATAACACCTACACGAATAGTTCTCTTATTCACAATTAAGGGAACAAGTCCCATGTAGCATATGGTCACAGTATCAGCATATGTTGACCACATATGGTAATTTTGACATTTATGCTGATATTGTCTGGCACGGCTGGGTTGACTGAAGCAGAATGACATCTCTGGACAGATCTCTTTCCTCTTGGATGGAACAAGCAAGAGAAATGCACACTCGTTGTTTGTAGTAGATTTGGAAGGTATCGCACAGTATCTGGGGGTAATGACAGAATAACCAGTCATGGAGTTGCTTCTGTCAGTGGTCCAGTAAGAGCCAAACCGTGAAACTCAACAAAAAGCTGAAGCACAGCAATCCTAAATAATAACACCTCATAATATTAGGCCAAACCTATGTATATTAGCGTTTGAGTTTTAGGCACCACACTAGGGATTTTCATGAATTATCTTATTTAACCCAATACTATCAGGTAGGTATTATTATTATTATTATTATTATTATTATTATTATTATTATTGAGACAGAGTTTCACTCTTGTCATCCAGGATGGAGTGTAATGGTGCAATCTTGGCTCACCACAACCTCCGCTTCCCGAGTTCAAGAGATTCTCCTGTCTTAGCCTCCTGAGTAGCTGGGATTACAGGTATGTGCCACCACGCCCAGCTAATTTTGTATTTTTAGTCGAGACAGGGTTTCTCCATGTTGGTCAGGCTGGTCTCGAACTCCCAACCTGGGATGATCCACCCACCTCGGCCTCCCAAAATGCTGGGATTTACAGGCATGAGCCACTGTGCTCAGCCTCAGGTAGGTACTATTATCTTCATTTTAGAGGTGAGGAAGTGAGGCATAGAGAGGTTCACAGTCTTGCTCACGTTCACATAGCATTTGAGCAGAGGAGCCAGAATTGTGGTCTGCATTGTTTGATTCCAGAGCCTACACTTTTAACTATCACCTTCTAGTGACCCATGGCAGGCAGCATCACATACCTGGGTGGGCAGTGGACATTTGAACGTCTTCTTGCAGCATCCAGGATGAGACTTAACGCTGTGAACACAGATAGTTCCTTTGAGAGAAAGGTATTTCTTTAATCATGAGTAAGTAGGGGTCAAAGACTATACCTATCAGACAGAAGTCACATTGTCCAAGACATTAGGTGGAAGATCACTAATCTTGTTATATATTACGCATGTTGAAGGGACATTTTTATTACGTATGGAAAATATATAACTTTTTTATTATTTATGAAAATATATGTGAAACATATAAAACATGCCAAGGTGGACATGAAAGATGTTTCTATAATTCTGAGGATTTCCAAGGCAGTCAATAAAGATGCCTTCATTAAGGGAGTTATCACTGAATAGGGAAATATTTTAAGAGACCAAACAGAAGGCACAGGTTGGGAAAGAATCAAGTAAGAGAGACAGGAAGAAAATTTGGTTCAAATGATGGGCACTGGCGGAAGGGGAGAGAGAAAGGGGCTGGCCTTGTTATGAAAGCCCATCTGGGAAGAGCAGGAGCTCAAAAGCTCAGAGAACCTGGAAACATATAATTAAAGCATGAAAATAAAACAACAAATTACTCAGTAAACTGTAGAGTGTTAAATGAACATGAGGTATTTTTACAGCCAATGACATTGTTGGCAGGGTGCGCAGGAGACTAGAGAGAAGAGGGTGGATTTCTCCGGAAGGCCAATAAATGTATAACAATTCTTTTATCCTATTTCACTTTTATTACTTATTTTACCCCGTTGTCACTGGCATGTGGTGACATTTATGTATTAGTAGATGAATGAGGGAAAGTCAATGTCGCTTGGTTTTCTTCACAGAGAAAATAGGTCTGGAAATATCCTGGTAGGTTTATTAGCAGGTAGGAATTGGGAAACGTTGGAACACATTGAGAGGCAGTGGGTGCTGGGCAGACAGTGACAGAAGCACTACGAAGACCAAGCTGAGTTTTTAAGTTGAGGCTTCATACACCACATATCGCTAATACAAACTGTAAGTAGGGCTGAGATATATTTAAATAGTAAAATGACAAAAAGCAGACCAATGCTATAGCTTCGTGTTTATTTATTCTATAATTTAAAAAATCTATTTCATTAAACCGAAACAAAGAAATGAAGGTACTGCAACATTAATAAACAATTTACTTTCAACAGAGATGCTATCATTTGTGTCATTATCTACAATGACCGTATAGTTTAATGTTCAAATTGAGACACTTTTGTATGTGAAAGAGGATACTATTAATTATGACAGGACAACAAGACTAAACCGTGATTGCGTGGTAAATCATGACTGCGCGGTAAATAAATCATGAGGTCCCCTCCCCAGACTTTCTAACACGTTCCTTTACTGCCATCTAGCAGCAGTGGAGGGGATTGCAGGAAATGTATAATACTTTCACAAACCACATTTCAAATTAGCTTCAAAGTTATGGTATATAGGGGTGATCTATAATGTTCCTTGCAATCAGATAGTCTCTGGATCTGTGTTATCTGCATATGTAATTATGTTCATATTTTCCAGCTTGTAGTGATGTCTTCCATCGCAACCCTGATTGTCACATGTGTAAAATAGCTGTAGATAGATAAATAGATAAATATTATAAATACATATATTTATATATTATTTATATATAATAATATATAAACACATATATTTATATATTATTTATATATAATAATATATAAACACATATATTTATATATTATTTATATATAATAATATATAAACACATATATTTATATATTAATACTTATATATAAATATATATAAGTATTTGTATTTATATATAAATATATATTTATATATATATTTATATATAAATGTATAAAATACATTTATATATAAGTATTTATATATACTTATATAGAAAATGTATTTTTTATATTTGTATTAAAATTTACATAAAATATATTTGCATATATTTATATATCTCTTATGTGATATAAGTATATCAATAAATATATATTATTGATATAAATTTATATAAAATGTTATAAATTTTATGTTTTTATTAAATATAAATATATTTATGTTAAATGTATACATAAATATTCTAATATTTGTATAAATAAATAAATAGCAAGTCAAATAATCATATTTGTATCAGATCTTAGAGACTAAGTGGAGCAAGTCTCTAATTTTGAAGAGGAGGACACTGAGTCCCAGAGAAGTAAGAGCATTTGCCAAGATTTCACAGCTGAAGGGGAGTAAACAAAACCAGTTTTGGGATTAGAAAGCAATTTTTCTGACTCTAATTCCAGTGTCTGTGAGTCTAGGGCCTGCAAGAGAGAGAGAGGAACAGATGAGTGTTTGAAGTAACAGAATAAAACGTCGCGCTCCCCTGGGCAGCTGTGTGAGGAACTGAATGTGCTAGGACAGTCCCCGAGTGGGGATTTTAGTCAGTGTTTCTCTGGCATCCATCCCCTAAGAGGGTCGTGTTGCTGTCTGCCTTGCGGTTTGGTTTAGTCACTGACCTCCAGGGAAAGTTGGTCTTATTGAAGAGATGGATCTGCAGTAGTCAACAGGCTGTTCCATAAATGTACATGTCATTGCCTCTGCTGGGGTACGTTGGTGGGGGAAGAGTTTGCAGGAGAACTGTGTTTGAGATAAAATCAGTAGGAATGTTTTTGTGTTTTGGTAAGTAATATCAACCTCAGATAGCTGGTCTCTGAACTTGGAAATTGGTCTGGGGCCCTTCCTTCTAAACATGTGGATTCCTCCTGATCCACAGAATGTCTCATTTTGTATTTGGGTAGTTTCAGGAGCCCATTGTCCAGTGTGCCCATCATGACCATTTAAGACCTTAATTCATGGTCTTGTACTCTCCCGGTAGCAGCTGCAGCCACAACAATCAACTCGCTTCTTTCTTCTGGGGTAGGAAGATAAGGAAGAGGCTTTTTCAAATGTTTTCTTGGAGTTCAACTGGGAGAAGAGCAGCCAGAGGGTTTGCACCCTGGAGGGAACTGACTCAGCCATGCAGTGCCACCGCTACTGTAGAGATACACGGCTGAGTCCCTCGGCTCTGCGGGATGGATCTTCAGCGTGGAAGACGTTCCGTTAGGTCTTTCAGCTGTGAATCGTTCCTTGGGCATCCCTGAATCAACTGCAATGTTTTGGTACTGGAAGGAAATCAGCAACTTCATTTCTTGCCTCAGATTCTGTCGGTACCAGTGAACAAACATGTGACCAGAAGATGGATCGCACCTCAGAATCACCTCCTGTCCCATGTTGGTGACCTTGTGTCTGGGGGTCTGGCTGACTCCAGGCTCCGAGTGTCCTGTGGAAGAAGACGGAAGCCATAGAAGGTGAAGGGAAGCCCAAAGAAAACATCTTTTTTTTTTGAGATAGGGTCTCTCTGTGTTGCCCAGGCTGGAGTGAAATGTCGTGATCTCTGCTCACTGCAGCCTCTACCTCCCAGATTCAAGTGATCCTCCCACCTCAGCCTCCCAAGTAGCTGGGACTACAGGAGCACACTACCACGCCTGGCTAATTTTTGTATTTTTTGGTAGAGAAGGGGTTTCACCACGTTGACCAGGCTGGTCTCGAACTCTTGACCTCTGGTGATCTACTCACCTCAACCTCCCAAAAAGGTGGGATTACGGCTGTGAGCCACCACGCCCAGCCAAAAACATCTTTATGCAAATGTTTAAGTATACCTGGACCCACCTGCCGCCAAGAGACACAGGGTCACCCAGCAGAGGAGCCAGATATCCATGGTGAGGTCAGGCAGTGCAAGACACTCCCAGCGATGGGTTCTGATGTGCAGTAGCAAAGAGCAGTGAAAGTTCTGGGTTCCCTTGGCCGCATGATGTAGGATCTGGCCATGACATCATGTCCCCAGCAACACCCACAACCTCAGGGCACCTTCCATAGGAGATGGGGATCCTTGGTTCAAATATTTGGCCTCATCCTTATTTTGCTACATGGACGATGTTAAACAAGGCTCCAATCCCACTTGCAGGTGCTTAGGAAAGTTGAAGATTAAGGAAAACATAAGAGGAAGTGGAAAAGGAAAGAGAAGAAAGTGAGAATAAAAAAATGAAGAACAAAATTTTAAAGCACTACAGAAGATTTGCGATGTTATTAATCTTACGAAGTCCTTGGGGCAGAACTTCAGCACTAACAGAAATACTCAGGAGCAATGATACGTATTCCTAAAGTCCACCAACAAGAAATTTCGACTCTGAAATTCTGAACCTGTCCTAGAATATACCTGTTTAACCCATGCCTCAGGTGACACTGAGAAAAGTTGTCTCAGACCACATTTCACAATTTTTTCTTTTCTTTTCTTTTTTTTTTTTTTTTGAGATGGAGTCTCTCTCCATTGCCCAGGCTGGAGCACAGTGGTGCAGTCTCAGCTCACTGCAACCTCCGCCTCCAAGTTTCAAGCGATTCTCCTGCCTCAGCCTCCTGAGTAGCTGGGATTACAGGCTCCCGCCACCATGCCTGGCTAATTTTCATATCCAAAATTTTTTCAGTAGAGATTTTTAAAAGGCTAAACAACAACAACAAAAAACTTTCCCATTAAACTAGAATATTACACTTTAAATAGAATGAGAAGAATTTTCCTGGGAAAAAGAATATTAAATGGATAGATTTAGTTTCTGGGAGCTGCATTGAAAACAAAAAGAATAGAGAGAAAATGAGAAACTAGTTGAAAATGATGTAAATGAAACTGAGCAAAAATTAATGCTCAGGACTTAGGGCATGGTCAGTATTGTCAAGAGCTTCAAAGAGATCAAGCAGGCAAAGAAACACACATGCGTCTTTTGGTCTGGGAAATACGTAATTTTAATCTTTAGGAGAACAGTTTTGGTAGAATGGAAATATTTCAAGAAAAAGCTGAAGATAGCATCTAGAGGAGTGACTTCCCTGTGACAAAAGCAAAGATGTAGACCACCAACAGCAAGACTGGGCTTGAGGGGGACCGAGAACAGAACGCTAAGGAACACTCACTTCTGGAGAGCGGGAAAAGGAACTTAAAATGAGAAGGTATAATATTAAATAGATCAGAAAAATGATAAAGTGAGAACTTCTGTTTCCAGGAGTCACAGTAAATTTTTTTCCCAAGAAAAGAAGTAACTTTGGACTTCTGGAAGTAAGACAACTGGGTTCAACTTATACTGAAATAAGAGCAGATGTAACTGGAGAGAATAAAGGAACTTCTCTCAAAGCGAATGCTAGGTGGTGACCAGATCTGTGAACAGAATGGATTATCAAATTTTAACAGAGTTATTTTGAATTCTATAACTGCTCAACATAAGTGTAGTCTCCTGCCTAGGTACAGTTGATACCATAATGCCTCATTAGGAATATTGATGTTGAGTACATTGCCCCTCATTACAATTTGAATCATATACCTGAAGATCTTTTAATTCTCTGTGCATTAATATGTTTTACACCAAGAGTACATTAATCTGTTCTCCTTCAGTGCCATAGAGGCCAATTAGTGAATTTGTAGGATCTGAAGTTGTCACACTTAAAATGAACATGCTTTTTGTGTTATCTAGGTTTAATTTCTTTTTATTCCTTCTATTTTATTTATTTATTTATTGTTTTGAGACAGAGTTTCGCTCTTGTTGCCCAGGCTAGAGTGCAGTGGTGCGCTCTCGGCTCACCACAACCTCCCCCTCCCAGGTTCAAGCAATTCTTCAGCCTCAGCCTCCTAAGTAGCTGGGATTACAGGCATGTGCCACCACACCTGGCTAATTTTGTATTTTTAGTAGGGATGGGGTTTCTTCATGTTGGTCAGGCTGATCTTGAACTCCCAACCTCAGGTGATCTGCTTGCTTTGGCCTTCCAAAGTGCTGGGATTATAGCCGTGAGCCACCACACCTGGCCGGTTTAATTTCTTAAAGAGAGATTAACCAGACTCTTTACGTGGTCTGATATTGTTCTAAATAATAAGGTTTTGATCCCCTCTCCAAACTCTTCTCTTTTCCCAAGGTCTCTATATTCCAGAAAATGTATTATCCCCAACTTCTCACTTGTGATGGGTGCCTATTGGATGTTCTGACTGGATTCCACCCCTTGAAATCCTTGGTCCACAAGGTCAGAGGGACAGACTCCCAGATACTATCTTGTTCAAAATAATTCAATTCCCTTGGATTTCCACGAGCCCATTCTTGAGTAAAGCAGGATCACATTTTTTCCCCCTGCACCCTGGATTTGTAATCTAGCATGAGAGAAAGTCACGTTGGTCTCAATTGACTGGAGGGCTAACACCTAAATCTGCAATTTTCTAATCACTGTAAGACCTAAGAAACAGAAAAGACAACTTATAATAAAAGAATGAGGCCGACAAGGTATATAAAAAATGAGTTGTCAATCAGCCATGCCATGGTTCTAAGGTTTTTTTTTGTTTTTTGTTTTTTTGAGATGGAGTCTCGTTCTGTCGTCCAGGCTGGAGTGCAGTGGCACGATCTCGGCTCACTGCAAGCTCCGCCTCCCGGTTCACGCCATTCTCCTGCCTCAGCCTCCCGAGTAGCGAGTAGCTGGGACTACAGGCGCCCACCACTAGGCCCGGCTATTTTTTTTTTTTTTTTTTTAGTAGAGACAGGGTTTCACCGTGTTAGTCAGGATGGTCTTGATCTCCTGACTTTGTGATCCTCCCGCCTCGGCCTCCCAAAGCTCTGGGATTACAGGCGCCAGCCACCGGTTCTAAGGTTTCATTGCAGTTTATTTCTGGGAAGTTCCTGTGTTCTTGCTTTGTGGTTCTATGGGACATACATTTAGCCTTATAATACATTCCCCTTTGGCTTAAGCTAGCTCTAGTTTCTGTTATTTCCTTCCAACCTAGTATACCACCTGCTTCCTGAGCTGAGTCCGTGATGAGTCTGTGTCCTAAGATTAGCTAATATTTAACACTGTGGATTGGCTGCTGGCACAAAAATACACTGCTGAATCCTCAAGCTTCGTAGCCTGGATCTCAAGGCTACAGGGTGAATTTGGGAGGCACTTAGCTGAAAATCTTTCCTTGGGCATACCTGTTTCATCAAAGACATTTTCATTCTGGAAGGAAATCAAGAACTTGAACTCGTTTTTCAGGACCTGTTGGTACCAAAAAACATAACTGTGTCCTTTTATTGGGGCACAATATAATTTTGCTTTCTGTCCTTCCCCTCTGACAAGATGTTTTGGAGTCTGGGCGACTTCTTCACCAGGAGAACCTGTAAAGAAAGCAGACAGGAGTTGGAGACTGAGCCCATGAGGGAGTTCGATGACATGGATGAAAGGCTTAGAGCAGGGAGCTGACAACTGCAGAACAGGGACTTACCTGCAGCCAGCAGACAAAGGATTGTGATGCAGGTGAATATTGGGCTCATGGCAGAATTAGGGGAAGAGCAGGCAGCACAGGCAGCTGGCTATCTGTGTGGCTCTCTCCACCTCTGTCGGCGGCTTCTCTGTGACGTGATCACTTTGTAGAATCCAATTGCCTTTAGCATCCTGCTCTATACAAGTAACACAAATTAAGAGAATATGTGAAACAATTGTATTCAGCCACTGGAAAGCAGACAGCACAGGACTGGGATTCTGCCAAAACACCAAAACATGGGGGCAATTTCTGCACATACACAATGGGGAAGAGAGCAACAGAGCATGGCAAATTTTGAGTTGCGGAAACAGGTTACAAAATCAGCGGGGGCTGAGGCAGCTAGAATTTTTAAGGAAAGACCACCAGAGAGGAGGAAGCTGCACAAGAACTCCAGATGTCTGGAGGAATTATCTTAATTTTTTGGCTAAACAGTAAACTGTGTCTGTGTAGGAAAAAGCTTTAAAAGGCATTGGAGAGAAACCCCAGAAAGGCTTCACTGGCATCCACAGAATGGCCATGCTCTAGTAATGAGACAAAATTAGGCTAGAGCAGGAGTTGGTGAACTACAGCCCACGGTCTGGACACCTATTTCTGTAAACTGTTTTATGGGCAGGGGGCAGGAGGGGAAAAGTAGTCCAGAATGGCCTCATGAGGAGCTTTGAATACCCTCTCCCCAGAGAAAAAGACATAACTGCTGAAAATTTAAAAACAACCATTGTGGATCTCTGAAAATTCGTGAGTCACGATCAATTACCTGAATCTGACCTTGGGTTAATACTTCTTGGCCTCTTAGGGAGCTGGAAACATCTACTGTTGTTAATCTCTATAGGTGGTGATGTAAAAAATGATTCTATAGTAGGGATATCTGCATTGTCTTTCAAAATTAAAATGAGGATGAGGGCACATTCATTCTCATCCTCTGAAACTGACAATCTATAGTTAGGAGGTACCAATTGTTTCTTATACTCGTGAACCTTATGCACTCAAACATCCATTTTTCCAATCCATCATTATAAGTATTTCAGCCCACTAAAGGCCATAAGATACTGGCTTTTAGAAAGCTATTCTGGTGGATTTCAGAAATCCTGTTTCTTCTGAACAAGGCTGTGGTACTTTATATTTTGTATTACTATTAAAAATTTAAGTCAGACTCTAATAATTTTAATATATCTTCTAAAGCACCGCATCTAACTTTTAATAAGTCCTATTTATATGCCACATAAGTGGTTCATCAACAGATTTATATTAGGGAAAATATCTGTATATAATTGTAAATATAATTGTAAATAATGCATGATCCAGGCAATTTATTTGTCTTAAATTCTGGCACAAAGTTTTAGCAGTTCTAATTTTCCTACTTGATAAGAAAACTGCGAGACTGCACCAATGTTCCTATGAGGGAAGTTTCTTCTCTTTCTTAGGGCATGGATTCATGAGAGTGAGGTTCTGTCTTGTCTAGTTTTGCCCTTAAATGCAAAGAGCTATACAGCTATAGGATTCCTTACAAGTCTAGAGGATCACAGATGTCTGCCAGACTGGGTTTGCACTGGCCAGTGTTAAGGTAACAGGTTCCTTCTTATCCAGAGTCGTACTGTTCTCATCACATACATCTCTTTGGTTTATAAATTCCAGGAGTTTAAAACAAGTCTCTCTGGTTTGTTTATTACCTTATTTCCAGAACCGGAAACAAGGTCTGTTATACAGGAGTTCCTAAATACATATTTGCTGAACAAATGGCACAAGAATGAACATCAGTAGGCAGTCTAAGTCCTGAGTCTTGTTTACAGCATTGTAAGTTTCATCACTCACATCTGAGTGTCACCTCTGTTTCTGTCTCTGTGATTAGGATATCCACAGAGTCTGTGGGACTAGAGTGTAGGAGCAGGGGCTAGAGAGGAAAATGGGGGTGAATATTGGACTACCAGAGGAAGGTGTGGAAACAGACTACAGTGTGAGTGCCCAAGGCAGACAGACTATCTACGCCCAGGACTCACTGCCCTCAGGAGGCAGAGGGACTCATAGCAGAGGAACCTGGTGCCATAGGCAGGCTTAGAGCAGCAGTGGGGCCTCAAGCTTTAGAGATCTAAAGGCTTTGCCTCCAAATTCTGTGTGTTGTTTCTATTTTGTCTCTGTTACCTACGGCTCTCTAAAACCCTGCACATATTTGCTTGGCAAGAAATTGGCAAGTTTTTAAGGATCAAAGAGGGGTCTCAGACTCTCAGATAAGATAAAATAAAACAGGGTTAGTTTTTCTAGGTTGAACTAATGTGTTGTCAGCACTAACAGCATACCTCAGAGAGTATACAGGTGACTAGTTCATGTCTATCCTTAATGAGGAAGGCAGGCAGGCAGGAAGAAAGGAAAGAAGGAAGGAGGGAAGATTGAGAAGGACAAGAGAGGAATCAATTTTTTTTTTGAACCTGAGCTTCTTCTGGAAAGACAGGCTTTATGCAGGTCGTATAAATTGATCATCTCTAAATAGTATGGTTCTAAATTGTGTGGTTCATACAGAAGAACCATGAAAAGGTCTAAGCCAGCCTCTAGCTAAATCCAGGGTTCTAGTCCCAGTGGTGAAAGTGCTAAACCTGTAAGTCTCTTATCTCCCAGTTGGGCGGGGATGGGGTGGGTGTATATCTGTGATACCACCACACGTACCCACTCTCGGATTCCAAGTGTCATTTTTGACATAGTCAGGTTGCAGTTTATGGTGACCCTTTCCTCGTATCTCACAGCCTTCTGGACTGCATGTTGTGCCAGTCTGGATAAAGGATGCTCTACAGCTTCTCTCACCACTCTTGGAGGCAGCTGATTTTCTGCCCGCACCTGCCCCCTGAACATCCTGTCACTTTTTCATCCATGTTCCATCCCCATAGGCTCCCTCCCATGCATATAACCATGATTCAAAGTTTACTACTTGAGGAAAACACTTCAGCATCTCTGCAAGTTAAAGAGTTTATGTTTAATTTCTCATCCTCTAAGGGAGACTCATTCATCTTTAAATGATCCCTTGGGATCAAGATTTAAGTTCTGCATTTTTTACCCTTCATCCTCCCAGGTTTATCCCAAAGACCTTCTTTCTCTATGTTGGTCCTCGGTGCAACTCAAAGCTAGTCAACCAGTGAAGCATAGTCACAAGGGCTCACCCTCTGGCCAAGACCCAAAGAAAAGCCAGTGCAATGTTGGTGAGAGTGTGGAAATCTTCTGGCTTATAACCATTTACCTTCCTATCTGAAGGTCTGACTTAGAATCCATGTAAACTCCGAAGACAGAATGAGCTCCAGCAGTAAATTGTCTACATTTTGATACTGGCTCCACCACAAACGAGATACGTGATAAAGGGCTAGTTACTTGTCTGTGTCTCAGTTTCCTCATGGATAAATGAGTGAGGTTACTATAGTATTAACTTTCTGAGGTTGTTATAAAACTAACATGAACTATAAATATATGTGAAGAAGACTTAAGGTCTAGCATGTAATATGTGCTTAGTAAATGTTAGCTATCATTATGTTATTAATATCATTAAAGCAAACAATTTGTAAAAGCTCTTTTGTAATAGGTCTTGTCATATTTTTCCTAGATTATCTTAATTTAATGTGCAAAATTTTACATTTTTAGATAGCCATATAACTATATTTTCTGCTTTTTTTTCTCAGAATATCATTCTCATTGAGGGATGTTAATTATAAGGTAATTTATAAATACATACTTCCATGTGACAATTTATGAGGTTGCAATATTTCTCACTCAGCATTTTATTTATCTTTGTTAAGGGGAGCAGGATCTCCCATCTTCTTCCCTCCTGTAGTTTTTCTTATTGACATTTGCTGGCACTCTTATGCACCTTAATGACATTATTACTCTCTTCTATACAGATGGCTCCATGATCTTCATCTCCAAATGTACTCTATTTTCAATATCATTTCTTTATGTATTTATGGTTTCCATTTGCTCATCTCAATAGTACCTCCAGCTCCAGATATGAGCAGATTAATGTATGGTCTTCTCTTTTTTTCTCTCCAATGTGGTTTTACCTCTGAGAAATTTTTATCTTGGGATACTTGTGCTTTCATTCTCCCATTAATGAGGTAGTTGCTCCAGGTCTAGGCTAAAAACATGTGGATTCTCCAGGAGGATTAAATCCTATAAGAGTTCATCGAATGCCAGAGACTGGACTTTATAGACATTGGGTGTCCATAATTCTTCACATATCACCTCTTATATTTCTAAGCCTCTGACTTAGATTAAAACAAAGAAAAAAAGAAAGAAAAAGTTCTTATTTGTCTTCTGAAAAGGACAGCATGGGTTCTAAATGTGATCCTGGGAAAATACCACCAACTGAATGCCAGGCATGTGTAACCACTTTTCCACTCTTGGCATAACTGTCAATGGTTTTTATTGGTTTGTGCTCAACTTCTGTCTACAGATATTGACAGCCACCAACCCACTTCCTATTGTTGTAAGAGGTGGTGAGGGAGAAGTCCTAGAGAAAGCACCTGGATCTGGGAAACAATGAGGTTTATGAACAGAGAGCAGGAAGCACTGCAGCTCTGTGTCTCTGCTGGTGGCACACAGGTACATGGCTGCGTCCCCCAGGCCTGGTGAGCGGATGTCAAGAAAGCAGAAAGAAGTGTTCGGCCTCCTGGATTGGAAGTTATCAGGGGTGTCTGCTTCATTGTTAAAATCTTTGTCATAGTAGTGGAACAGCAGCTTTGGGGCCTGACTTGACTTCTGCTGGTACCAGTACATGACGTTATGGTTCAAAGTCTGAGAACAACTCAGGGTCACTGGCTTTCCAAACTGGGTAACCTGGTATCTTGGGTTCTGGATGACCATGGCATCCCCATGACCTGTAGAGAAAGAAGACAAATTTGGAGTCAGAGTTAAGGAGAACAGTGTTACTGCTGTGAATGAAAGGTGCAGACTGAGGACAAGATAGCTTTGCTCAAAGATTTCCTTTCTGCCCGGTACTCACCTGTTCCAAGGAGACAAAGGGCCATCCAGTGGAGAAGCCCAGGACCCATGGCAGGAATACCACCCCATACAGGAATGAAGCATCTGTCTGTCTCAGGCTCTGATTCCTGGGTTGAGAGGTGGGAGTTTAGAGAGTCTCCAGTCCCTGATAGGCAGATTGGCCTGTGATGACTGTTGCTGTTGACTTTACCAGGGCCGGGGTCATTCCTTGTTGCAATGTGATACACAGCTTCCTACTTGGCAGGTACATGGGCTTGTCTGGAACAGGGATGGAACAGATATTTATTTTCTATATCATTTGCTGCTTCCTTGAGACAGGTGTCCCCATATTTGCCCCTGTCCCTGTCTCTGTCCCGTGTTCATCCAGTTCTCCTCACTTTACCTCACTTTTCTCACATCCTAAAAAGCAGCCCAGAGGTTTCTCCATAAAGATAGTATTTGCTAAAGTCTCACTCAATAACCATTAAGATAGTGCCTTGGCTTTTTGCTACTCACATTAAAGATGCATGAATGTGATTAGGTATTAGTGTATTTACTATAGAAAATTAATTTCTATTTATACCATGAAAATATATGTTAAAATATTGGTGCCTAGATTTAGGAAAACTGATGATTACGTAATACTTGGAATACAGAGATACATGTGGTAAGTAGGGTCTGTATCTGACCTAGTCCAGGAACTGTGCAAAATGATACTTGAGAAGAGGGGCCTTACACCTGTAATTATTGTAGGTGTCATCTAGAGCTTGGCTGCTCATTGTGGTCCATGGACTGGCAGCTTTGGCATCACTTGGACGGACTCTTGTTCAAAATACAGGGAACCTTAGCTCCAACCCTGACTGATTGGATTAGAATCTGCATTTTAACAAGGTCATAATTTACATGCACATTAAAGTTTGAGGAGGCCTGGGCTAAGAGGATTTTTAGAGATGGTGGAGAAATATATGCAGAGCACGATGTTGAGGACATATTATAAGAAATGATATTATGTAAGGATTGTTCAGATAGAATGAATTCCATGGTGGCCTTCCTAAGGATATTATTTCTTTTTTGTCCTAAAGTAGACAATTAGAAGTTGACTTTTAGAAGCTGGACTAGCTGCCATGAATCTGTACCTTTCACTGTTCTGACTGAGAGAAGAATAAGGATCACCCATTTCAAGTCTGAGATAGCAATCCATGATTTTTTAGTGGTCTAGGAAACTGTAGAAGACTCACTATTATGAAGATGCCAGTTCTTAAATTAATATATGGTTTTAATGTGATTTCATTCAAAATATCAGATTGGATAAGGCTGATAATAATTTTCATAAACATGAAAATTTTAAGCTGTATCATAAATGATATTTGTAGGCACAGTGTGGCAAACAGTAGGAAATACTTGAGGCTAGAGGTGACTGTTTTCAATGTTCCCATGGCCTGGGTCTTGCCTGACTTCCATCATGGTCGAAGGGATTATTACAGCAGCATGCCCATTGTCCATTCATGGAACCCCATTGGTAAGCTCTGTCTACCATCACAGGGTGAGTTTGGCCCATCTGTGTAGCCAGCTTGGTCAGCATCGTATGTGTGTAGCCTCACCATCCTCACGGCACCCTGCTGAGTCCACTGCCAACACCACTTCAGGACAATGAGAGTTATGGGCACCATGAAGCACTGAAAGTCTTTCAGTTCCATCTGATCCAATCATATGCTGTGCATTTATGACTGTAGACACTTAAATGCAGACAGACATGTTCTCTTAGGGATTCTGTAAGAAATACCTTGTTATTTCTTGCAATTTGTTCTGGGTGTGGCCTCATTTGGTGTCATGCCCAGGGGGCTGCTTCAGAGTTACCATCTCTCACGTGTCCAGGCTTAGGATGAATTTCCTGTCATAGGGTGATAATTAAGGGAGAAGCCTTACTAATGAAAGGCAAAACATAAAGGCCAAGGGCAGCATGGGAGGAGAAGACCTGGATCCCTCATCCTCCTATCATGCCAAAGAGAGGTGTGCTGGGTGCAGGGGTCCGGGCTGCTTAGCACTAGACATTCCAGGTTTGAAGTATCAGCTGTTTATAGGAGTTGCCATCCTTGACTTCTTCATGTATAATTTAAATTGCAGCTTTTATCACTTCCTGGAAAGTGTAAAGACCTTAGAGCCCTTATCTGCATTTATTCTTTCCATCTTTTATGCTAGCATTTTTCATTATTTATAGCTAATCTAAAAATAGCTAATATTTGCAACAAGAAGACATATTTGAGGCTTAATCAGAATAAAAGTTGATGTTTTGGAGTGTGCTCGAAAGTTCTGGAGACCTAATGGACAGCATGGTGACTATAGTTAATGATTATTGTACACTCGAAATTTTCTGAGAGTAGATCATTCTCACCATACATATACATACAAAGGTAACTTTGTGAGGTGATGGATATGTTAATTAACTTGAGTGTGGTAATCATTTTGCAATGTATATGTATATCAAAACATCGCCTTGTATACCTTAAATACCTACAATTTTTTTCTGTCAATCATACCTTAAGAAAGATTAACAAATAAAAAAATTCTAAAAATTGTACCTAAAGATACCACTTGAGCTAACAGAACTATAAAGAGAACCACTGTGTGCCCCTTATAGGATAGGACATTCGGTGTCTATAGTATGAAATGGCAAAGCACTGAATTAAACTTCTGCTTGTTAGATTTTGGAGTTGAGGCAATGTACCCACGAGGAACTTGTTTTGCTTCATAGCTGCTATTTTTAAATATAATGGAGAGATTACAGAGTGGAAAAATAAATCAATAATTTAGTTACTTATTATGACCTTAGATTACATAACACAATAAAAGGAAAGGCACCAGTTAGGGTTCTGCAGCTGAAATTTTGAAGAAAAACTCATGTCCAATATGTGGCTATGCTTTAAAAATCTATTTCTCTTTGTTCTTGTCATACTAAAGGAGTTCATCGACAAGTTTCAAGCAAGATATGAGTTTGCGATGCCTGTGACAGAAACAATATACCTATTCATATTACATGTCCACATAGAAAGAGAGAGTACTGATTATCTAAAAATTGGATCTTGATCATTAGAAAAGGAAAATGGGTTTTAAATTGTTTGAAAAAATTAAAATCCAAGCCCACTTGTAATATTTTCTCACTATCCATTTGCCTAATCAGGATTAGGATGAGTTCAATAATAATTTGAGGTGCTAAATAACAATCAGACTGGGAAAATGAAACTTATTATTAGAGTGAATTTCAGGACTGTTTGCAAAAACATGGCTGAAACATGAGCAGAATATTGGAATCCAGATATTAAAAGAAGGCAGTTGAACCAGGTAGAATGTATTATACCATTAGGTCTCATTAAAAATTACATATTCCAGGCCAGGCATGGTGTCTTATGCCTATAATCCCAGCATTTTGGGAGGCCAAGGCAGGAAGATCACTTGAGCCAAGAAGTTTAGGACCAGCCTGGGCAACATAGTGAGACCTGTCCCTACAAAAAATGCAAAAATTAGCTGGGTGTGGTCATGCACACCTATAGTCCCATCTACTAGGGAGCCTGAGGCAGGAGGACTGCTTGAGCCCAGGAAGTCGAGGCTGTAGTGAGCCGTGATCACACTGCCATGGCACTCCAGCCGGGGTGACAGAATGAAACCCTGTCTCAAAAAGAAAAAAAGGCCGGGCACAGTAGCTCACACCTGTAAACCCAGCACTTTGGGAGGCTGAGGCAGGCAGATCACTTGAGGTCAGGAGTTCAAGACCAGCCTGGCCAACATGGTGAAATCCCGTCTCTACTAAAAATACAACAAATAGCCAGGCATGGTGGCAGGCACCTGTAATCCCAGCTACTTGGTAGGCTGAGGCAGGAGAATCGCTTAAACCCAGGAGGCAGAAGTTGCAGTGAGCTGAGATTTTGCCACTGCACTCCAGCCTGGGCGACAGAGCAAGACTTCGTCTCAAAAAAAGAAAAAGAAAAAAGAAAAAAAATAGGAATACATATTCCTATTGCAGCAACTGGAAGTGATCTTAAAAAATGTTCTGTATCGGCTGACAGATATCTATTTATAGTGCTAACTATATTTTTTACATTAAAAACTCAGACCCTATGTGAACAGAAAATTAGCATTAACCTCTGATAATGGACTTAGCTATTCCACTCTAAAATGAGATTGTTTTAAAGTGGTTGGAAATTTATAAATGCTAGACAAAAGCAACCTAAACTCATCACCACCATTACCAACGTCACCACTACCACCATTGCTAGCATCATCATTGAGCATCCTAAAAGCCAGTAGTAAATGCATTTTTATTCACTATTTTTATTTTCATCAGAAAGACTTGTTTCTCTTACTATAAGAAGGGATATAAAGATGTGGCCTCACAGTCAGAGTCACAAACCTTTCAGAGCAGCAAGATAGGCAAGAAGTCTGCTTTATAACCAGGGCAACATACACTTTAAAAAATAAAAATAAATATGAGAAACACATAGTTTGAGTTCTGTTTAAAAAACTTCAGAGATCCCCCAAACCACAAGTATTTTCACCCAAATCTTCTTGGAATACTCTTGTATTTCATGAGTTAATTCTGGTTCTTTATCTCCCCTCCCTTGGGGGAGAAGGCACAGGGAAAGCCTTCCTTTTGGGCAGCTGTGAGTTGAGAGGAGAAGGCTATGGTTTTGCACAGCAAGGGCACGACTGTGAAGCACTGTGTCTTGGCTGCTGGCACAGAAATAAACTCCAGAATCCTCCAGTTCTGCAGGCTGCACCTTCAGAGTAGAATACGTCCCTCCAGTCCTTTCAGCTAAGAATCGATTGTTGGGCATACCGGACTCATCCTGTTTAGACTCTTTCACAAAATGTAACAGAAATTTTATTTCTTTTCCCATAACACGTCGATACCAATAAAGATTATCATGTCCAGAAATTGGGTCACATCTCAGAGTCACAGTCTGGCCCTTCTCTATTACGCTGTGGCTGGGGAACTGAGTAACTCCAGCTTCTATGTGCTCTGTGGGAAGAGACAAAAACAGAATACATGACATGAATAGACTGGGATAGGGTACAGCACAGATATTTAAGTACCTGAAGACTCACTTGCTCCCAGGAGACAAAGGGACACTAAACTGAGAAGCCTGGAAACCATGGCAGGACCCAGGTAAATCACATTTCCAGATGAAGGAGCTTACAAGCATGAGAAAAAGGAAAGCAAATCTGTCTCTTGGCCCTGTAAGATGTGGCCTCCAGTGACATCAGCATATTAGCCAATGTCCACAGTCTCAGGAGCTCCCTCTACGGACATGAAACATAGAAGACCTAGCCAGGGTTCTCTGAAGAAGATTGCCTCTAGAGGGGGCAATGGAGAAAAACTGACATCAATTAAAATCAACCTGTTTATGCATTTGACTAGGTGTTAACCTTATATATACCACTCGTAGCTCCTGAGTCTGATGTCTGGATCCTACCTCATCCCATCTGGCCCTGTCTTCCCTCATGTATCACATCCCCATAGACTGTGGGGCATTTTAATCTACGGTAGCTATTGTTGCTATTGCTAATGATCAATACTTACCTCCAAATTCTCTTTTCCCATTATCTCTCTAATGCACTCCAATCAACATTTTCCCCCCACCACTCTCAAACAGCATGCTCTAAACATGAAAGATTATCCTCAACTTTACTCCACCAACAGCCTTCCAGCTGAAAACCTTAGAGTGGTTCCCAAATCCTCTTTTTCTCTCCCACCCTATAGCCAATCCATTAGGAAATTCAACTGGCTCTATCATGAAAATACACTCAGAATCCATCCATTTTTTCATCACCTTCTTTGCTAACCCTCAGGACAAGGCCACCATCATCTTTTTCCTGGATTACTGCAATAGATTCCTAACTGATCTCCCTGCTTTCACCTACTTCTGAACTAGCTCTCAAACTCAGCCCTCTAGAACATGCTAGATCATGTCACTCATCTCCAAATCATCTACTAGCTCCCAGTTTTATTTGGAATAAGAAAACAAAACAACAAAGCACTTAAGGCCATCAAGGTCTTAAATGATCCATCCTGCCCCATTACCGCTTGGAAATAAAGTCTACCACTCCCTTCCTTAATTTTTCAGTCATATGGGCCTCCTCATTGGTCCTAAAATATTTTTTTAGGGTATTTGTACTGGCTCCTCCCTCTGCCTGGAATTCTTTTCCCCCAGATACCTACATGTCTCTTTCCTTCATCTCCTTGAAATCATTGCTCAAAGGTCACTTCCTCATTGGGCCCTACTCTGAACAATGTATTGTCATTTCAACGCTCCTTACTCTGACAGTCCTGGTCTCCCTCACCTTAGTCTGCCTTTTCTTTTCTGCATTGCAGGTATCACCTGCTAATACACTATATGCCTTACTTATTTATCTCTGTCTCTCCCTCCCCGCAAAAATGTAAACATCAAGTAGACATGAGTCTTTGTCTTTTTCTTTTTATTATGTGCACTGAGAACATAAAACAATGCCTAAAATTCTTTCAAGAGGAGGTACTGCTGGAATAAAATCTTGAAAGGAGACTAGACTTTTCCAATGAACTATGGAAGGCACACCCCAGACAGGGGGACATTGAAGTCTCAAAATTATTTTCTTTCATTATAGTTTGAGATGGGTGTCAGATAAAAACATGACAGCAAGGTTTGCAGAAAATATTATAAGAACATGAGTTTCTTGGCCTAGTCTCAGGTTAACTGGACATATTGGAGTGTGTTAATTTTGAGTGGCTGCTATAAAAATTACCACAAAGTTGCTGGTTTACAATGACAGAGATTTATTCTCACAGTTCTGGAAAAGTCCAAAATCAGTATCAATGGACCAAAATCCAGGTGTCATCAGGACCGTATTCCCCCTGGAGGCTATAGGAGAGGATTCGTTCCTTGCCTCTGTTTCTAGTGGCTGCCTCACTCCTTGGCTTGTGGTCACCTCACTCTAATCTCTTCTCCTGTGGTCACATTGCCTTCTCTTCTCCATTTGTGTCTGATCTCCCCCTGGCTATCTCTTATAAGGACACATGTAATTGCATTGAGGGCCACCAGGCTAATCCAAAATAATCTCCTTATCTCCAGATCCTTAACTTCATCACATCTGTAAAGTCTACTCTCACCATCTAAGGAAACAGAGGCAGATCCCAGGGATTAGGATGTGAATGTCTTTGTGGGGAGGGGTATTACTCAGCCAGCCACACAATACAAAATCTGGCTTTTGGAAATTCTCACAGGTATCATTTTCCTGCAATAGTAATGCATCAACTTTAATCTTTTGTACTTAAATCTGACATGGACATTCTCTTCACAATGGAGCCTCAATATTTGCCTCCTCACAAAACTAGCTTTGGTGGAGTCTGTGTGGCCCAGCGTGCTTGGGATTGTGCACAAAGGAGACTACAGAGGGAGCCCCTGTCTCAGAGAATCATCAGAGAAGCTCTAGTGATGGGCTTCTGAATGATGGGCTTCTGCTCAGCCTCCCTCACCACCCCTCCACCTCACCACGTTTAGGATGCAGTGAAGCAGAGGTCAAGAGGAAGAAGAGGTTGATTCTAGGTCTAACTGAGAGCTCCAAGACTGGGGAGTAAGGACAACTAACAGCAGCTTCACAAATTGGCTTGATAGGGACTCAGGTGACCCAAAGCTGGAGAATTGATGTCCTGTAGCTATAACAATACTACCAAGTGACTTTATATCCTTCATCCAACACCCACTAGTGCTAACATCACACAAACTAAGAATTTGACATTGGCACAACTAAGCTAGACTGTACTCAGATTTCCCCAGTTTTTCTAATAATGACCTTTTCCTGCCCTAGCACCTAATCCAGGATCCCATACTGCATTTAAGTGTCATATCTTCTTAGTGTTCTTCAATTTGTGACAGCTCTTTCCTTGTTTTTAACGATATTGACATTTGAAGATTACTGGTCAGGTGTTTTGTAGAATCTCTTTCAGTTTGGATTTGTTTGATGCTTTCTCATTATTAGACAGGAATTATAGATTTGGGGGAGGAATATTACAGATATGTAGTCACATGATAACATCACAACATTGCATCATAAGAGAATGCACATGAGGTTAACAAGACTTATTATGGGTCATGTTTATTTACTTTGGTCACTCGGTTACCATTTTTCTATTTCCCATGTCTGTTCATTAGAGGCAGGCCACTGAATCCAGGAGAGGGGAATCTAGAGGGATGAGTATAAAAGAATGTGTGGGCATATGTTAAAACCACCATATTAATTAATATTTTGGGGATGACACTTTGTGACTGTACAAATGATCCATTTCTTCTTAATTAGTTATTAAAGTTATTAGTTATTAATTAATAATTAAAATTAGCTACACCCACTAATTTTAGCACTCACTATTGGGTTTTATGTGTGGCAGTTACTCACAGTGGTGTTGTCACAGTGACTTTTCTATTTCCCTCTGTTTCTTCTACATATGCAATTTGGAATTCTTCAGTAAGAGATTGTCCTTTCTCACATTTTTTATTATTTATTTATTTATTTAATCGTTTCATTCTCAGTGTGAACTTGTGAATTTTCTTTTACAAATTGTTCCAGCCTTAGTCATTGGGGAAGCTCTTTCAGATTGATTCCTCTGTCCTTTTGAGATATGTCCCATCCTTTTTTTTTTTTTTTTTTTTTTGGAAAACCTCATTACAACATTCTTGTATTTTTTACCTCAGGGTCCTAGAACCACCTTTCATTTTTTTTTAATTGGAGAATAATATTTGGCAACAAACATCTGTGCACTAGTGGTCTTCTAAGTGGACAGAAGTATGAAATACATGTATATATACCAACCCATTATTCACACAGGTATGTATTCATTTCTTTACCATTGTATCTATACGTTTAAAAACAATAAATTCATACTGATATCTCCGAACAGGTATTCTTGTACATTAGAAATATTCTTTAGTTTTGCTCTGAGACTTAAGTTACTCGGAAACAGTTTGATATTTTGAAGTCTCACCCACATAGGCCAGGAGCCAAATGTGGCTTATTTAGTGAAGGGCTTATTTTGCTTTTATACTGAGGCATAAGTCATCTGAAACCTCTACTGATTGACCCATGAATTATTAAGTTTCCCATTCTCAATGCAAAAATATACATATACATATATATATGAGAGTAATATATGTATATATTACTCTCAGCCCTTTGTGAGCTCCAGGCATTGTTTCCTCTAATCTTGCTGAGTGGCTCTTTCTCCAACCTTAGGGAGTTTCCTCACACATGTACTGCTTACAGCACAGCTGAAGGGTTAAGGGAGACCCTAGGAAGGTCTCCAGGATTCTCTCTGTGCAGCAATCGCCTTTTCAATGGCCTGTCATGTGAAATCTAGCTGCTTTGATCTTGTATTTCCAACTCTGACTCAGCTCAGTGAGATCACCCAGCTCTGCTTGGATTCCTCTTTCTGGCCCAGGGCCTGGAAACTCCCTCCAGGTATTAAGACAGTCATAGTTCTCAGCTTGGTTGTTTCCATCTCTCAGAGATCACTGTCTTCTGTTGCCTACTTCCAATGTCTTGACAACCGTTATTCCACATGTTGTGTGAATGTGTGTGTGCAGGGGGACAGGGTGGGGGTTGGGGTGTTAGCTGTTTCAAGCAAGAAGTTAAATCTAATTCCCGTTAATCTATCTTGGTTGGAAGCAGAAGTTTACTCCAGAACCGTATTGAATCTCTTAATGCCAGGGTCTCCAAGGGTTTTAATGGTTATGGACCTTTTTGTCAGTTTTTGGGTATATGGTGTACATTCCATGCAGAGTATATTTCATTCCAAACACATGTGAGACACAGTCTGAAGATTCAATTTTTCTCTCCTAACTTTTCCTTTTTATCTATCACCCAAAGGCCTGACCAAACATCCAGTTTCCAATTATGTTTCTGGGTCTTTGGGGTGTAATACTTTTACTTTATAAAGCCTGGGAGCATTTTGAAGCTCCAGGATTAAGGCAAGCAATGTAATTCTGGCTGTTTTCTGTCATCTCTTTCATATGGACATTAAAATCCCAGCTCCAGCTGTGAGGCCTATACCGCTCTGAAAACTTACAGGTCTTTATAATTTTAAATTCCCCTTAATACTCTGCCTCTAAGCTCTCGCTTTTTTTTTTTTTTTTTTTTACATAGTAAATTCCTTTTTCTTTTTAGTTTGTCTGTATATTGTTTTATAGCAGTGGTGTTGTTTTAAATTTTGATGGTAAATAGTGTATCAAATTTAAAAAGCAAAAATTTTAAACAAAGACAAAGCTAATCATGTTCTTTCTGCTCTTTCTATATTTTATCACTCCAAATAACCAGCAAAATATATCACAACTTTTTTTCTTCCTTACCCAAGCATATAAAACTATATATAAACTTAACAGGGATATTTATTGATTTATTTTTTCTTAAATAATTTTATGTGCCATGGATTATTTTGAAAATATTTTCCCCTTGGAAGTTCATCTTTATCATTCCTACAAGAGAATGGATAAATATGCCTATTCGGCATTCTTTTAACTTTTTTGTACGTATGAAGTGAAGTGCGCACACACATAAAAGTGATAGAATCATACATTCTGGGTGCATAACTTTTTTTAGTACTTCTATAATTGTCAAAAGTATAACTATAATTGAAAGATGAAACTGATGAACTCATTAAAAGGTAACAAATTATTTTAATAGAAGAAAAGTATATAATTTTATATGCATAGAGGGACTTACAGACCTCAAGACACACTGTATCGTTATAATACTGCTTGACAAGGGTAAGGGACATTTTATGTTCTCTGTGTCATTGAAAGGGGCACAGAGTAGGCCCCATTTTATTTTCCAGGTAAGAAACAGAAAAAGAAAAGAGCTGAAGACATATGCAAAATTTCACAATCACCTTGGAACACATAGTCTAAGTCAGATAAGGAATATAGTACATGAGGAGATGATATATGGTGCAATATTTGCAGGAGAAGTCAATTAGTGGTCCTGATGGGGTTGAAGAATTGCTGCAGAAGTAGTACCAGAGATGAAAAGAGAAGCCCGCATGAGACAATGGGATGCTTGAGGAAACTATTTGGGGGTAATTCAAATAATTTGTCATTGGAATCTAGAAAAAGAAAGTGGAAATGAATATCTGACACAAGGTGAAGGAAATGATCATTTGAAGTGAGCAAGTGAAAAAACTGGGAAGCCAATATTGATGTTGGAAGTCATCAAAGATGTTGAAAGTTTTAAGGTAGAAGAGAAAAGAAATGGCAAAGAAGCCATAACGGAAAGCAGCAAAGGAGATAAGCATCCATGTGCAATGGCTGCACAGTTTTAAGCTCACTCAATCACTTGAAAGCTCCAGTCTGTGACACTCGCCCTCAAACTTGGACTCAGGCACCCTTGTGAGAAGTATGTGTGGAATCCCAGGAACCATCACACCCACTGACTTCCTACCAAAAGTTTCCTAACGTGATGTGTCCTTATGACCTGTTCTTGCCTTGCCTAGGGACATGTGGAACACGAAACCTATGTACTTCCTGTGCTAGGGGAGGAGCAAGAAAGGCTGCTGAGAGCTGCTGGGTACTGGAGGAGAAGAGGAAGCACCAGGGTTTCTGCACAGGGAGCAGGTGATTCTGCAGCGCTGTGACCAAACCACTAGCACAAAAATACACAGCTGAGTCCCTGGGTTCTGAGGGCTGGATCTTCAGAGTGGCTAAAGTTGCATCAGGCATCTCTGCTGAGAATCGATCCTTCGGCATCCCCGAATCATCTAGAGGAGCCCGGTTGCGGAAGTAAGCCAGCAACTCCAGTCCTTGCATCATGGTCTGTCTGTACCAGAAAACAGTATTGTGGCCTAAAATTGGCTGACATCTCATTGTTACTTCTTGTCCCATCTCTGTCACCTTGTCCCTTGGTGTCTGGGTGACTCTAGCATCTATAAGCTCTGTGAAAAGAGATAGAATTTGGGGACAGAATAAGAAACATAATTGGAATCATAACTGGCAATATCCAAAAATGCAGGTGCTTTATTTGTGGGGACTCACCTTCTCCCAGGAGACAAAGAACCACACAGCAGAGGAGCCTGGTGGCCATGGCAGGGTGGGGCAGGTGGAGCCTTCACCTAGATGAGGCCCTTGTGGGCACGAATACAGGAGCTGAGGATTCTAGACCTCTCACCCAGAGTAAAAGGGGGACTGTCAGTGACATCACCATCTCTGTCCCTGCTCAAAGGACCTTCCTCCAAAGGTGAATGCTAAGTCTGTACAGAAGATTGACTGAAATAAATTACAATTACTCTGGGATGTGTTTGGTTCACTCAAAGACTCCAAACATCCCCATTAGCTGTCACCTCTCCTGGCTGCAGTGCTTCTGTGGCATTGCACATCACATCACCCATTCTGCTTTCTCTGACGCGTCACATATTGATCTGCCTGGTGCATATTGCCACTTAGGTGTACCATCAGCACCTCAAATTCTGGACATCAATAAATTACTTGTGAAATCTCAAGAACTTTATTGTTCCCCTTACCGGCCATCCTTATATCCCAGACACACAAAATCAAAATAATGTGTTGCTTAGTTAGAGCTTTGCCCCAGATCCCTCCTGGAAGCATCTGGACCTCCATGCTCCTCATGCAGAGAACAAGGTGGCTGCCCTGGAAAGAGATAGAACTGTGCAGATTTTATTTCCAGTGAGGGCTGGAGATGGATACTCTCGTGCTCCGTGACTCCCCCAGCCCACAGCACAGTGTCTTCTGCATTTCTGGAGGACAAGGTCCCATTTCGCTTCTCCAGGGTAAGGTTCAAAATTATGTTAATTCTTTGGGCATGGGTGAAGATTGAGCAGTGATAAGTAAGAGCTTTGACCTTCCTTGAAAACCACAATAAGGCACTCTCCAGTTAAATGTGATCTTCCTCTTACTTCTAAGAAAGCACTAACAGGTTCCTTTAATGATTAACACTTGAGTCTCTTGTTATAGTAAGTCAACCAATACTCACAAATAAATTCTTTCTGGTGAGGGGGTGAAACTCTAGAAAATGGCCTGCTTTTTAGGGTATAAATAGTAGTAAGAATTCTGTTCATAGAGTGGATGTGACACACTAGTTCCATGTCTCTGCTGTTGGCACAGAGATTTTTCCTCCAACACCCCAAAGAGGGGAGTATGTCAAGTGACAGAGAAACATATGACTGGCAGGGTGAGAAGTTACAACCGTGATATTTTTGTAATGTTAGAGAATCAGCAGTAACCACTCCTTTCTGGTCCTGTATTTGTTTGTGTATGTGTGTGTGCTGGTGGGGGGTCTTGTGCTTTCTGCAATCAGGTGTCTTCAGACTCCATAGCATCCTGAGATTTGTGGATGGAGAAGGCAAAACCTAGATATAGGGCTTAGGAAGGAAGATGAAAACACAAACATAGAAAACACTTTGATTCAAGGCCACAATATTCTAGGATAGGGATTAAAAAAATTTTTTTTTAGCATATCCAGGTCTAACCTCTTCCAGGGTACAGAGTCATGAAACAAAGAAACTGTGAGCATATAACAAGAAGAGCACATGAGTGAGGTATCTCCTTCCTCTGTGCTCTGATCTTCAATGGAAAATGAAATCAGAATTTGGGACACCACAGGCCCTGGTAATTTTTCTGATGATATTAATGTATTTGTCGGCTTATGAGGAATGAGGAGCCCTCTGACTTATACCACAGTTAGGCTGTCCTTCTCAGGCCCTGACTTAAAGCCCCCACCACATCAGCATGATGGAACCAGGCTAGGTTTAAAGGAAAGCCCATTCCAACAGCTTCCCTCATGTTCCTGAAACCGTTGCTGTCTCAGTGATTGGCATTAGCTTATGAAACAAGATTCTTCTGTGTTTCTTTTAATGAAGGCCACTTATTTGAGCAGGAAGAGGCTTCTGTGACTATACTGTCACAGAGATGACCCTGTCCCACTCTCACGTAACATTAATATGTTGAGCATTACAGGGCAGGGTCCTTCTCTACCATAATATTGGCCACAATTGTTGCAGCCTACCTTTGTGCCACCTATGAAAACATTTCTGTGGGTTAGTGAGAGTTAGTTTGGAGGATAAAAGGAGATAGGAATCATGTGTGCTCTTTTACTTCTTCTCTTTCTGACCCAAAAAAACCCCCTATAACTTTTTATTGTAATTCGAACTGCATTGTACTAGTGGTATATCAGTGGCTTCTTTGTCTGACAACCATCCCAAACTTGCCTAAAATCCCAACCTCACTATTGGTCTTAGCCCATTCGCACAGGTTTAGAAGTTTTTGGGTCCTCCCTTCTCTTTCCAGTGCTTTTTCAGTGCTCAACAGGTAGGACTCATGATTCAGGTACCAAGCCTGAGCTTCTTCTTAGTTTCCCATGGCCTGACAGTCCTCTTAGCAACTCTAAAGTGTCAGTGAGTGGTTGTGGCACTGAAGTGTCTCCTGGTGGCCAGAAGGACTCAGTCACTAAAAATGAGCCCTTTGTCAAGACCCAAAGTAATATATGCTGTGTTACATTGGCACAGTGGTCATGCGCAGGGGTAACCACTCTTTCTGACCTAAGATTCAAAACACCTGAGAGAAAAATACTCATGTCAGATCAACTGAAGTGGAAATGTGAGCTTTGATTCTGGTAAAGAAGGGGCTGAGCTTTGCAGCTTATTGGGCTAGCTAGCATTCTCCTGAATCGAATATGCCCTTCCATTACCTTTTCCTTAGCGGACAGGATCCCCTACTGAATAAAGAGTTGGCTCACTACTTTTTTTTTTTTTCTTTTTGAGATGGAATTTTGCTTTTGTTGCCTAGGCTGGAGTGCAGTGGCGTGGTCTCGGCTCAATGCAACTTATACCTCCTGGGTTCAAGTGATTCCCCTGCCTCAGCCTCCCATGTAGCTGGGATTACAGGCTTGTGCCACCATGCCAAGCTAATTTCTGTATTTTTCATAGAGACGAGGTTTCACTATGTTAGCCAGGCTGGTCTCTCACTCCTGACCTCAGGTAATCCACCCGCCTCGGCCTCCCAAAGTGCTGGGATTACAAGCGTGAGCCACTGGGCCTGGTCTAGCTTAAGCTGAATTTCTAGAAGTTTGAAAGGCTTTGTAAATTTGTCCTGTTCTTTCTCAAGCACATGTAGTATTAGCAATATTCACTAGAATTAAATTCCTTCTTAAATTTTATGTTTGTACTTGTCACTAGTCTTTTCAAAATATTCTAGATTTGATCTCTGTGGTCTTCTCTATTGAGAGATGTGCAATTAACAATGTCTGGATCCTCTAAAGCAAGCACTATTAAGATAAATATTGAATATCTTTAATTTCCTTGGTTGAGCAATTGTATCTAAAAGGTATTCTCATTTTTTGTTTGCCTGCTTTTCCTTTAATATGTTCCATCTTTCTTACACTTTCTTAAGACTCATAATTTTAAAAATAATTAAGCAGGCTCCTTTCAAGCACAGGCTAGAGCTGAACATCAAATAATTTGAGAGTCTTCAATTGATGTCTCAGGGCATCTCTTCTCAAAAATGTCCAAATTGCATATAACCCTTTATATAGTGTTGATTTTAAGTCATTCCTTAACAAATCCCCAAATCCTGTCTTCCTCTGTAAAGTTTATCTAGTCTCCCCTCTGAGATCCTGTATCTTTGTTTTTCCTCCATGAAGATTCTTTACATCCAGTTATCTTGCCTGCCTTAGTAACAACCAAAATAAATCTCTTCTAATAACTCCTTGAGAGCAGTTGACCCTGAGTGCATTTCCTCTTCCCTCTAAAATTGATCTTTCCTGGATATGAGAGCCTCTTCTTTCTTTCTTTTCTTTTCTTTCTTTTTTTTTTTAATTGGGGGTGAGGTCTCACTCTGTCACCTAGGCTGGAATACAGTAGCATGCTCTTGGCTCACTGCAACCCCTACCCCCTAGGCTCAAGTGATTTTCCCACCTCAGCCTCCCGAGTAGCTGGGACCACAGGCATGCACCACCAATCCCCAGATAATTTTTTTTTATTTTTAGTAGTGATGGGATCTCACTATGTTGCCGAGGCTTGTCTCAAACTCCTGAGCTCAAGTGATCCGCCTGCCTCAAATTCCCAGAGTGCTGAGATTACAGGTGTGAGCCACCACACCCGGCCGAGAACCTCCTCTTTCTTTCATATGAGAAATATGTCTTCTAAGAAGTTAGAACTATTCCTAAGGAAGTCTTGTTCCTCTTCCATTTTAATGAACCTATATTTTTAATTTTGGTTATAATAGTTTATAAATGGTTAAAAGGAATCCAGTCCCCAAATTCTTGTGTTTGAATCCCTCTTTCCTCCATTTACTAGCCATGTGACATGAAGAAAATTATGTATCTTCTCTCTACTTCAGTTTACTCTTCCATAAAATAAGGCATTCTAAGTAGATGCTGAATATTTTCTACTTGGAAAATGAACCCACTTGAAATGCCCAAAACACAGTAAGAATTATATAAAAGCTTTCAATTTTAAATATTCTTCCTTTGCTCCTGTTCTGATGATCAGAAGGAAGTATCACTTCAAAATACTGTAGTGTCTCATCCATTTTCTTAGCAAATTAAAATTCTCCATAACAAGTATTCCAAGCACAGGCATTCTTTTAATTCTGCTCTCAGCTTTTGTAATAATAATGTTGATTGATTTTGAATCTTTGTGTGTACATGCTCTAATTTCTTTCAGAGTCCTCCTCATTACATTTTCTTCAAAGGAGAGAGCCTTGACAGGTGTGCTTACTATCACATACTCTAAATTATTTCTGTCTAGGAGCTCACTGTTTATGATAGCTCACTCTCTTTAATTTCAAGAGTCTTGGAAATATACATTCTCCCATAACAAGCCACCTGATGAGGCAATTCAAATGGTTATCTTCTTTTTTTTTCTTCGACTTTTTTTTTCTTTGATTCAACTTTATTTTTTTTATTTTTTATTTTTTTTATAGTATTTATTGATCATTCTTGGGTGTTTCTCGGAGAGGGGGATTTGGCAGGGTCATAGGACAATAGTGGAGGGAAGGTCAGCAGATAAACATGTGAACAAGGGTCTCTGGTTTTCCTAGGCAGAGGACCCTGCGGCCTTCCGCGGTTTTTGTGTCCCTGGGTACTTGAGATTAGGGAGTGGTGATGACTCTTAAGGAGCATGCTGCCTTCAAGCATCAGTTTAACAAAGCACATTTTGCACCGCCCTTAATCCATTTAACCCTTAGTGGACACAAGACATGTTTCAGAGAGCAGGGGGTTGGGGGTAAGGTTATAGATTAACAGCATCCCAAGGCAGAAGAATTTTTCTTAGTGCAGAACAAAATGGAGTCTCCCATGTCTACTTCTTTCCACACAGACACAGTAACAATCTGATCTCTCTTTCTTTTCCCTACATTTCCCCCTTTTCTATTCGACAAAACCGCCATCGTCATCATGGCCCGTTCTCAATCAGCTGTTGGGTACACCTCCCAGACGGGGTGGCGGCTGGGCAGAGGGCTCCTCACTTCCCAGACGGGGTCGTGGCCGGGCAGAGGCGCTCCCCACATCCCAGACGGGGCGGCGGGGCAGAGGCGCTCCCCACATCTCAGACGATGGGCGGCCGGGCAGAGACGCTCCTCACTTCCTAGACGGGATGACGGCCGGGAAGAGGCACTCCTCACTTCCCAGACTGGGCGGCCGGGCAGAGGGGCTTCTCACATCCCAGAGGATGGGCGGCCAGGCAGAGACGCTCCTCACTTCCCAGACGGGGTGGCGGCCGGGCAGAGGCTGCAATCTCGGCACTTTGGGAGGCCAAGGTAGGCGGCTGGGAGGTGGAGGTTGTAGCTAGCCGAGATCACACCACTGCACTCCAGCCTGGGCAAGATTGAGCACTGAGTGAGCAAGACTCCGTCTGCAATCCCGGCACCTCGGGAGGCCGAGGCAGGCAGATCACTCGCGGTCAGGAGCTGGAGACCAGCCCGGCCAACACAGCGAAACCCCGTCTCCACCAAAAAATACAAAAACCAGTCAGGCGTGGTGGCGCGCACCTGCAATCCCAGGCACTCGGCAGGCTGAGGCAGGAGAATCAGGCAGGGAGGTTGCAGTGAGCCGAGATGGCGGCAGTACAGTCCAGCCTCGGCTCCGCATCAGAGGGAGACCGTGGAAAGGGGAGACAGAGAGGCAGAGGCAGAGGCAGAGGCAGGGGGAGGGGGAGGGGGAGGGGGAGGGGGAGGGAGAGGGAGAGGGAGAGGGAGAGGGAGCTCTTCGACTTTTATTTTAAGTTCCAGGGCACCTGTGCAGGAAGTGCAGGTTTGTTACATAGGTAAACATGTGCTATGGTGGTTTGCTGCACAGATCATCCCATCACCCAGGTATCAAGCCAGCATTCATTACCTTTTCTTGCCTCATGCTCTCCCTCCCACTAACCGTCTTCTGACAGGCCCTAGTGTGTCTTGTTCCCTGTGATGTGTCCATGTGTTCTTACCATTCAGCTCCCTCTTATAAGTGAGAACATGCAGTGTTTGGGTTTCTGTTCCCATTAGTTTGCTGAGTGTAATGGCTTCCAACTCTATCCATTTCCCTGCAAAGGACATGATCTCATTTCTATTTATTTATTTATTTATTTATTTATTTATTTATTTATTTTTTGAGATGGAGTCTTGCTCTGTCATCCAGGCTGGAGTGCAGTGGCACGATCTCAGCTCACTGCAAGCTTCGCCTCCCGGGTTCATGCCATTCTCCTGCCTCAGCCTCCCGAGTAGCTGGGACTACAGGTGCCCGCCACCACGCTCAGCTAATTTTTTGTCTTTTTAGTAGAGATGGGGTTTCACTGTGTTAGCTAGGATGGTCTCAATCTCCTGACCTCGTGATCTGCCTACCTCGGCCTCCCAAAGTGCTGGGATTACAGGCATGAGCCACCGTGCCCAGCCTGATCTCATTTCTTTTTATGCCAACATATAATTCCATGTTGTATGCACCACATTTTCTTTATCCAGTCTATCACTGATGGGCATTTAGGTAGATTCCATGTCTTTGCTATGGTGAACAGTGCTGCAATGAACATACACATGCATGTATCTTTATAATAGAATGATTTATATTCCTTTGGGTATGTACCCCATAATAGAATTGCTAGGTCAAGTGGTATTTCTGCCTCTAGGCCTTTGAGGAATCACCACACTGTCTTCCACAGTGGTTTAACTCATTTACACTCCCACAACAGTGTAAAAGTGTTCCTTTTTCTCTGCAACCTTACCAGCATCCATTGTTTTTTGACTCTTATAATAGCCATTCTGGCTGTCATGAGATGGAATCTCATTGTGGTTTGATTTACATTTCTCTAATGATCAGTGATGTTGAGCTATTTTTTAAATGTTTCTTGGCCACATGTATGTCTTCTTTTGATAAGTGTCTGTTCACGTCCTTTGCCTACTTTTTAATGGGGTTGTCTGGTTGTTTTTTTGTTGTAAGTTTAAGTTCCTTGCAGACTCTGGATATTAGACCTTTTTCAGATAGATAGATTGCAAAAAAAATTTCTCCTATTCTACAGGGTGTCTGTTTACTCTGATGATAGTTTATTTTGCTGTGCAGAATCTCTTTAGTTTAATTAGATTGCATTTGTCAATTTTTGCTTTTGTTGCAATTGCTTTTGGCATGTTCGTCATGAAATCTTTGCCTGTGCCTATGTCCTAAATGAGATTGCCTACGTTTTCTTCTAGGGTGTTCATAGTTTCGGGTTTTACATGTAAGTCTTTAATCCATCTTGAGTTAATTTTTGTATATGGTGTAAGGAAGGAGTCCAGTTTCAATTTTCTGCATTTGGCTAGCCAACTCTCCCAACACCATTTAGTAAATAGGAAGTCCTTTCCCCATTGCTTGTTTTGTCAGGTTTGTTGAAGATCAGATGGTTGTAGGTGTGTCGTATTATTTCTGAGTTCTCTATTCTGTTCCATTGGTCTATGTGTCTGCTCTTGTACCAGCACCATTCTGTTTTGGTTATTGTAGCCTTAAAGTATAGTTTGAAGTCTGGTAGCATGATTCCTCTAGCTTTGTTCCTTTTGCTTATGATTGTCTTGTCTATTTCTATTCAGGCTCTTTTTTGGTTCCATATGAATTTTAAAATAGTTTTTTTTCCTAATTCTGTGAAGAACGTCAATGGTAGTTTAATGGGAATAGCATTGAATCTATAAGTTACTTTGTACAGTATGGCTATTTTCACAATATTGATTCTTCCTACCCATGAGCATGGAATGTTTCTTCATTTGTTTGTATCTTCTCTCATTTCTTTGAGCAGAGGTTTGTAGTGGGCCTTTAGTGCAATACATTTCCCTCTTAACACTGATTTATCTGTCCCAGAGATTCTGGTACATTGTCTCTTTGTTCTCATTAGTTTCAAATAACTTCTTGATTTCTGCCTTAATTTTGTTATTTATCCAAGAGTCATTCAGGAGCAGGTTGTTCAATTTCCATGTAGTTGTGTGGTTTAAGTGAATTTCTTGATCTTGAGTTCTAATTTGATTGAACTGTGATCTGAGAGACTGTCATGATTTCAGTTGTTTTGCATTTGCTGAGGAATGTTTTACTTCCAAATATGTGATCGATTTGAGCAAGAGCCATATGATGATGAGAAGAGTGTATATTCTGATGTTTTCAGGTGAAGAATTCTATGGATATCTATCAGTTCCACTTAATCCAGAGCTGAATTTGGGTCCTGAATATATTTGTTAGTTTTTGGTCTCAGTGATGTTTCTAATACTGTCAGTGGGGTGTTAAAGTCTCCCACTATTTTTGTGTGGGAGTCCAGGTCTCTCTTTGTAGGTCTCTAAGAACTTGCTTTATGAATCTGGGTGCTCCTGTATTGGGTGCATATATATTTAGGATAGCTAGCTCTTCCTGTTGAATGGAACCCTTTACCGTTATATAATGCCCTTCTTTGTCTTTTTTGTTCTTTGTTGGTTTAAAGTCTGTTTTGTCAGAAACTAAGATTGCAACCCCTGCTTTTTTCTGTTTTCCATTTGGTTGGTAAAATTTCTTCCATCCGTTTATTTTGAGCCTATGTTTGTCTTTGCATGTGAGATGTGTCTCCTAAAGACAGCATATCAGTGAGTCTTGGTTCTTTACTCAGCTTGCAATTCTATATCTTTTAATTGTGGCATTTACCCTGTTTACACTTAAAAGTTAGTATTGTTATGGGTAAGTTGGATCCTGTCATTACTATGCTACCTGGTTATTTCACAGACTTGTTTATGTGGTTGCTTCATAGTGTTGCTGGTCTGTGTATTTCAGTGTGCTTTGTAGGGCTGGTAATGGTTTTCTTCTTTCCATATTTAGTGCTTCCTAGAGGAGCTCTTGCAAGGCAGTCCTGTGGTGACAAATTTCCTAAGTGTTTGCTTGTCTGAAAAGGATCGTATTTCTTCTTCACTTACGAAGCTTAGTTTGGTCAGATATGAAATTCTGGGTTGGAGATTCTTTTCTTTAAGAATGTTAAAGAATAGCTTCCAACCACTGTACTTTATAAGGTTTCCACGGACAGGTCTGCTGTTAGTCTGATGGGCTTCCGTTTGTAGGTGGCCTGGCCATTCTCTCTGGCTGCCCTTAACATTTTTTTTTCATTTCAACTTTGGAGAATCCGATGATTATGTGTCTTGGGGTTTATCTTCTCATGGAGTATCTTACTGGGGTTCTCTGCATTTCCTGAATTTGAATGTTGGTGTGTCTTGCTAGGTTGGGAAAGATCTTCTGGATCATATCCTGAAGTATGTTTTCCAATTTGACTCCATTATCCTTATCTCTTTTAGGTACCCCAGTCAGTCATGGGTTCAGTCTCTTTACATAATCCCAAATTTCTGGGGGGTGTTGTTCATTCTTTTCCCTCTATTCTTGTCTGCCCCTCTTATTTAAGAGAGATAGTGTTCAGACTCTGAGATTCCTTCTTCCACTTGGTCTGTTCTCCCACTGATACTTGTAATTGCATTGTGAAGGTCTTGTGTTGTATTTTTCAGCTCCATTAGGTTGATCATGTTCCTCTGTAAACTGGTTATTCTGGCTGTCAGCTCCTGTATTGTTTTATCATGATTCTTAGCTTCTTTGCATTGGATTACAACATGCTTCTTTAGCTCAGCAAAGTTCATTATTACCACCTTCTGAACCCTACTTCTGTCAATTCAGCCATTTCAGCCTCAGCTCAATTCTGTGCCATTGCTGGAGAGGTGTTACAGTCATTTGGAGGAGAAAAGGCACTCTTGCTTTTTAAGTTTTCAACATTTTTGTGTTGATTCTTTCTCATTTTTGTGGGCTTATCTACCTTCAATCTTTGAGCTTGCTGACCTTTGACCTTGGATTTTCTGGGGTCCTTTTCATTGATACTGTTCTTGTTGTTTTCTGTTTTTTGTTTTTCCTTTACTAGTCAGGCCACTTTATTGTAGGGCTGCTGTGGTTTGCTGGAAGTCCGCTCCAGACCTTAGTTGCCTCGGTTTTTCCCATACTGGAGGTATCATCAGTGAAGGCTGTGAAACAGCAAAGATGGCAGCCAGCTTCTTCCTCTGGAAGCTCCATCCCTGGGGGGTACTGACCTGTTGCTGGCCAGAACACACCTGTAGGAGGTGGCTGGAGACCCTGTTGGGAGTTCTCATCCAGTTGGGATGAACAGGATCAGGGGCCTGATTAAAGAAGCAGTCTGTCTGCTTTTTGGTAGAGCAAATGTGCTGCATTATGAGGAGGCTTTCTCGTCCAGACCATTTGGATTCTGCAAAGCCAACAGGCTAGAAGGACTGAGTTGACTGAACTGCAGAGATGGAGGCTGCCCCTCCCTGCCAGGAGCTCCATCCCAGGGAGAGATCAGAGCTCTCAATGTAGAACACTGGCTAGAATGGCTGAAGCCTCCACAGGGAGGTCCTGCCCACTGAGAAGGGATGGATCAAGGTCCTGCTTAAAGAAGCAGTCTGGCCATGATCTGGCAAGGCAGCTGTGCTGCATTATGGGGAACCTTTCCTCATCCAGACCATTTGTATTCTCCAAAGCTGGCAGGCTTAAACAGCTAAGTCTACTGGACTGCAGAGATGGTGGCCACCCCCTTTCCCCAGGAATTCATACTTATCTCAGGCAGATTCTAGGCTGTTGCTATTGGCTATCTGGAATTCCAAGCCAGTGCGTCTTAACTTGTGAGGTGCTATGGAAGTGGGGCCTGCAGAATGATGCTGCTTGGCTCCCTGGATTCAGCTCCCTTCCTAGGGTTATATGTGGACAGATTTCCTGCCTTGCTGGGGATCCTGAGGCTGGAATGTGTAAAACTCCTGGGTCTCTGTGTGTGCCTGAGCAGCTGCTCTGCTAAGACTCCATGCAGCTCTGTGTACTGGATCCAAGGCCCTGTTGTTGTGGGCTTGTGAGGGGATCTCCTGATCCATGTGTTGCAAAGATCTGTGGGAGAAGAGTCGTTTCCTGGGCAGGGTCACACAATCACTCACTGCTTCCTTTGGCTGGGGGTGGGGGTTCCTTTGGCTCTGTGCTGCTCCTGGTGGGCCATCATGCCCCACACCCCCTGCTTTTCTTTGTTCTCTGTGGGTTGAGTTGTTTGCCTAGACAGTCCCAGTGTGAGAACCTGAATATCTCAATTGACAGTGCTAAATTCACTCACCCCGTTTCATTCCTCTCCCTGAGTGCCATGGACCACAGCTGCTTCTAATTGGCCATCTTGTAGACCCTGAATAGTTATCTTCTTACTGTCTGAAAGACTTAATATCAGGTTTGACCCTTCATTAAAAAAAAAAAAATTGGCCAGGCACTGTGGCTCATGCCTGTAATCCCAGCACTTTGGGATGCCAAAGCAGGTGGATCACCTGAGGTCGGGAGTTGGAGACCAGCCTGACAAACATGGAGAAACCCTGTCTCTACTAAAAAAAAAAAAAAAAATTAGCCGGGCATGGTGGCACATTCCTGTAATCCCAGCTACTCAGAAGGCTGAGGCAGGAGAATCACTTGAACTTGGGAGGCAGAGGTTGCAGTGAGCCAAGATTGTGCCATTGCACTCCAGCCTGGACAACAAGAGCAAAACTCCATCTCAAAAAAAAAAAAAAAAAAAAAATTTCACCAGTGAAGGAGAAGTTTGTAATCATCCAGGATTTGGGAAAATATCCAGACAAGAGTAGCTGGCATTGTATAGCTAAGTATATGATGGAGAACCCCAAAACTTGCAGCCACACGATGCAAAATACACACTCTGTATTTGAACTGAGGAGCGAACACAGTAATAGGTCTGTCACTAAACCCAAATAAGTCTGTTGGATGTTACTAGTCTATAATTAGAATAATCTACTGGTAATACTAAAAGGACACGTCTATTTTACATGAAAAGTAATTTTCCCTGCATATTACATATTTTGGGAAACAACACTGTTGAATTTGTGCTTCTATGTCCAAGAATGACCAAAGGTTGGTGAGTGAGGCTCAGTAAAGGTCGGTGAATCAGACTCAGTAAAAGCCAATGACCACACTGGGAAGTGACTCAGAGACACCAGAAATAGTTCATAGGACTCGATATGCAAGCAGGAAATGCAAAGACCATGGTATCTTCAATGCCTAATGCAGTAATATCTCTAATTACTGGAATTGCAAAAATGTTTAAAGAATTACTAATTCAGGATGGTAAACTGAGTACCTTCCCATACAAAAGAATAAAAAATAACAATAAAAAATGCTGAAAACAAGAAAAGATATTTTTCAGAATCAGAAATGTTAAGGGCTTCTGGAGGTTTGAAAGCTGCTGGGAACTGTGTTCATGTGTAAATCAAAATATTAAACAGAACAAAGACATCAGAGTTGAGCGACACTCTTCATAAAAAGAACAAGCTTGGAATTAGTAATGGTCTATAGGATTATGGTTAGGACAATTTTAAGAAATCGATATTGCAATATAGAGTATATCAATTGACACCTGCACAGTAATGCTGTATAACAAGCCTCACTCAAATCTCACTGGTTAAAGCAATAATAATTTATTATTGCTCATGAGTCTATGGGTTAAATAGACAGTTCTGCAAATCTCGAAACAGTCATAATATTCCTTTGTTGGATATGTAGTTTACAAATGTTTTATCCATTGCTGTGGCTTCTTTTTCATCCTCTTAACAAGGTCTTTTACAGATTAAGTTAAAACCGGAGAATTCCCTTATTCTCCTCGCAGGACATGTGACAGGGGGATGGCTCACTTCACTGGTGCCCCAGTGCTCAAACCCCTAGGGGGAGCATGCAGACGGGCAGGTGCAGAGGCCATGGGGAGTGCTTTTGGGCTCCCAAGGGATGGCAGCGTCTAGGACTTACAGTGCACTCTTTCAGCTATGCCGTCTGCCGTCTGCTTGCATTAGTCAACTCAATAGACCCTCTGCTTATTGCAAGGACAGGGGGCCAATGTGACAGCCTGAGCTCTTGACCAGTGTACTGGAAGAATCAGATCATATGTGGGCTGAAAGGTTGAGTGCAAGCTTTTATTAAGTGGTGTAAGTGGCTCTCAGTGAGATAGATGGGGAGCCAGAAGTCGAGGGATGGAGTGGAACGGTGGTTTTCCCCTGCAGTTGGCTGCCCAGTGGCAGGACTCTCGCAGACTTCCTCTGGCTGAACTCCCCTTGCATTCGTGTCCTTCCGCCATCGCTGATCTGCCGGTGTCTGCTGCTGTATTCTTCTGCTCTTCTAGATGTCCAGCCTCTTGTGTCCGTGTCCGCTTAAGGTCTCGGGTTTATATGGGCACAGGATGGGAGGCGTGGCGGGCCAAAAGGCAACTTTTTGAGTGCAAAAACAGAAACGCCTGTCCTCATTTAGGTCTGTGGGCACAGGCCCGAGGGTGGAGCCCTCACCAGGGACCCCGCCCTTCTCTACCCAGCACTTCCCTGCCCCCAGTCTTGTATCAAAATGTTTTTAATTTGAATGAGGGAAATCTTTCTTGGAAGATTTAAAGTGGTGGGGAATGTGGACTTAAATAGAAGCAAAACATATCTTAACCATATTTGAGCTTCTGAACTTCCTCACCTTCGAAAGTATGTAAAAAATAGTTTAATTTCTATAATCTGCATGGTTGTTTTGTTCCTAAAATGTGTATCTATTTTACTCCACTGTGAAAATAGAGTATATAGAACCATTTCCTGCTTCATAGAGAAAGAAGCATTCAGTAGTGTCTTGAGTGACTAGAAGTATTGAACAATATGAAGAAGGTAGCAGAAATTGCAAGAACAAATGTATGAACAGGCATTAAATTGTGTAAGACTGTTTTGTAAGGGTATGAAGTGCACTTGATAAAGTAACATTTATCTTACTCAGTAGTCAAAAATAAGATAAGATATGGTCCAAATGTTTTAAAATTCAAATGCCCTCCCGAGGTGACATTTTTATCTGGTGAACAATGGAGAATTGTTGAATGTATAAAAATTGAAAAGTGGTTTTAGGAAAATGATTGTGTCACTGGTAGAATAATTCAGGCTTCTTGCAGGCCTGACTGGGATACTTGGGAGAAGGATGTTCCAAGCAAAGGGAATAGCTTGAGCAAAGGTTCTAAGGCAGAAGTGTGCCTTGTGTATTCGAGGAATGGCCAGAAAGCCACTGTGTTGTGAAAAAATAAGCAAGGGAAAGAGGAACAGACAGGAGGCAAGAAATACAACAGGGAGGGGGATCACCGAGGACCTCGTAGGCCTATGCAGGCTGTAGGCTTTTCTCTGAGTGAAACGGGAATCTACTGTATGGTTTAGTGGACGAGTGACAACATCTAACCTAAAGGATCACTCTGACTTCTGTATTGAGAGTAGACCCTGGGTTGGTGGCTAGAATGAGGGAGGCCAAGATTAGAAGTAGAGGAACCTAAGAGGAGTCTATGACAACTACAGCAGATAAATCGAATGAGTTCCCACGGGGATTTTTTAGTGCCCCTCCCAACTCTGCCATTCATAGGAACCTACAGGGAGCTGGCTTTAATCGGGGTTGATATTATAGTCTTAAATCTTAAAATATAATTAAAAGAATGTAAGAATTAAAGCGTAAGAGTTAAAAAGTTGTGGGCTCTCAGGGGGCTGCTGCTGGGCCACTGGGTCTCTCTTTGTGGATTTTGTCTCCCGAGGCCTGGAGCAGGAGGAACTCCAGTCCATCCCAGACTCCATAGCAGCCCACAGTTAGGTGCACCAGGGTTTGCTGATGTCGTCTTGTGCTGTTCCACCCTTGGCTCTGGCAGAGCTGCTGCCTCACTGTCCCAGAAAAGCCTGAGCCTGTAGTTTAGGTAGGATGCCACATCTGCGTCCTCAAGACCTGTTATCCATGCAGGAAAAGATGTTGGGAAAGGCCATTTTGCCAGCAGGGGTGAGGGGAGGGACAGAGAATCTATTTTTAATAAATAACATCCTAGAAAGACCAAAAAAAAATTAAAAAAATAAAAGTTATGGGCTCTATGAACTGGAGAGGTCAGAGAAATAGAAGAATTATAGGAGTTACTGATATAGACAGAAGGGAGGTAGTGGTAGAACGACAGGACAATTTAAATAGAAATATTGAAAGATCTTTGTTGTTCCTTAATGGTCTATAATCATGGAAACAAGTCTGAAAATGATTAGAGGGGAAAAAGACTCAGGATATAGGAAGTCGAGAAACTTAGAAGCCTCGCGAGTGAATAAATTGTCTATGTGATGAATAGTATTAAGAATGATGACTGGATTAGTAGCAGGCAGAAGGATTAAAAAAAAGAAAATTTCTGAAGGTAATAAGGTAGGTACAATGAGAAGGGGTAATATTATAAAGTAATATGTACAAAGCAGCTGGGCTTTAAAGTAGGAGGGAGAAAATGATCTGGAAGCACAGGGAGGAATTCTGCACTATTTTCATCTTGAAAGTCAGGATCCCTACACGTAAAAAAAAAAAAAAATGGGAAAATGACAAAGTGGAATTTGGCATATGGCAGAACTCCAAAAAACCTCAAGTGCCTTGGGCACTCAAAATACAGGGATCATTCGCCTCACTTGTCAATGATACCATGATAGGTATTTAGAAGGAATCAGCATGTAAATATGAATATCACACAGAAATTATAACCACTCAGAATGGATTGCAGGTATTGTATAGAAACTTCTCATATAAATAAGAAGGAAAATGTAAATTTGTGTGTTAAGGACATATAATCAGAAAGGAAACAGGGCAACAGAAGACTGGACATGCCTGTCTGCTTTTAGATACCCCAGTGTGGGTCCTTACCAGGAGGCGTCATCAGTGCTCTGTGAGTGTGCACAGCCTTTGGCCAGCACCCGGCTCATCTTACGCAGAACAGAGACAAATGGATCCTTAGATTCCAGGCCAGGTAGCTTACATCTAGTGTACTAACCTGCTTGCTCTAGCCACATTTGAGACACTCTTTAGGAGTAGTGAAAAATCCTGAAGTAAATGTAAAGTTGAAATTGGCATTATAAAGGAATGTCCACAATCATAGTAAAGAAGAACTTTCTTTTACAATCTAGAAAACGTGTGAGGGAAATTTCTGTTTGCAGCTTAGAGTTAGGAGAGAATGAAGAGGGCCTCACAGTTCAGAAAATGCAGCCTTTCTCGGGAGCTCCCACCATTCTCATGGGATGGCAAATGCAGGAGGGCAGGGAAATCTCCAGTGTCAGTAGCCAAGGTTTATCTTACTCCTATGTGTTTTGAGCAGAGACAATTTTTTAAGGAATCCTCAAAACCCATTTCATAATCCTCAAATCAACATAAGGTTTCCTATGTTGAAACCTTCTCATTTTCTGTCTTTTTCACACCCCCAAACCACTTTTTTCTCATAGGGAGGGAGGAACAGCAGAGACTTTGCCCAGGACTGCTGGGAGGTAGAAGGAGAAGGGGAAACACCGGGTTTTCTGCACAGGAAAGGGGTGATTCTGCAGCGCTGTGGCTAAACTGCTGGCACAGAAGTACACAGCTGAGTCCCTGGGTTCTGAGGGCTGGATCTTCAGAGTGGAGAATGATGCATTAGGCATCTTAGCTGAGAATCGATCCTCGGGCATCCCTGAATCATCTATCGGAACGTTGTTGTTAAAGTAAATGAGCAACTCCAGTCCCCGCATCATGGTCTGTCTGTACCAGAAAAGGTAGTCGTGTCCTGAAATTGGTTTACATCTCAGAGTCACTTCTTGTCCCATCTCTGTCACCTCGTGCCGGGGTGACTGGATAACTCCAGCATCTGTGTGCTCTATGAAAGAAGACAGAATTGGGCGTCAGAATAAGGAAAATATATGAGATCATCCATGCAGAAGCCCAGCCTGATGATGGTAAATGTTCTGAAGACTCACTTGCTACCAGGATGCAAAGGGACACACAGCAGAGGGTCCAGGAGTCCATGGCAGAGTGAGAGCAGATGTGGAATATTCCAGACCAGGCCCTCTGTGAACATGAGCAAAGAAATGAATTTTGTGACATTTTATCCCCACAGAATGCATCTGTCAGTGACATCACTGAATGGGCCACCACCCCCAACTTTAAGAGGAGGCTGCATCTCTGGGAGATGAATCAGGCAGGAATTAACTCAACTATAGCAGATCTGAGATACAAATGCACACATGCAGAGGCTCCCTTAAGATTTATTTTGATATTATCAATTCACGGTAGCTTCTCCATAACATGCCTTACCTAGGAGCTTGCCAACTATATATATCTCCTCAAATTGCAGGTAATTAAAGATGAACTCATTGTCTTATTGCAAGCCAGCTTCTCTGCAAACTCTCCTCTTCCTCTCACTGGTGGCTTGGTGTTTCTAGTCCTCTATGTGTACCTAAATTATCCATCAGCGAGTTAGGAGTTAGGCATCTGAGAAGATGCATGTCAACTGCATTGTTAGGGATAGAGGAACTGAGCTGATGCCCTGAGAACTGATTATATTTGAAGCTCTTCTCTGCAGTAGAAAAAACCTGGGTTTATTTATCCTTGAACCATATTGAATTCCCAAAGCCCGTGGAATGGAACTTCTCTCCATTCTCTATTCCCACAATAAAACAGAGGATAAGATTGTCTTATTTTGAAGATTTGCAGCTACAATGTTCTAGTCTTGAATTATATCTTATTACTACCCCTAGAAAAGAAAAGTTCAATGTTTTTTCATCATTAACACCTGACCTTTCCTCCGGCCCCCTGCCAACCCCTTAATCCTTCTCCAAACCTACTTCCTCTCAGAGGTTCTGGAAAGCTGAGAGAAATGTTTGTTTTTTGAGTTGATCAATTAACTTACTTGCCATAAAAGGGCATATTTTTGCTCTTGGCACAGAGGCATGCTTCTGAGTCCCATGCAGTTGAAAGCACTTGCCAATGTTAAAGGGCATTAGTTTGCAGACTAGCTTGTGTTTCTGGAGGGGCCTATTTCCCTTTGGGCTCTATCCTTTTGCAGGGTCTGTTGGACCCAGGATACAAAACTGTGGTCATAATTCTGTTTTAAAAAATTTAATTACTTACCACTCCCTGTAACCAGGTACCAAGTGTGGCAGGCAGCATGACAACCTCCCAAAGATGTCCATGTCTAATTCCCAGAAACTGGGAATGTGTTAAATTATGTGGCAAGGGGAGAAAGGAATGTTCCAAATGGAATGAAGGTTGCTAGTCAGCTGGCCTTAATATAGGGAGTGTATCCTGGATTTTCCAGGTGGGCCCAATGTAATCACAAGTGTCCTAAAATGTGGAAGAGGGGGGACGAAGAGTGAGTGTCAGAGTGATGCAGAGTGAGCAAAGGCTCAGCCAGTCCTTGTTGACTTTGAAGATCGAATGGGGCCATGAGCCAAGGAACACTGGTGGCCTCTAGAAGTTGAAAAGGAGAGAAAAACAGTTCTCCCCGAGAGCCTCAGGATGGAATGCAGCCCTGCCAACACCTGGATTTTATCCCGGTTTTGGACTTCTGACCTGCAGAACTGTAAGATAATTAGTTTTTGTTGTAAACCACCAAGTTAGTAGTAATTTGTGTCAACAGAGATTGAATACCTTCTAGTAGCCATGGGATTGATGGGTAAGAGGCAGAAGCCAGATACAAGATACAGGTAGAGACAGATGCATGATCACATGGAAGGAATTTAAAATCAGGCTAAAGGAAGCCTATAATGCAGCTGGGCTTTAGAGAAGTAGGAAGGAAAATGATCTGGAAGCAGCAGGGAGGAATTCTGCACTATTTTCATCTTGAAAGTCAGGACCCACTAATCAAAAAACAAAAAAGGAAAGAAAAATAGGAAAATGACACAGTGGAATTGGGCTTATGGCAGAGCTCCAAAAAACCTCAATGGCCTTGGGCACTCAAAATATAGGGGTCTTTTGCCTCAGTTGTCAATGATACCATGATAGGTATTTAGAAGGAATCAGCATGTAAATATGAATATCACACAGAAATTATAACCACTCAGAATGGATTGCAGGTATTGTATAGAAACTTCTCATATAAATAAGAAGGAAAATGTAAATTTGTGTGTTAAGGACATATAATCAGAAAGGAAACAGGGCAACAGAAGACTGGACATGCCTGTCTGCTTTTAGATACCCCAGTGTGGGTCCTTACCAGGAGGCGTCATCAGTGCTCTGTGAGTGTGCACAGCCTTTGGCCAGCACCCGGCTCATCTTACGCAGAACAGAGACAAATGGATCCTTAGATTCCAGGCCAGGTAGCTTACATCTAGTGTACTAACCTGCTTGCTCTAGCCACATTTGAGACACTCTTTAGGAGTAGTGAAAAATCCTGAAGTAATGTAAAGTTGAAATTGGCATTATAAAGGAACGTCCACAATCATAGTAAAGAAGAACTTTCTTTTACAATCTAGAAAACGTGTGAGGGAAATTTCTGTTTGCAGCTTAGAGTTAGGAGAGAATGAAGAGGGCCTCACAGTTCAGAAAATGCAGCCCTTCTCAAGAGCCCCCACCATTCTCATGGGATGGCAAATGCAGGAGGGCAGGGAAATCTCCAGTGTCAGTAGCCAAGGTTTATCTTACTCCTATGTGTTTTGAGCAGAGACAATTTTTAAGGAATCCTCAAAACCCATTTTGTAATCCTCAAACCAACATAAGGTTTCCTATGTTGATCCCTTCTCATTTTCTGTCTTTTTCACACCCCCAAACCACTTTTTTCTCATAGGGAGGGAGGAACAGCAGAGACTTTGCCCAGGACTGCTGGGAGGTAGAAGGAGAAGGGGAAACACCGGGTTTTCTGCACAGGAAAGGGGTGATTCTGCAGCGCTGTGGCTAAACTGCTGGCACAGAAGTACACAGCTGAGTCCCTGGGTTCTGAGGGCTGGATCTTCAGAGTGGAGAATGATGCATTAGGCATCTTAGCTGAGAATCGATCCTCGGGCATCCCTGAATCATCTATCGGAACGTTGTTGTTAAAGTAAATGAGCAACTCCAGTCCCCGCATCATGGTCTGTCTGTACCAGAAAAGGGAGTTGTGGCCTGAAATTGGTTTACATCTCAGAGTCACTTCTTGTCCCATCTCTGTCACCTCATGGCGGGGTGACTGGATAACTCCAGCATCTGTATGCTCTATGAAAGAAGACAGAATTGGGCGTCAGAATAAGGAAAATATATGAGATCATCCATGCAGAAGCCCAGCCTGATGATGGCAAATATTCTGAAGACTCACTCGCTACCAGGATGCAAAGGGACACACAGCAGAAGGTCCAGGAGTCCATGGCAGAGTGAGAGCAGATGTGGAATATTCTAGACCAGGCCCTCTGTGAGCATGAGCAAAGAAATGAATTTTGTGACATTTTATCCCCACAGAATGCATCTGTCAGTGACATCACTGAATGGGCCACCACCCCCAACTTCTTTAAGAGGAGGCTGCATCTCTGGGAGATGAATCAGGCAGGAATTAACTCAACTATAATTGGTGTGAAATAGAGATGCACACTTGCAGAGGCTCCCTGGATATTTGTTTTGATATTATCAATTCACGGTAGCTTCTCCATAACATGCCTTACATAGGAGCCTGCCAACTATATCCATCTGCACCTCAAATGGCAAGTATTTAAAGATGAACTCATTGTCTTATTTCAAGCCAGCTTCTCTGCAAACTCTCCTCTTCCTCTCACTGGTAGCTTGGTGCTTCTAGTCCTTTATATGTACTTAAAGTATCCCTCAGTGAGTTAGGAGTTAGACATCTGAGAAGACGCATGTCAACTGCATTGTTAGGGATACAAGAGCTGAGCTGATGACCTGAAAACTGATTATATTTGAAGCTCTTCTCTGCAGTGAAAAACCTGGGTGTGTTTATCCTTGAACCATATTAAATTCCCAAAGCCCATGGAATGTAACCTCTCTCACATTCTCTAGTCCCACAATAAAACAGAAAGGGGATAATATTGTCTTATTCTTGAAGATTTGCAGCTAAAATGTTCTAGTCTTGAATTAAATCTTATTACTACCCCTAGAAAAGTTCAATGTTTTTTCATCATTAACACCTGGCTTTTTCCCCTGTAACCCCACTTCTCCAAACCTACTTCGTCTCAGAGATTATGGAAAGCTGAGAGAAAGATCTTTTTTTTGGGTTGGTTGGTTAAGTTACTTGCCAACAAAAGAGAAGGGCACATTTTTGCTGTTGGCACAGAGGCATGCTTCTGAGTCCCCTGCAGTCAAAAGCACTTCCCAAAGTAAAAGGGCATTGGTTTGCAGACTAGCTTGTGTTACTGGAGGGGCTATTTCCATGTGGGCTCTATCCTTTTGCAGGGTCTGTTGGACCCAGGATATAAAACTATGGCCATAATTCTGCCTTCAAAAAGTTAATTGCTTACTACTTCGTGTAACCAGGTAGCAAGTGTGGCAGGCAGCGTGACGACCTCTCAAAGATGTACATGTCTAATTCCCAGAAACTGGGAATGTGTTAAATTATGTGGCAAGGGGAGAAACGAATGTTCCAAATGGAATGAAGGTTGCTAATCAGCTGGCCTTAATATGGGGAGCGTGTCCTGAATTTTCCAGATGGGCCCAATGTAATCACAAGGGTCCTAAAATGTGGAAGAGGGAGGATGAAGAGTGAGTGTCAGAGTGATGCAGAGTGAGCAAAGGCTCACCCAGTCCTTGTTGGCTTTGAAGATTGAATGGGGCCATGAGCCAAGGAACACTGGTGGCCTCTAGAAGCTGAATAGGAGAGAAAAATAGTTCTCCCTGAGAGCCTCGGGAAGGAATGTAGCCCTGCCAATACCTGGATTTTAGCCTGGTTTTGGACTTCTAACCTCCAGAACTGTAAGATAATAAATTTTTATTGTTGTAAGCCACCAAATTAGTGGTAATTTTTGTCAATAGAAATTTAATACCTTCTAGTAGCCATGGGACTGATGGGTGAGAGGCAGAAGCCGGGTACAAAATACAGGTACAGACAGATGCATGATCACATGGAAGGAATTTAAAATCAGGCCAAGGGAAGCCTATTCAAAAACATATTCTTATGTCTGCCCAGGCTTCATCTTCTTCCAGGAGACACACTGGACTATGCCTCATACGTGGATATGGTCGTGGCATCACTGTGATTTTCATCTCCCTGGCGACAGGGTCCCTCTGCTGTGGTCCTGGGTAGCACCTCCCTTTCTTGCTGTTCTACTCTCACAGAGCAGGTAGGGTTGGCCTGGGCTGGTTTGGGGCCAGGCTCTCCAAGGCTCCTTTGACACAAGAACTGCTTCTCTGGTTTTCCAAGCTCAGAACATGGGCCCTGCACCACCTCAGCTCCTTGTGCCCCTACATCTTAAGCGAGCTCAGAGGTATATGCACTGCAAAGTACACCTGTCACTCAGCCCCACTCAAAGCACAATTTAAAGCAAAACCCACCTCTACAATGGAGGAAGCGTCGGTTACTAATTCCTTTATTCCCAGCCATCATTCAAGACATCTGCAAACCAACTCCCTGAATTTAGGTCCAACCTCGGGGTTATTCTTAACCATCTTCCAGGGAGCAATCTCAGCTCCTCCCCATAGACTCTGGATGACATCGAAGCCACAGTGCCTCCTAGTGGCCAGTAGGCCAGAACAGCACAAATGTGCTCTCTTTTGCCAGGACACAGGGACTTGAGCTTTATTTCACTGAGTACAAGGGATATAGGATATTATGATTAGTTGGTGTTAAAAGGCCAACAAATAATATTAGTGCTATGGGGTAGGACAGAAACACCCCAGACATTGACAATGCAGTCAGAAAGGTGGAAACATAATGTCAGTTTTAATACTGATAAGCAGCAGGTCTCATTGTGAAACTCGATGGGCTGGCTAACATGATGCTGAAACAGAATTTAACCCATTCCCTATCCCCTCCAAACTGCAGGCCACCCTGCATGGAAGAGAGAGTTCCTCACTGATCTTAGCACATGTTGAAAATAATCTACTTTTCTCTAGGGAACCAGGAGGAAAACGGGAAAATAAGGAGAGACTAAACTAAAATGAAGAGAGGAAATAGTATAACTGATTTCCCTTCTGTAGAGAAGATTTGGCAAGGAATAGGAAGATTAAAACAGGATTATTACTTTCGGGGTGCCCCACAAAATGGGGTGTGTTTTAAACGGGGTAAAACAATAGCCACATATCAGTTACTCCCTCTAATTTTGACCATTGCCCCGGGAAATACTCATAAAACAGCACAAATCCACCCCCAGAACTCAGTAATTAAATTAATTTGAAGCCCAATCTGTACTATTTGACCAGATCTCAGCATTCTCTTGATTGTCTTTCCCATCTTGCCATATGGTCCAATGGAACACAGAGGTTATGTGATAGAAATAAATAACAGTAGAAGAATACTCTAAAAACAACATGCCCCAAACAAAGATATGTCTCAATTGGATTATGAATGGTCTTGATAAGTTTTTTTAAAGTATTTGATATCAGAGTTTAACATCTCTATACCATTTAAGTTGAATATTAGACAAATCACAAAGAATCTAACATTAAAATACAAGGAAAATTAGAATTCCAGGTAAAGTTATTTTCACCTTAATCCCAATAATTAAGGATAATGGCACTCACTCTTTCTGTTGTTATCTACATAGTTGGAAAAAAAATATCAAAAACAACATTAAAAATTTTAGTTAAAGTCCTAAAAAAATAATAATAATTTGGCTGGAATGTTGGTGAGGGCAAGAGCTCCGGGAGGTGAGCACAGCAGTCCATTTGCCCTAGCGGGCATTTGCAGATCCTGACTCAGCACTCAGGAAGCTGACTCACAGGCCACGGGGGTAAAGGCAAAGCCCAGAACATACCGAACGTGTCATTGCCAAATTCCACTAGTAACAATAAGCCAGAGACAAACCTGTTCTCCAGATGCTCCAGGACACCTCAAGCCTTAAACTGTGATTCAGGGAGCCTGACTGTTTATATCTACATGCACTTTCAGAAGCACAGAAAAATGATCTCTGCAGAAAAATATCCATCCTACCCCCAAAATTATTTCTACAACTATAGTGTTTGGCAAAGTGTCAAACATCATCAGATTGGTAAGGAGAAATACAAATGCCATGAAAACTCAAGTACCATAACTGAGAAGCAGCACAAAAAGAAAATCACAAAAATATCCTATGAAGATCTTAGAGGTGAAAATGATCAGACAGACTCTGAAACAACTGTGTGTCCTATATTCAAATAATAAAAAGTGATCTCAGAAAATGTTATGAGGGAGTTATTAACTATAACTAACATAGCAGATTGGGAAAAGAAAAAAATAGAAATTTTGACAAGGAGATGGTGAGTGAGTGGTCATTTTAATCCATCACATCAGTGAGGTTTTATTACAGGAATAAAGGACAGGGAGATGTGCAATGAACAAATGGAAATAAAGCCTGACTTGCCATCAGGTATTAGATTGGATAAGGAGGGGAGGGAAGTCAGGAGGGGCAAATGGACAGTGACAGTGCTTTCAGACAATTTCCAGTATGCTGCTTTTTAAGTAATTCTAACCAATACTTCAGAAAGATTTCTAGTATTAGAGAGTTTAGGCAGAAGTAGAGTAATGAATATGGAGCTAGACACACAGAGTGTATATTATCAGAGAGGGCAATTGATTGCTTCAGAAGTTCTTACAAGGAATATTTCAATCCACTAAGGAACTTTTAATATACAAGGCAGACACGTAGAAATGTCCTCTGAACTGACTGGTCCAGGTCTAGATATATTCTTGGGCTGGGATGATTACATAGAAGAGTTAGAGAGTTCAGGAGAAGTAGAATTCATCTGGAGCTAAGATTTGCACCTGGTTGCCGGGGTATCCATTTGTGTGCATTTCTTTGAACTGGAAAAAGGGCTGAATAACATACCTGAAATTATAATCACTATCATTAACAACATCATTATTAGCATACTTTACCAAAAATAAAACAGAAGGAAAAAGATTTCCAAACACATACTGTGTGTTGAGACTTTGCTAGACAGCCGGGGTGTCACTAAGGGTAACAAGTCATTCACATGCTGACAACTACATAAGGGGAGCCTGCTGTTTGCTGCTTGGTATAATCACTATCTGTATTATTAAGTTTATTGTACATGTTTCATGATCACATACTTTTATGGGAGATAAACCATCACTACCCCTGAGGACTCAATCTCTGATAAGTCACTTTAGGTTTCTTGAGTTGTCCCCAAGAAGTGTTTCAAATCCCTGAGACACATTTTCAAGCAACAATTATAGCGCTCATGTTGTAAGAAATAGTTCATTTCCTCCCACTATATGAATCCTAGCTATATCTGAAAACTCACTTCTTTCCTGGGAGGATGAGGAATAAGGAAAGGCTGCTGTGAGCTGAGTAGAGAGGAGAGAGTCCTGCGGTTTTCTGCACAGGAGGGAAGTGTCTCTGCTACACTGTGTCTAAGCTGCTGGCACAGAGATACACGGCCGAGTCCCCAAGCTCTGCAGGCTGGATCTTGAGAGTGGAGTCTACTCCTTTGAGCCTCTCTGCAGAAAATCGATCCTTAGGCAACTGTGAATCGTCTACTGCTTCCTCATTCTCATATCGAATCAGAAGCTCCGGGCCCTGTCCCAAGTTCTGCAGGTACCAGTAAAGGGTATTGTGGCCAGAAATAGGATTGCACCAAAAAGCCACAGGCTGTTTTTTCTCTATAATCTTATATCTGGGAGACTGAACCACTCCAGCTTCTATGAGTTCTGTGGGGGAAAAAGAATTTTAAAATAGAAGGAAATGACTAGAATAATCACTGGGAGATTATGTGAGGATCATGGTGTTCCTAGGACTCACCTTCCACCAGGAGACAGAAGGCCACCCAGCAGAGGAGCCTGGTACCCATGGCAGGGTCAGGGCAGGATGGAAGCTTTGCCAGATCAGGGTCACTGTGAGCAGGAGCAGAGGAAGTGGGATGTTGCTGTCCTTACAGAGAAGTTCCTACAGTGACATCATTGTCTCCACAAATGCTTAAGTTCTTAGAAAACAGTTGTTGTAAACTAAAACAGAGCTAAAAGTTTGTTTAATGTATTCATAGACTGGAAGTTCATCCAAGCGTCCTCACTCACATATTCAGGGCTTGGGGAATTAGATCTGTCACTACATCTCTAGGCCTATCCTGTGCTAGATGTTTCTACGTGGAAGTCTCAAAGGCAACTCAAAATAGATATATCAATTAGTGACCTCTTGATTTTATGTGTAATTTTCCTTCTCTTTGGGTATTTCTTTTCTACCAGGTCCTCCATGCTCCCAGTCCTCTAGGGTAATTGACACAGCTTTATCCTAGAACTGCATTGAACTAGCTGACATACTCTAACCTAAAGGGGTAAAATAATTCCCTGAGCACAAAGTTGGGAGGTTTCATTTTATCTGAAGGCCAATGACTAGTTCCCTTTTTGCTGTTATCAATCTTCATTATGTATTATGTATCAAGCCTTCACTATGATTCTGCCTGTAGTCTCTGGTCACCAATGAATTGAAAGTAAGTTCTGATATCTTAACCCAAATGGGTGAAGAACACTCTAATTCCTGAAAATATCAGGGTGAATATCTAACAATAAATGCAAAATTGAGCAGGACTTCTGGGATCTAAAACACTTACACCTCTATCATATTTTACAATTGAATTGCAGTGTTAGTATCCAGCAATTTTTAAAAAATTATGCAACATTAGTTAAGACACACTTCTCCTTATCTGAGTGGTAGAGTGGGAAGGCTTGAGGGATTGGAGAAGCCCTGAGAATCAATATGAATGAACTAACCAATGACATGTGTGTTCAGAGAAAGGGAATAGTACAACTCAGCCTAAAGAAATCCAAGTTCCTAAAACCTAGGGGACACATGTCAAGGTTATCAGGTGAAGACCTGTGAGTGTAGAATTATCAGAACCATCTCTTTTCCATATAAATTGTCTATCATTGTGGTAGAAAAGCTGCTAGTCGGAGCCTGCCTTATATTGACACCAATTAATAATTTCATGGTGGAAAGTGTCTTCACATCACAGTGTCACTACCTCTTCCATCCGTGTGACCAGAGCTTAGGGCCCTGGATGACAACAGCATTGAGAGAGTGGAGGCTGGGTGGCTGGAGACAGGACCTATCAAGCTGCATGTGAAATACTTGAAATTGGGGCATCCTATTTCTAGGAAAGACATTCCCCAGGTATTCTCATGCCTCCCCTGCTTCCTGAGCACCAAAACAAATGAACAAAAAACACCCATGATTGTGTCAGGGCCCAAAGGGCCGTCTCATTGCTCAGGGAAGGAAATGCCAGAGTTCTGGAAAATCTGGTTCTTGTTAAGAATATTTGTGGTGTTACTGCAATTTGAGATATCTGGAAACATCTACAGTTGTCCACTCCCATCTTCTACATTCCCCTTACATTCTCCTGTCCATCGTCCAGGACACACTAGAATAGGTTAGGTGCTAAGGTTTCTCTGATGTTCTCCCAAGGAGGCACTTGTTCCTCTGCATGGGTCTGTGAGCATTCAGGTTGGCTCCTGGCTCTCCTCCATCTACCCCTCAAGTGGGCTCAGAAGATTCTCCACTCAATGGTTTGCTACAGTTCAGATTTCACTGCCGAACAGAACCCACTGGCATCAGTGGAGAAAGATGAGTTTCCATTGACCACTCAAAACACCTGCAAACTAGATACTGAATGCTAGGATGAAGCCACACTTTTCCTTTAAACTCAACTTCTCAGGCAATACTTAGCCCTGTTTCAAAAACATTTGGACGCCATCAAACCTCAGTGCCTCCTGATGGCCAATGGTTCAGAGCCACTGGGCTTAGGCCCTCCAGCCATGGCTCAGGGAGAGTGGTGGGACTTCTAAACAATGGAAATTAGATCAGGGCTACTATCAGACAGTGTTTGTGGGGGACTGAAGGGAATTCATTCCAGCTCCATGTGATCCTTCTGTCCTGCTAGAGACTCCTCCCCACAGACAGTGTTTCAGTCCTGCTAGAGCCCCCTCCCTGTTACACAAACACATATTATCCAACCACAATTTAGGACAAGCACTACCACTCCTCTGCTTACATTCAGGCAATTCCCCAACATCTGTGAGTTCTTGACCAACCTGTAGGGAACTCAGAATCTCCTGTTTCAGTTAAAACAGTCCTGTGTATTTACTAAACAGCTTATTGACATGCATTGTTAGCTAAGTTTTGTGCTCATCTCAGAGATATCAGCTATTTTGTCCTCAGACTATAAATTCTCTTATCTTTTGGGGGGACTTTTAAAAATCATAGCCTGTCCCTATAGAAAAAGTACACTATAGGGCTAAAAGAAACCTTATCTTGTGTGTTTGTTTTATGGTAATTATAGAATATTTCAAAGATATTGAAAATGAATATAATAAATAGCCACCACAAAACTGAAATCATGCCAACATTTCAAGATCTTAAGATTTTTTTCTTCTAATTTTATTTAAAAAACTGACACTTTTGGAAGAGCTGAATCATACAACAAAGAGAATATTAAAATGTATTTCAATTATTAACATCTTTTGACATTTGCTTTATCTCTTTTTGTGTATTTTACCCTCAATTTCTGAAATAAAACACTTTATTCTTAACGATTCAGTATGTCTCTCCTAAAAAGAGGCCATTATCTTAGAAAACCACAAATGCCTTTATTACACTCAAAAACTTAATATTCATATAACATTATTTTCTCATATATGCTTCACATTCCCCTTTCTCCAGTTGTACCAATGTGTCCTTTGGTTTTAATTTTTTTTCTACAGGACATTATCAAAGATTATGCATTTCTTTTGGTTGTCAGGTCTTTTTAGCTACTTTTAAACTAGACATCTCTTTGGCCCACTTATATTTTCCAACTTTCATGGTCTTGATTTTTGTAAGAGTCCATGTCAGCTGACTGGTAAAATGACCCCCAATCAGAATTTCCACATTATCAGAGGTTAAATATTTTGGCAAATACCATGCCATAGTTGATGTGTGTTTCCCATTGCATCCGATCAATTACAAGAACATATAATGCTGTCTTTACACATTTTTGGCGATACTAAATTTAACATCACAGACATCAGATCTCTCCATTGCAAAGATATCATTTATATTTTATAGTTAATAAGCAATTAGTGGAGTGATACTTTGACACAATATAGATATCTTGGTCTCCAATAACCTTTCAGATGTTGGTTTTGACATCAACTGATGGTCTCTGTCTGTAACTACATTAATGGCTACATTGATTTTCTAATGAAATTTAGTAACTAGCATTATTCTGTAACGAAGACATTCTTACCTACATCTTTTTATTGTCATTATAGCCTTATAGATTTTTAAAATTTATTATAATTTAGTGTCCTCATTATTATGCTCTAATGTTTAGATACTCGTGTTTGGCTACTGGGAGCCCCATGAAACTGGTTCTGTGGCTTTTTTCTATGTTTTCTGGGTCATGAAACTTCCTTGATTTCTGCCAAAAGATGTTTTTGACTTTCCCTGCTCTGGATCTAGAAGAAGCCATTTCTGCTTTGTTTCTTTTAGAAACATTTAGAAATTAAATAACATGCAATAATTCTGCCCATTACTACTGGGAACACAAGTACAAAGAAATAAAGCAATTGTCCATCGACTTCATATTGCTTCTTACATATTGTATGGTTAGAATTAGGAAATACATAATTTTTAAATAATAAGTTCATATTGATACCTCCAATTCAAATAAACACCGCAGATTTCTTCCTTGTCTTTCCCTATTTCTTATTGTATCTCTCTTCCCTTTGTAAGAACTCTGTTTCCCAGTAATGTCAATGAATTTACTTATTCTCTGTTGTACAGTCTATTAAAAATGTTTCAGAATATGCACTAAAAACACTAACAGCGACAAATCTCCCAAGTGAAGTTCAACCCCAACCTCATTTAGCCTTACAATCATAAAACTACTAAAATCTAAAGACAAAGAAAAACTAAAAAACAACTGGAAAAGAAAAGCCATTGCCTCCTAAGAAGATATACAAATGATCAATAATATATGAAAAGATGCTTAATATCTAATGTTTAGGTCTTCTATCTAAGTTCAGTTTATTACATGCAACATGTTGGAAAAGCTCTTTGACGTTGGCCTTGGCAATGATTTCTTCGATATCATACAAAAAGTTCAGGCTACAAAAGCAAAAATAAATGGGACTAAATCAAACTGAAAAGCTTCTGCACAGCAAATTAAACAATCAACAACATGAAAAGGCAACCTATGGATTTGGAAAAAATATTTGCAAACCATATGTCAGATAAGAGATTAATATACCAAATATATAAAGACCCCATACAACTCTTTGGCAAGAGAACATATAACCCTATTTAAACTGAGCAAAGGACCTAAACAGACATTTCTACCAAGAAGGCATAAAAATGGCCAAGATGTTCAATATCACTAAATGTTAGAAAAGTGAAAATCAAAACTGCTATGAGATAGCACCTCACACCCATTAAGATAGCTATTATTAAAAAGATAAGTTGCAAGAGTGTGGAGAAAAAGGAACTTTTATACACTGTTGGTGGAAAAGTAGATTGATGCACTCATTAAGAAAATTAGTGTAGATGTTCCTAAAGAAATTAAAAATAGAATTATATGACCCAGCAATCTCTTTTCTTGGTATATACACAAAGAAAATGAAATCCCACCTTTTGGAGACATCTGCACTCCCATGTTCATTGCAGCATTATTTACAATAGCCAAGATATGGAAACAACCTAAGTGTCTACTGATGGACAAATGGATGAAGAAACTGTGGCATACATATACAATGGAGTATTATTTGATCCTAAAAAAAAAATGAGATCTTGCCATTTACCACAACAAACATAGATGAACCTGGAGGACATTAGGCTAAGTGAAATAAGCCAGACACAGAGAAATAGTGTATATTATTTATATGTGAAATTTGTAAAAACTCAAATATACAGAGAGAATGAAATAGTGGTTAATGGGAGGATGGCAGGGGGAGGGAATAGGAAATGGGAATATTTAGGCCAAATGATACAAGATAGCAGATAGGCAGGATGAAGAAGTCTAAAGATCTAATGTGCCACATGAAAACTATAGTTCATATATTCAGAATTTTTTCTAAATGAGTAAATTATATCTGTTATTGCCACAGGGAGTAAATGGGTAACTATGTGAGATGATGGCTATATTAATTTGTTTCACTATAGTAACCATTTTCCTATAGGTGTGTATCTCATCATGTCATGTTATGTACCTGAAGTATACATAATACAATTTTCAAATTTAAAGTAAAAGTTCAAAAAAAGATGCTTAACATCATTAATTATTAGGAACATGTAAATCAAAACCGCAATGAGGTATCACTTCGCATTTACCAGCATGGCTGTAATAATTTTTAAAAAGAAGAACAAAACAGAAATTAAGTGTTGGCAAGGCTGTGAAGAAACTGGAAAGCTTTTACACTGTTGTGGGAATATAAAATGCTGAGGCTGCTGTAAAACACTGTTGGGCAGTTGCTCAAAATGTCAAATGTAGAATTCCCATGTGACTCAGCAATTCCACCCCTAGGTATACACCCAGAATAATTGAAAGCAGGAAAGCAGACAGATACTTGTAGGCCAGTGTTTATTGCAAGATTATTTATAATAGTCAAAAGGTGGAAACAACCCACAAGTCCATCAGCTGATGATGAGATAAACAAAATGTGGTCTATACACACGATGAAGTATTATTCAGCTATATAAAGGAGTAAAATTCTGACACATGCTACAATATGGATGAATCTTGAAAGCATTAGGCTAAGTGAAAGAAGACAGACACAAAGGGAGATATATTTTATAATTTCCCATCAATTAACTATCTAGAGTTGGTAAATTCATATAAACAAACGGTAGATTAGAGGCTACCAGAAGCTGAGAAGCATGGGAAAGATGGAGTTATTGCTTAATGGGTGTAGTTTCTCTTTGAGATCATGAAAAACATTTGGAAACAGCAGTGATGGTTCTACAACCTTGTGAATGTACGTGATTCCACTTAATTGTATATTTTAAAATTGTTAAGGTGAAAAATTGTATGTTTTATGTACATATAAAACATTTAAAAATTAACATTTAAAAACTGTGGTAATATGTATTTTATATTTGTATATAAAACTGTGGTAATGTATATACTATATATTATATATATATATGTAAAACCATGGTTATACATATATGTATAACCACAGTTTTTAAGTGTTAATTTTTAAATATCAATTAAAACCTTCAAAATGGCTAAAATAAATATTGACAACTCAATTCTCCATGATGGACCCTAAAGACAATGAAAGGAACTCAAGTAATTTAAACACACAGTCATCTCTTAGTATCCTGAGGGGATTGGTTCCAGGAAACCCTGCTGATATCCTAATCCAAGGGTGCCCACCTTCCTTACCGTCAGCCTTTGGTATCCTTGGGTTCCAAATCAGCTGATATAGAGGGTCAACTATATTGCTAATTTGTTTCAAAATGTTGCTTGTCAGAATATATCTCAGAAAGGGTTTTCTGATATAATTATTGTATTAGTCTGTTTTCACACTGCTATGAAGAAATACCAGGGACTGGGTAATTTAATTTATAAAGGAAAGAGGTTTATTTGACTTACAGTTCCACATGGCTGAGAAGGCCTCAGGAAACTTACAATCATGGCAGAAGGAGAAGGGAAGCAAGGCACGTCTCACATGGCAGCAGGACAGAGAAAGAGAAGGGAAAACTGCCACTCATAAACCATCAGGCCCTGTGAGAATTCACTCGCTATTAGGAGAACGGCACAGGGAAAACCACCCCCATGATCCAATCACCTCCCACCAGTTCCCTCCCTTGACACATGGGGATTACAATTTGAGATGAGGGTGGCGACACAGAACAAAACCATATCAGTTATAATTTTCTTCTGTAGTATAATACAGTTCCACTAGTCCACATCTTTTCTCATATTTGGGACTATCATTTCTTTGAAGACTTTCCAGTCTTCAAAATCTGATAAGTTTGCATTCATAATTTACTGTTTCAGATTGGAATACTCTGATTCTAAGTGAGGTTAAGAACCTATTCTTTTTTTTTTTTTTAAGACGGAGTCCTGCTCTGTCACCCAGTCTGGAGTGCAGGGGGTGATCTTGGCTCACCGCAACCTCTGCCTCCCAGGTTCAAGTGATTCTTGTGCCTCAGTCTCCCGAGTAGCTGCTGGGACCACAGGCACATCCCACCATGACTGGCTAATTTTTTGTATTTTTTATAGCTATGGGGTCTCACCATGTTGGCCAGGCTTGTCTCGAACCCCTGACCTCAAGTGATCTGCCCACCTCAGCCTCCCAAAGTGCTGGGATTACAGGAATGAACCACTGCACCTAGCCCAAGAACCTATTTTTATGTTAGTGTTAATTTATGTTTACTTTTCTGTGAAATGCCTATTTAGACTAAGTATTGCCATTTTATTGGATTGTCTTAGTAAGTTATGAGAATGCTTTACCCATTGTAGATACTAACTCTATTAGATAAGAACAGCTATGCTACAGAAAAAAAAATAAAAATAAATCTTAAAATCTCATTGGCTTAATTCTATGAAGTCTTACTTCCCATGTCCACAAAGCCCAGCAGGCCATAAGTAGCTTTCTTTCATGGTTTTTCACCAAATTATGACCCAGTGAGCCAGGCTGCTTCCATATTATCATTAGTCAATCTGTATTGCGTAGCTCCCAGGTTTATTAGGGCATGGCAAAAGAGTTGAAGGGTATCTGTACAGAAAACAGTCAACAGCAGGCTTGAGACTGTGGTGCTTAGAAAGTCCTGCTTGTGAGGTTGGCATTTGGCTGACATCTGGGAAGCTGGCTGGTGAGCAGTGCCCTGCACTGACATAGTTTCTCCTAACCGAGAGGAGTAGCTCATTGTGCCTAGACTGATATTGCAAACAGTATTGTGCTGAATACCAGATTTCCTTCTGGGCTGTGGATTTTGGGTTCATACTAGGCAGTGAGTGCCTCCATGACTGGCCTCCACTAAAGCCTCTGGGGTGTTGAGTCTCTGATGAGCTCCACAGGCAGAAACATTGCACACGTGTTAATGCATTTTTGTTGCTGGAAGAAGTGAGCTCTGTGTGACCCCTCCCGGGAGGAAGAGAGCATAAGGAAGCCAATGTGTGAACTCCTCTAGATTCCTCCTGTGTGTTTTCTTCATATGATCCGCTGCTGAATATTTACTATGACACTGTAATAAATCTTAACCATAAGTGCAACTGTATGCTATATCCCATGAGTCTTTGCAGCTAATTTCTGTGTCTACTTGAGGACTCCCTTCACAGTGCCACAAGTTATTTCTTTTTTTTTTTTTTTTTTGAGACAGAATCTCACACTGTTGCCAGGCTGGAGTGCAGTAGCGCAATCTTGGCTCACTGCAGTCTCCGCCTCCTGGGTTCAAGTGATTCTCCTGCCTCAGCCTCCCAAGTAGCTGGGACTACAGGCACACACCACCACATCCAGCTAATTTTTGTATTTTTAGCAGAGACGGGATTTCACCATGTTGGCCAGGATAGTCTCAATCTCCTGACCTTGTGATCCGCCCATCTCAGCCTCCCAAAGTGCTGGGATTACAGGCATGAGCCACCGCGCGTGGCTGCCACAAGTTATTTCTAAGGGCCAGACTTGGGATTGCCCACATCAGTTCTGCACACATCCAGTTATTCAGAACCTCTTCATATGTTCCCAGCACTTTAACTGCATGTGAAGCCTGGAACTGTAGGGGAGCCAAGGGACTTTTGTGAACATAAATGGTGTCATGCTGATTCTTCCTCATTTGCATGCATTCCTTATGCCTTTTCCAGGCTGTGGCTTGACTTTTCATTTTTTATCATGTGTTTCGATACATGATTAATACAACTAATGTCAGTTTGTTGTTGTTGTTTTATTTTTTGAGATGGAGTTTTGCTCTGTCACCCAGGCTGAAGTGCAGTGGTGCCATCTCGGCTCACTGCACCCTCCGCCTCCCAAGTTCAAGTGATTCTCGTGCCTCAGCTTCCAGAGTAGCTGAGATTACAGGCAAACGCCACTACCCCCGGCTAATTTATGTGTTTTTAGTAGAGACGAGGTTTTGCCATGTTGCCCAGGCTGGTCTTGAACTCCTGGGCTCAAGTGATCCACCCGCCTAGGCCTCCCAAAGTGCTGGAATTAAAGGTGTGAGCCACCATGCCCATCCAGTATTATTTTTTATGGCATGTGTTCTTTTGTGTTTCCACTAAAAAAGTCTTCACTCAAAGGATAAAAATATTTTCCTTAATTTCTTTTAGTGAAATTTAAGTTTTTCTGTTTATAGTTAAGAGTAAATGTACCTGAAATATACTTTCATGTAAGAAATGAAGTAGAGACTTAGGAATAAGAGGGAGGAACATATGTTCAGTGTAGAAGAAATAATTTGTAAAAACACACGTCCCCAGGGTGGGAAACAGCATAACACATATGAGGAAATAACTGAACATAAAGGAGCATGGCTGGAGCAGAGAGAGCCAGGGGAGACTTGTGCAAAATGATGATGGAGATGTAGGTGAAGAGCAAATGATAGAGGGCCCCATGAGGCTATTGGCCCATAGAAGAAAGGCAGCCAGGAACAGAGGTCAGGAGTGAAGGTTCATGACTATGAGTGGAAGGATAGTGGAGCGTGGGGAAAGGGGCAGATGAAGAAGTCACTGAAGCCCACAGGGGAGAGAAGGGAGTCCAGGCTTTGGGGTTAAGAGAATCATCGCTAACCTCAACTAATGATGCCTTTTCCTTTCTGCAAGCAGCAAAAGAGAGCTGCAGAAGAGAGACTTGGCAAGCTAAGTGTGTTGGGGTGACCTCCAGTTGGTCTGAGACTGGGGTAGGAATGGACGTCAGCACTGAGGGTCATAAGGCCCCTGCTCTATGGCTTCCAGGCTGGCCAGGGCCCTCTGACTTCTATGGAGGCCTGGACTTCCAAGGGTGGGGATAGACACAGAGCAACCTCAGTCTTTCTAACTGCTGTTTACGTGCAGAGAGGAGGCAGCCATGCAGCACTGTGGACTCACTGATGGCACAGAAGTACACAGATGTCTGGGAGCTGGTAGCGGACTCCAGAGTGAGGAGGAAATCCTCTGTCTTTGATCTAGAGACACTATAGCCATCTGAGACTTCTCCTTTGTCAGTATCTTTAACACCATATGAGTAATGGATCAGCCTCAGCCCATGCCCCGGGTCTTGTCGATACCAGTACATATAGCGGTGGTTCTCAGTCTGATGACATCTCAGAGTCACTGGTGTTCCTGTCTCTGTGACCTTGTGTCTTGGGCTCTGGGTGATTCCAGCATCCATGTGTCCTGTAATAGAAAACAACAGACCCTGATGTTGTAATCCCAAGAAAAAGACTTGTATTGAGGCCTTGGGAATTCTAGGGAAGGAAGCCCACCTGTGACCAGCCCTCACCTGTCCACAGGAGACAAAGGGCCACATAGAAGAACAACCTTGTGCCCATTTCAGGTCCAGGCCAGGATCTCATCTCTCCCAGCCCTGCCTGGGGAAATAGAACTTAGGTTCTCAGTGACTCGATGACATCAGTGCCCCTGACAAATAGTTGAGCTGGAAAGTTAACCTGCCACACCCCTTACATTCTCCAAAAAAATAAATCAAATATATACATATATGTAATTTATGGTATATAAAACAATATTTTATAGGACATATATACAATTTAACAGCTCAGAATGGGAATAATTTGTAGACTATTTTTAAAGACATAAGTGCATATGCTCTTTGCAGGTTATTAGAAAGAAAATGCATTCCTCTCTGCATATTTTATTCCCATTAGGATACAATTCCTCATTTGTATGCTGTTTTAATTGTTTCTAATATTTATGTAGTCTAAGGGACATTCTCGTGGCAGTCTGGTGTCCTTTATAACTCATCTCCTCAAATTTGCCTCTAAGTACCTTTTACTAGATTTTATCTTTTCTCAAACTCTGGATAACTGGATGTCAGCCTACAGTGCTGGCCTCTGTTAAAAGAGCCACCTGACATCTGGGAAGGTTTCAAAAAGTCTTAAGGTCAGGATCAATACAATTTGTATATTGTTTTATGCTCTGTCACATTAGTTCACCTCACAGGAGCCTCCTCATCAGAGCTCAGACCTCTGTGTGTTCCCGCTGGTAGTTTGATGGTTAATTTTAGGTGTTAATCTGACTAGATTAAGGCATACCTGGATAGCTGGTACAGCAACACTTCTTGGTATGTCTGTGAGGGTATTTCTGGAGGAGACTGGCTTGTAAATTGATGAACTGTGTGGGAAAGATCTACTCTCAATGTGTATGGCAATATCCAGTCAGCTGGGGGCCTGGATGAAACAAAAAGGCACAGAAAGGGTGAATTTGCATTCTCTCTCAGAGATGAGACATGTGTCTTCTACTGCCCTTGGATATCAGAATTCTAGATTCTCCTACCTTTGGATTCCGGGACTTGCACTAGCAATCCCCTGGATTGTCAGGCTTTTGGTCTCAGGCTGAGAGACACAACATTGGCTTCTGTGGTCTGAGGGCTTCAAACTTGGACTGAGTCATGCTACTGGCTTTGCTTCATCTCCAGCTTGCAGATGGCTGGCATACTGGGGGACTTTTCAGCCTTCATAATCACGTGAGCCAATTTCCCTAATCTCTTTCCTTCTCTTCTCTTCCCTTCTCTTCTCTTCTCTTCTCTTCTCTTCTCTTCTCTTCTCTTCTCTTCTCTTCTTTCTTTTTCTCTCTCTCTCTTCCCATATATATATATAGTGTGTGTGTGTATATATATATATATATATATATATATAGGAGAGTATATATATATATACTATATATACAGGAGAGTGTATATATATATACTATATATATAGGAGAGTGTATATATATATACTATATATATAGGAGAGTGTATATATATATACTATATATAGGAGAGTATATATAGAGAGAGTATATATATATATACTATATATATAGAGAGAGTGTATATATATATATATATACTATATATACAGGGAGAGTATATATATATATATATACATATATATATATATATATATATATATATATATATATACCGTTTCTCCAGAGAAACAGAACCAATAGAATATATATATGCATATGTATATATATATACATTTTTTTGCTATGAGAATGCTCTGCTAGGCAACACCACATACTATGAAAATGCTTTAAAATGCAACAGGAAGAGATGTGAAGACACAAAGAACAAGTACATAGTGACACATGGCTATCAGAACACACTAAGTAATGATCCACACTGCTTCCACCCTTTACCCAGAAAGGGAAGGATCTAGGCCACCTCGTCCTCAGAGAGAAACAGAACCAACAGAATACATACATGTATGTACATATACACATATGTATGACTAATACAGATATGACTTCTCCTTTTGTTTTAGGGGAGGCCACCTGAGTCTCCATCACCTAATAGGAGTCTCATCATCAGAACTCAGACCTCTGTGTTCTCATGAGTTTTGTGATGGTTAATTTTAGGTGCCAACCTGACCAGGCTAGGGCATACCTAGGTAGCTGGTACAACAGCATTTCTTGGTCTATCTGTGAGGGTATTTCTGCAGGAGATTGGCTTGTGAGTGGATGGACTATGTGGGGAAAACCCACCCTCCTTTTTTTCTTTTGTGTAAAAATAAGAGGAAGCTCATTAGGGATGTATATGAGATATTTGCCCAGAAGTACACTAGCCTGGTGCCTTTAAGGTCATAGGGAAATGCCCTGTGTCCATTCAGAAGGTCTTATAAATACAAATGGGAGGATATTGATTGAACCATAAATGTGCTGTGGTGCAAAATTTACATCTAGTCAATAGTGGTACTACTGTTATTTCAGATACAGGACACATCTCAGTGTGAGGATCCCTTTTTGTGACTGCACATCTTGATGTAACCTGGGTGGGTAATTCCTACACTCATGCTCCAGTGAGAATGGATACAGAATCTGAAGTGGAGACAGGGAGGGGACCCATGAACACCCCGATGGAGAGGCTGTGGCTGGGGCCTGGAAAGCCCAGGAAGAGCTTTCCCATCTATGCCCAGAACTCCCCTGGTCCTGGGAGACCAAAAGGCACACGGAAAAAGAGATCATTGCCCATGGTTGAGTCAGGACAGGAAAGGAGAGCTTTCCATCTCAGGGCTCAGATTCTTTAGAGTAGGGCACATGGAATCCAAGAGCTCTGAGAATTGTTATCAAAATAAGGTGTGATCCATCAATAAATAAGGTGTGATCCACCAATAGAATTCTCAACAATACTCTGACTTCTCTGGGGAGATAAACATCTACCAGGAATATTTTCCTTGTATTTACATTTGTATTACTTGATCATTATTGATTTACAAATTTTCTTTTGTTGAAAACATACACCTTATTTTGCAGCTTTGCCTGTTTTCTGTGCTGATGTTTCTCAAGCACTTACATGGTGCCTACACACGGTAACTAGCTAGAAGTGGATTTGCCATGAAGTCAATGAAGAATAACTTCAGGCCTTCTCACTTGCACAGAATTTATTTATTTATTTTAATTTGAGATAGAGTCTCACTCTGTCACCCAGGCTGGAGTACAATGGCGTGATCTCTGCTCACTGCAACCTCCGCTTCCTGGGCTTAAGTGGTTCTCCTGCCTCAGTCTCCCAAGTAGCTGGGATTACAGGTGCCCACCACCATGCCTGGCTAATTTTTGTATTTTTAGTAGAGACAGGGTTTCACCATGTTGGCTAGGCTGATTTCGAACTCCTGACTTCAAATGATCCAACCACCTCGGCCTCCCAAAGTGCTGGGATTATAGGCATGAGCCACTGTGCCTGGCCTTGCACAGAATTTTTTCAAGACATTCTCATTTTGTATTCTCTTTTTCAAAGCGATCCCTAAAATTTTATAAGCCTCATGTTCCGCAAAACTTGGATCTACTCCGCACATACTCTTGTTAAATTTTTGTTGAATGACTGAAGAAAGAAATGAATGGTTCTCTGAGTCCATGCAGACCCTGAAGCTGTGAAACATAAACTTAGTCTATTCAGTTACAAATAAGCTCAGAGCCTTAACTGAGCAGAGACCCATGTGAGTCTGTTGGAAACTCAGACTGAGTCAAAATGAACTTGGAAGAGATAGTTCACATATCATTATAGGACTTCTGAATGAATGCATGGCAGTGTAACTAAAAGAAAACCACGGCCTTTTTCAAAGAGAAGTGTCTTAGAGGGTCATCTCATTCTATCACTGTCAAAGTTTTAAGCTGCCCCTGAAGGCAAAGTTTGAGACATGGACTTTGGTGAAAGTAGTTTATTTTGGAAAGGATCTCAGGAATTAGGAATAAGAGAGATGGGAGAATAAAATAGGGAGAGAGGAAACCAGGATAAAGGTACAATATTGAGTTTGTGCTGGAGCAACAGGAGATGGAATCCATCAGGATTGCTCTGAATTCACAACTTTCTGGGAGCATCACACCTTGCATATCAGACTCAGTATCAAGCAGGAAATGCTGTAAGGTACAACATTTTCACTTTCTCTTAAGACACAACTGTTTGTGTTACTTTTGCCAATGAATTATCAGACTACTATATTTGCATTTTAGATGACTTTGTGTCTGAATCATAGGTGAATCAGACAAAAGTAATTCGTGTATGCCTTTGTTACCAGATTGCCAAAGTAAATAACTGCTTGACTAGAGATTTGTCAGAAAATTCATAGGGACCTAAGACTTATTGAGCCTATACTATGTATTAGACTCTGTTTTATTTACATGTATAAAATCTCTGTAAGACATATATGATTGGCCTCAGTTTAGCCAAATGTTTTCAAAGTCACTGACCCAAGGGATCAGAAGATGAACTACTGAGGTCTCCTCATCTCTGAGGATCTTCCTCTTTAGCGTGCAGCCTCCCACATGAAAGATGTTATTCAAATGGTTTGTGTCAGATGCATTGTTTCTAAAAGAGACATTTAGATTTCCAATGTTGAAGGTATCTTCCTCTACCAAAATGTATAGGGTGGAGTAACTTCAAGCATAGGTTGAAAGTCAGTATGGCCTAGGTGTGAGTCCAAGTTCTATATTTGTTAGCTGTACCTCCTTTAGAAAATCTAAATTCTCTAACAGTTTTTTACCTGTAATATGGGAGTAAATTGTTCTCCCTTTTGAAGTTCTTAAGAAATTAATTGAAATAATGTACTTGGTATACGGCCCAGAGAAAATGGGATTAACGATGTTGCTTGTTATTAGCAATCAACAAGGCAATTTTCTCTAAGTTCACATAAAAGATGTAGAATTAAGTTGGTCTCTGTCCACCGTGTACTTGCACATGCATCTGCAAATGGCACATCATACACTTGGTAGCTGCTGTGCTGGCTGTTCTACATGCACACCCAAAGTTCCCCACAACCGACTCTCGCCAGCCTGCCCCTTACTGCCCTGGACTGTGCCCCTGAAGACTGATGTCAGCAAACGGTGCTATCCAGGCTTTCAGCTGGGCTTTCCAATGGAAGACACCAGCTGGACATTGAAGGGTAGTGAAGAGAAAGTTCAGCATATCTGGGCTTCCCCTTCCTAGCTCTGGTCCTGAATTCCTTCCTTTGGGAAACTTTTCTCATTACTTGCATGCACCTCCAGTAACACAGAATTTCCCTCCCACCCCTTTTTCCATAGGCCCCACAGTTAGTTGTACTGGCTTCCCAATGTGCTGGAAACCCCTGGTCCCTCAAACACTTCTTGGTGTCCCTAAGTCTGTTTACCCCTCTAAACATAGTCCTTCGATTAAATTGTTTTCACTTCAGCCTTTTTGACTGTGTCATCTGTTCCTTGCCAGAAAACTGACTGATTGAAATGACTTTCATACATTGTAAATGCATGTGTGAATAATTAGGGATATATTATTTTGCCAGACTTTAGACTTCTTAAAGACAGAATGTGTAATTTGAAAAATTACATCTCATTTTCTGTATTCCAAGGAAATTTTTAACATAATAGGTATTCCAGGAATATCTACTGAATAAATTAACAAGTAAACAACAACTAAATGACAACAGCAAAGCTATATATATAAAATAAATTTTCATGAACAATTTGACAGAAAATATAAAATTTATTCTCCTGCTTTCCATTTCTCTGCTGCATAGCTGGGTGTGCTGATGATTGTCTTTTGGCACTGAGTACCCTTAAATGTCCTCCAACAATCTCTCTCTCTCTCTTATTGCAAGAGCTAGAAGACTTGAAAGTACATTTCCCAGTCCAGGCATGGTGGCTCACACCTGTAATCCCAGCACTTTGGGAGGCTGAGATGGGTGGATCATGAGGTCAGGAGATCGAGACCATCCTGGCTAACATGGTGAAACCCCGTCTCTACTAAAAATACAAAAATAATTAGCTGGGCTTAGTGGCGGGTGCCTGTAGTCCCAGCTACTCGGGAGGCTGAGGCAGGAGAATGGCATGAACCCAGGAGGTGGAGCTTCCAGTGAGCCGAGATCGCGCCACTGCATTCCAGCCTGGGCGACTGAGCGAGACTCCATCTCAAAAAAAAAAAAAAAAAAGAAAAAAAAGAAAAAGACATTTCCTAGATTCTCCTGAGAGCAAGTTTCTGAAAACAGTTTTGTTTCCCCCAGTAAGCTATACTTGTGGAAAAGTTAGAAGCAGAATAAAGACTTTTATCTGACAGCAACAGACAGGTGGATTTGCAATGACCTCTGGATACTTTCCTGTGAATCACCCTCTTGGTCACTGCAAGACCACTATGACTCTCAGCTATTTCCAGCAGTCCCTGACCTGGGCAAAAGTAGCAACTTCAGTCTTTGTGATCACTAGTGGTGGACCTGAGCGCAAGTTTCAACCTTCTGAGACCCTCCCACTTTTCAGCCTTCCAGTGGTTTATAACCACCAATTCCCTGTATTAACTCCTATTCTCCTTGGAATTCCTAGAGGATTCTGTTTCCTTGACTGAACCCTGTGATGTATTAGAAATGCCCCTTGTCACTATATGTCTATATTAGGACATATTGTGGCCCCATTCTATATGGAACTAAAACAGGACAAATATTCTCTGGCTGGAAGTTATATGTCCTGGAGGTTGGCAGGCCATAAGCCATAGTAACCACATTCCATAATATGTGACCTTCTTCTACTGCTTGGCTAGTCTTGAGATGGAAGAATAGTGCTCTGCTGTAGCTCATTGACCAAGGCCCAGGAAACACTATAGAATTTTAGAAATTTTATTTTGGAGGCATGGAGTCGTAGGTTTGGATCCTGCCTTTGATCCTTGGAAATATGAAATACTGGAGAAGTTCATGAGCCACAGCTTCCTATCTATAAAATGGTACACTGAAATCTTCTACATGTATAAAGTGGATATGCTAATGTCTATCTTTGCATTAAAACACATAAACTCAGGAGGATCATTTGAGGAGTTTGAGACTAATCTGGACAACATGACAAGGCCTCATCTCTACAAAAATAAAAATTAAAAAAAATTAGCCAGGCAAGGGGACACATCACCTTGTAGGAACTGAGGAACTGGGGACACACCTTGTAGTGATGTGTCCCTGTAGTCATAGCTACTCAGGCCGCTGAGGCAGGAGGATTGCTTGAACCCACGCGCTCAAGGTTGCAATGAGCCATGATCACAGCACCACTGCACTTCAGCCTGGGTGACAGAGTGAGACCCTGTCTCAAAAAAGAAAAAAAAAAAAAAACCCGCAATGTGTACTGCTATGATTTGACTGTGTTCCTAAATAATTTATATATTGAAAACTTGGTTCCCAATGCAGCAGCGTTGAGAGGTAGGACCTTTGGAAGGTGACTGGATCTTAAGGACTCTGCCCTCATAAAGGTTAATCCATTCATGGATTAATGGGTTATAGAAGGAATTAGTTAGTTATGAGGTTGGGTCTGTTATAAAAGCCAGTTTGACCATCTTTCATGAGCCCCCTCATATGTAATGCCCTATGCCACCTGGGGACTCTGCAGAGTCCTCACCAGCAAGAAGGTCCTCACTAGATGTGGGTCCTTGACCTTGGACTTCCCAGCCTCCAGAGCTGTAAGAAACAAATTTCATTTCTTTATAAAATACCCAGTCTCAGGTATTCTGTATGGCAACAGGAAACACACTAAAACATATACCCCTATGTTGGCACAGAGTAGAAGCTCCCGCCACTTGCTAGGAATTAAAAAGTACTGGCTAAGATGTGAGAACTTCCAGTGGGTCTGGAGCCCACAAGTGCAGGAGCTCTCACTGAGCTCAGCAGGGCAGGGGAAAATGTTAGAAAAGAATAGAAGCATCTCTGGGGCTTGGCTAAAGTTGTGTGGCAGCCCCCACCTCCTTCTCCCTATTACATCCTCAAGTGAGATAGGAGGGTTTGGGTACAGAAAGCCAGTAATTCTCCAGGGCTGTGCCTAAGCTGCTGGCACAGAAGTACAGGGCTGAGTCCCCCAGCTCCAAGGAGCTCATGTTCAGTTCAGAATGATAGTCACTGAACTGTTGAGCTGAGAATCGATCAGGGATGCTTCCTTTATCGCTCTGCATCTTTTCATAAAACGAAATGAGGAACTGGGGGTCCTGACCTGGACCCTGCTGGTACCAGTAGACAGTGTCGTGTCTAGGGATAGGATAGCATTTCAGAGTGGCTGTTTCCCTCTTTTCTTTGATCAGATGTCTTGGGGACTGGATGACTCCAGCAGCCACTGAACCTGTGGAGGAAGGAGACAGAAGCTGAAGACTCAGCTCGGGAGAGTTTGACACTTCAGCAACAATTGAACACTGTGGATACAGGGATGTCCCACCTGTACTCAGGACTCACCTGCTCCCAGGAGACAAAGCATGACACGGCAGAGGAGCCTGGTGTTCCAGGCAGAGTCAGGCAGGTCAGGACTAAGCATCTCCCTGCTCAGGTTGCTGGTCTCCTGGGGTGAGAAAGCAGGGCTTTTGCTCCTCCTCACCGTTTTTGGAGGTTTTTACTGTGATGTCACTGTTCTGATGTCATCGTCCTGTAGGCTCCCATAGGCACCCTGTACTCCAGGACTAGCTCAGCTAACTCAGGCTTTCCCCCATCCTGTCCAGCTTCCTGCAGAGCAGGGGAAGCTAGCTGTGCTGAGCGAGAGGGGGCAGGCTTCCGGGCAGACAGCCATCCGCACAGCTTCTGAGATTTTCATCTGAGGCAGATGCTCCTTTATCTCCACCTGGCTTGGGTTATCCAGGCTGCCCTGCTGAAACCCTCATCACACTCCCCATCAAACCTAGGTTGCTAGAGAGGCCACACAAGGCTTCAGTTCATGGCTTCCTGTCATGACAAATACATGTTGCATATCAGTTGATCTGATAAGACTATGATTAACTCTTCCTGTGCCAGCAGTACCTCTGGTTCATCTGGTAATATCCCTGATACAGAGACGAAATCAAGACTGTCTCCCTTAACCCTCTCTCTCTCAGACAGCGCTATCAGTGACCCACTCAGTGGATCCACAGTGCCCCCAAGTGGCCAGTGTGTAGTCACTATGAGGAAGCTCTAAGGACCCTGACTAGGGAGACTGGGTGCTTCCTAAATTAGACCCTCAGGATCTCTCAGGACACAGCACAGCTCTTGCTGATTTCAGGTTTACCTGCCTCAAACTCAAATTTTGCACAGGTTGGTGAGGGAGACATAAAGCAAATGTCTTTTTAAACAAGAAAGAAAAATTTTTCATTTTAATTTAAATTTTAAATTTCATCAAATAATGGTGTAGGAAGGGAGATATCAGCCAGTCATTAAATGCCAGCTGCCATAGGAATGGGGTGAGACCTGGGCAAAGCATTCCCTTTAACCAAAGATAATTCCTGGAGGCAGCTGACAGTGACATGCTATCAGTGAAACAATCATCTAAGCTGGAGAAATAAACACATTAGTCTCATGAAAAGAAACTGCCTACTTATATATCTTTTTTTTTTAATTCTCTAGTCAACTTTTTGTTTTTAGTGAATTGCCTTCTTTATGATTGATGTGTAGGAATTCTTTATAATATGAATCCAGCCCTTTCTCAGATATACATTTATTTTTTCGTAATGTATTTTGAAGAACTTTTTGGGATTTGCATAAAGAACAATTTGCTTTTTTTATGGTTAGAACATTCTTTTGTCCTTAAGAAATCTTTGCCTACCCCATGATCATGAAGAGAGCTTGCTATGTTTTCTTCCAGAAGCTTTCAGTTTCTAGTTTTTCGATTATCTGGGATTTTTTTGTGTCTCTTACTAAATTTTGTTTATGGGAAGGGTCAGCAGTTTTCCTGTAAAGGGTGAAATAATAAATTTTTTAGTTTTGTGCATCATGCAGTATTTGTCTCGACTACTCAATTCTGTCATTGTAGTGCAAAAGCAACCATTGACAATATATACACGAATGACTGTGGCCATGATCCAATAGAACTTCATTTATGTTTACTGAAATTTGAATATCTTAGATTTTTATATGTAACAAAATACTTTTTACTTTTTTTCAATCATTTAAAAGTGTAAAATTTTTGTTAGTTTCTGGGCTGTATGAAAACAGACAAAGGCCAAATTTGGCCCGGAGGCCATAGTTTGCCCACATCTGGTTATGGAGTGAGATAAGGCTAGAGATTCATTATTTTTCCATATTATCCCATTTTTCTAGAACCATTTGCTGAAAAGGCTATTTTATCCTCTTTTTGCTGTTTTTAGTATTTGATCTGGGAATTACATATGCATCTTTGACTTATCAGTTTGCTTGCAAAAATATTCTATTTAACCATAGGATGTCATAAATGTCCTTTTTTAGGTGAAGAAAATTTCTTGTTACTCTTGAGTTTGATAACAGTTTTCTTCAAGAAAGGATATGGAATTTTATCAAATGCTTAAGTTATCTATAGATATGATCATATACTTTTCATATTTTTCATACAGATAAGGTAAATGACATAGTCTGTTTTTTGAATGTCAGACCAACAATGCATTACTGAGATAAACCCTACTTGACCATGTTGTACTATCCCTCTTACATATTGTCAGATTCTCTAGGCTGTAATGGTAAAAGGATCATTGAATCTGTGTTCCTGAGAGATATTAGTCAGCAGCTTTCTTGGAATCTCTTAGTCTCGTTTTGGTATCAGAGTAGTTCTGGCCTCAGAATGAATAGAAAATTATCCCCTGTTCTTCAGTTTCCCCTCAGTCCTGCTTTGGCAGCATCATACCAACTTTGATATATTTTTATATTTGTTCAGTTTAAAATAATTTCTTTTCTGTTGAACATTCTCAAACATTTTATGCATATATAGCAATTTCCTTGAAATAAATTCATTAAATAAAAAACACTCTGGGTCAAGGAGTGTTAGCAGTATTAACTCTTTTGATGTATGCTGCTAAATTACTCATCAAAAACGGTTTTACAATTTACTCTCCCCCCAAAAAAGAAAGATTTGGGCCAGGCGTGGTGGCTTATGCCTGTAACCCCAGCACTTTGGGAGGCCGAGGCAGGTGGATCACCTGAGGTCAGGAGTTCGAGACCAGGCTGCCCAACATGATGAAACCCCGTCACTGCTAAAAATATAAAAACTAGCTGAGCATGGTGGTGGGCACCTGTAATCCTAGCTATTTGGGAGGCTGAGGCAGGAGAATTGCTTGAACCCAGGAGACGGAGGTTGCAGTGAGCCAACACCATGCCACTGCACCCCAGCCTCAGTGACAGATTGAGACTCCGTCTTAAAAAAAAAAATAAAAAAGAAAGGTCTTACTTATCTTCATTCTCACCAGTATTTGGTCAAAAAGAAAAAAAAATGACCAAAATATACTATTAAAATAATTGTAAATTATCTTTTATCTTTTGATTTATTTTTTGCTTTATGAGTTATTTAGACAACTATTATCTAATTTTGAAATATTCGGGACTTTTCCAGAAATCTTTCTCTTACTGATTTTTAATGAAGTTTCACTGTGACCAGCGAGTGCACTTGGTTTGACTTGAATACTTTTAATGCATGGATGCTTGTTTTATGGCCCAGTGTACGTAGTCCATGCTGGCACACAATCAGTGCGCACTCCAAGAGAACATGTATTCTGCTGCTGTTGGATGAAGTGTTCTGTAAACGTCAATTAAGTCAAGTTGGTTGTTGGTGTAGTTCATATCTTCTGTATCCTTAGTTGTCTTTTGTTTTTGTCAACTTGTTAAACCAGTTACTAAAAGAGGGCTATTGAAATCTCTGATTATAATTGTGGATTTGTCTGTTTCTCCTTGCAGTTCTGTTTTTGCCTTGGGATTTTGAAGATCCATTTTCAGGTACGTAAATATTTGATTGTTACAACCTCTTGATAGACCAATACTTTTGTCATTAGGATATGACTTTCATTATCTCAGATGATATTCTCTGCTTGAAATTTATTTTGTTTGATATTAACGTTACTAGTCTGGCTTTCCTTTAATTGGTGTTGGCATAGTACATCTTTTTCCATACTTTTATATTTTTTTACATTCTGAGTCTTCATAGTATTCTGATAAGCAGCATATAGTTGTTTTTTTGATATGATTCGATAATATTCAATAGTACAATCTGTGCTTTTAGACTATTTAGATTTGATGTGATTGTTGATGTGGTTACTTTTGGGTCTATCATCTTCTATTTGTTTTCTATCAATCCCATCTCTTCTATATTCCTTTTTTCTTTTTATGTTGTTTTTATGGATTATTTGAGCATTTTTATAACACTGTATTGTGTTGGCTTATTAACTATAATGCTGTGTTTTGTCATCTTAGTGGTTGCTCTATGATTTTCAGTATGCATCTCTACTTTAACGCAGTCTGCCTTCAAGTGACTTCACTCAGATTATGGAAACCTTCCAATGATATATGTGTTCATTTATTCCTCACCTGTCTTTATGCTAGTCTTGTTATAGATTTATGTTTGCATATATTAGAATCCCTGCACTGTGTTGGAATTATTTCAGTGTAAATAGCCAATTATCCTTTAAAGAAATTCAAGTTTAAAAATTTGCTTTTGGGACTCTAATTACATATTAAGCTACTTAAAGTTGTCCCCCAGTTTACTGATGACCCCCACTTATTCTCTGTATTTCATTAAGAATTGTTTGTGTTATTTCTTCAAGTTTATTAATATTTTATCCTGTAATGTCTAATCTGATGCTAACTTCATCCAGCGTATTTTTCATCACAGACATTGTAATTTTTATCTCTAGAAGCTTTGTTTGGATCTCATTATGCCTTTCCCCATCTCAACAAAACTTTGAACTTACAGACCAGAGTTATAGTAACTGTTTGACTGTCTTTGTCTGCCAATTTGTCATTTCTGAGTTGGTTCCTATTAATTAATCCTTCTCTTCATTATAGATCCTATTTTCATGCTTCTTTGCAGGTCTGTAATTTTTGATTGATGCCAGATATTTTGTATTTTATATTTTTGGGTGGTAGATATTTTTATATTTCTATTAATATTTTTAGCTTTGTTCTGTGATGCACTTAAATCAGTTGGAAACAAACAAAAACAAAAAAAAATCCCAGCAGTTGTTATCTTTTTCCTGAATAATTTAGCAAGCTGATTCTAAAATGTATATGGAAAAAAAGTGTCAAGAGTGCTCAAGAACACTTGATAAAAAGGAGCAAAGCTTGAGAAATTATTCTACCAGATATTAAGAATAAGGATGAAGCTGTAGTAAGACAGCATATTATCAGTGCGAGAACTGACAGAACAGACCAATGTAACAGAATAGAGATCCGAGAAAAAAGGCCACACATGTATAATGATGGATTTATGACAAAAGTGATATTATCGAGTGATGGTGAAACTATTACCACTTAAATAGTATTGGGTAAATTGAATAATCATTTGGAAAAATAGAACTTGACCTCTTCCTCATATCACCTACAAAGAATTAATTCCAGTTCGATTGTGAGTCTAAGTATGAAAAGTGGAAAATATAAAGATTTTAGAAGGAAATGTAAGAAAACATGATCATTTTGAAGTAAGCAAGGATTTCCTAAAGTGGACACCAAAATACAAAACACTAACTGAAATGGGAGAAACATGGAATGATTGTCACTTAAGAACTTCTGTTTGTCAAGAGAAACTATTAGTAGAGGGAAAAACTAATCTACAGAGAGAGAGAGAGAAAAAAAAAAATTCCATCCAAAACTCATATACCTCTCGTGGGAATGTAAACTGGTACATCTTCTTTGGAAACCTCAAAGAATCCTACGTGGTTGATATAATTTTATTCAGGTTTTCTTTGAATTGTGTCCTTTTAACACCTTCCCAGGTGGGGTTTATCTTATGAAACAATCTCAATTTGTATTTCTATTTTTTTAAGTTAGACTGGAGAAGAAGGAAATTAAACATAGAATGACTACAAGATTTTCAGAAGGAAAAAAAGCAATGTATGAACATGAGTTAATGTGCATTATTGTGGGTAATAGTTATTTCTAAAAAATTGATTTTGATGGAAATTCTTACTAAAGATTCCAATTTTCTTCCAAGGGTGGTAGCTGTAAATGGCCTTAGCAGTGTTTGCGTTTGGCTTCCCCACTCCTTGGTAGATTATAGGTCTGAGTTGGTGACATGTGGTAACAGTAGTTTAATATAAATGTGCTGAAACTTCATAGTTCTATAAGAGAATATTTACTTAGTCACTATCCATGAGACTAAGCTCTGTTATATCCTAATTATGGAAATTTGAACTATATATAAGGAATCCCAGAAATCCATAAGTCAAAATTATTACTACCCAGTATTCCCTGTTCCTGTATTTCAGAGGTTATTTTCTGACCTCCTAGTATCAGAAGAACACCTGCAGTTCCAAATGCATTCATTCTCCTTGCTGAGGAAAGAGCAGGGCAGCTCCTTTGTTCAGGGCTTCTGAGAGCTGGAAGGAGAAGTAAGTGCCTGAGGGTTTGTGAGCAGGAAGGAGGCGACTGTGCCATGCTGTGGCTAAGCTGCTGGCACAGAGATACATGGCCGAGTCCCCCTGCTCTGTGCGCTGGATCTCCAAGGTGGAGAAAGATCCCTTAGGCCTCTCTGCAGAGAACCGATCACTGAGCAGCCTTGATTTTTCTAGTTGAGCTTCATTCTGGAAGTAAGTCAGAAACTCTGGGCCCTGCCCCAGGGTCTGTCGGTACCAATAAAGGCGGTTGTGTTCAGAAATTGGATCACACCTGAAAGTTACATTCTGTCCCCTCTTTGTGATCTTGTGTCTGGGGTCCTGGGAGACTCCAGTATCTGCGTGATCTGTGGAGATACAAGTTGGGAACAGGAGGAAAACAATTGTAGTCATCACACACACACACACACACACGCACACACACACAGACATACACAGACACAATGAGATTGCTTGGTGTTCTGAGGACTCACCTGCCCCCAGGAGACACAGGGCCATCCAGCAGAGGAGGCTGGTGCCCATGGCAGGGTCAGGGCAGGATGGGAGCTTTACCAGATCAGGGTCACTGTGAGCAGGAGCAGAGGATGAGGGACGTCCTTGTCGCCACAGAGCAGTTCCCACAGTGACATCACTGAGCCTCAGGATCACCTGATACTGATGAGTTAAGTCTAAGATGGCAGCAACTCTGATGTGCACCACTTTATTATGTACCAGCAAGAAAGAAAATAATTACTGTCACTCATCAGAAACAATAAACGGTGTAACACCATGAAGCATAGAATTCATGACAAGTGATAAGTCAGAAGTGGGTTTCCACACACACAGCTTCTGTGAGGTCCATTTTGTTTTCCCCACTCAGCCCTCCAGGGGGCTGCTGCCCGCATTCCACCCTCCGCCTTCGGGAAGTCTTCTCACTTTTTCCTTTCGCATTGTCGGCTGGACATGCCACCTGGCTGCTTCAGCAGCACTTTACACAGACGATCCCAGTGCTGACTGTCAACCTTCCTTGGAGATCTCCTGTTTCTGGCTCTGTTCCTGCATTTCCTGCCCATCCACGGTCTGGGTAGGAGTGGGAGGTGTTTGGGAAGTGGAGAGAATTGCCGCGTCTTTTTCCCGAAAGAGTTTCAATTCACAGCTCAGAGGGGCAAGGGAAGAAACGTTGCCTCCAGCAGGCACCAAGCTAAGTTGGGATCTTCAACTCATTCTAAAGGTTAAAAAAAGAACAGTTAAACAATTCCCCATATGAATTCATTAATCTCAATACTTTTTCTTTTTTGTCTCTACTACTTATCACGACACCTCCTGTGTTTCTAAGTCACCTCTGAAATCAATAAATGTTCCATAGCCTTTAGAAAAAGTCAGAACTGTTTTACCCTTGACATTGTGATGGGAGTAGTACAATTAAAAAATAGGGAGTTGAATTAATCCTTGGGGTTCCTAACAGTCTGCATTATGAGCAATTAATTTCTCATTTTCATTCCTAACTTAACTCTTAAAACTTCATGGGCACCCTCTTTCATATGAGGGACAATAGTCACAATTCCTCTCACTGCAGGCAAGTTAGACCCAGATTTGAGAAGATCCTGCAAAGTGGAGGAAAAGTTTGAAGCAAAGCAGAGGAGATGGTTCAGCAAGGTCTTTGCTGCTGGCAAAAGGAGACCCACAGAATCCCACCCCACTAGGGGATGTGTGTCCAGCTGATGGAGTGAGATGTTTGGTTGACCAGCTTGGAATATGCCATTGTACCTTCAATCTCAGAAGTGCTACATCACAATAGTATAAAATTCATGCTGGTGCATTTCCAGCTGACATTGCTTCCCATAGATGATGCCATAAAGTAGGATGTATTCACACCTATTGCTGCTCCATACCCATTACCTGCTTTCAAGAGGTCTGTGTGAGCACAGTTTCATGAATGGAGATAGAACCTGGAGCTAGGACGTAGGAGACTGCATGGGGAATGTTTGGAACTGAGGCACAGCAGTTGCAGGGACAGGGATTTCCCTCAGAGGTTTCCAGAGCCATCTGCTCCCAGGAGACAAAGCACAACTAAGCAGGAACATGGAATCCCATCATGCTCTGAGAGGGAAATTGTTGTTTTTAACACAGACCCCGTGGGTTTTCAAAATACATGGTTCCTCTGGCAAGGCTTGGCATATTCAGAGCTGAGATTCCCCCAGGTGCATCCAGGACACACCTGGTTTTGAGAAACCAAGGCATGTCCAGCACCCAGGAGAAGAGCCTAGATCCCATGGGAGACTGAGCAGGTAGAGGGCGTTCAGAGCTCTGGTGCTACAAGAGGCCAGGATCTGTCCTCTCCCTGTGCCTGGCGAGTGTGTGTCTGTGGTGGTGCTGTTGCTGCTCATTTCCCAGTTCACAGGTCTCCTCTGGCATGGTTCAGGATCCCTTCTCTTCTCACCCAGTCAGCTTTCTCCTGCACTGACTCCTACACAGCAAGGGGTGCAGAGCTGAGAGAAGCTGGATTCAGATTGGAGTCCTATTCTCACAGCTTTTCTGGTGGTTCTCTGAATTGTACTGCCTGACATTCCTCTAGGTGTGGATCTGGGAAGGGGATGGGAAGACCCCCAGACCCCCTAGGTGTCCATCATAGCACATCTTCCTCTGTAGCTAACAAAGAATCAGAGACCTCTGCCTACTGGATTTTAATCCTGTTTGAGGGTCTTCACAGGATCCAAATCACCTGCACATCCTGTAATAGTGAGGGTTTATGTTTTCAGGGTTTGTAAGGACTTCTTATTTTAGATATATAAGTGGATATATGAATATATATTGACATCTCACGTTCAATACCGATTCACAGTGTGGGTCATTACCTGTCATTTGTCTAGAAAGCTTTCTCAGTCCTTGATCAAGCTGCATGGTGTAATCATGCCTCTCCTAGTTGTCAAATCTTGATCTTCCTTCTATGGGGGCTGGGGGCTAGCTGGGCTTTCATCCCTCTATGTACTCATATGTCTAAAATACTCTTCACTCAACCCTACTGCTTCACTTAACAGTTCTCCCTCTCCCTACCCCTTCTACTCCTGATAATCCTGCTCATTCTATGACCAATAATACTTCATGGGTACTCAAGTAATGGAGCAACTCTAACCCTAACCCCCATAAGAACAGACCCACACATCAGGCCAATGTTGGAAGTAAAACTTCACTTTAAAAAGTCACTGAAGAAAATGACCAAATGGCCCAGATTTTGCAAACTGCCAACACACTAAGTCCATCTTAGCTCTGTAGCACCAGCCAGTTGTACCTGAAGGTGAGTCACTGCCACCATCTTCTGGGAGAAATTTGACTTGTGATTCCTCCAGGGTTTCAGAAGCTTTCGCCTGGGATTTCTCTTTGTCTGTTTTCTGAGCTCATCATCTTCTCTTAGACCCAGCCAACATCCTTCCACCAGGTCCTTCTGTCGACTGAACCAAGCAGCAGGGTTTGATTCCTTCTGGCTCCCCTCATTTCCATGGCTGCTTAATTATGGGTGAGGTGGGTTTGGTCCCAAACAACGTAAAGGGCATTATTCTTAGGGCTCTGATTCACACTCAGAAATGTATTCTTCGTGGTAGAGCCTCACGGTACTCATCGCATGTGGATCAACACCATCCCCACCCCCCACCTCTCACCTTGCCACCAAGTTAAAGACTCTTAGAGTAGAAAAGGCCTTAGAAATAATCTTGTTTCCATTTCCAGTTGTGCTTTGTAAGGTGGACTTGTTATTAAGATTTAACACAGCTATTTGTTCTTCATTTCCAAAGAAATTACTCCCTCAGGTGCGCATCTGAGACCTAAAAAAACCATTAGGAGAAGGAGGAGGGTTGCATCACAGCTTCACAGCTTAGAATTTGGCATTACATGTCCTTTTTCTTCGACATTCTGTGGCCACTCTGTCGTATTCCCAACTGTCCCTCCCCACTGCCTGTGCTTCCGTCTCTGCTGATTCAAAGAAAATAAGATTCCCCTAATTTTAGAATGCAGGAACATTTACCAATTTCTGGCCCATGAGAGTCTCCATCTGAACTCTGAGTTATTTATTAAACTGTGACTCCATTGGCCTTGCCATTCTTCCCTTCGCCACCAGTCTTCACAAGGTAAAGGAGATGTATAGATGCTTACTTAAACTTGAAAATAAATTATCCCACCTTCCAACTACTTAAACGAAAAACTGACTAAAATCAGATGGGATTCTAGTTAACATTGTTTTCCTCTACATTTAATGTATAGGAAGTGACCACTTAGTTGCTTCTCCCTCCCTCATTTTAACAACAGCTCTTCACAGAGCTCCCTGGCCTAGTTTATCCACATTGATGTCTCTGCTACATCTTGTGCTGGGAATAATTTTTTTTCAAAGCTATGATCTTCTGGTTCCAGGCCAGTAGCCACTTACCTCTCTAGTACCTCCCCATTGCCAACACCATGATGCTTGTATCTACAGTGCTGTAGGGTACACAGACCATACTACCCGTGGTGTCTGATCTGAAAACAACCCCAGATGGTTCTAGACTTCCCCTCTGTCAAACTCCAGTGACCCCTCTATCAATTCCACATGGAAGCAAGCTGACTGTCCTTCATCTGCCTCCAACATTTATTAGCTCTGAGACCATGGGCAAGGCCATTCATTAACCTTCCTGGACTCTAGCTGCATCTAGACTCATCTATAAAACAAGACTAACATTCCCCTCAATGCTTTAGGAGGACGAACTGAGATACTGTGTAGTGTCTGGTAGGTTTGATAAAGGTCTATCCTTTTATCCCTCCCTGTCTCCTCATGCAGGAGAAACCAATGGAGCTCTCAAACCTGCCAGGACTATGAGTGATGGAAATGCTGGAATCATCAACTGGGGGCTGGGGTGAGGAGAACCTGGAAGCCTAAAGAGGCCATTCAGTCTCTTTAGAAAAGATCTGGCAGAATTCAGGAATTAGACAATAGAGCACAATTGTACCTGTCTACCCTCATTATGCAATATGAAGCAGCTAATAGGAGCAAGTTAGATCTATATTGACCAATCTGGAACAATAAGACCAGGGTATATTAACAGAAAAGAGTATGCATGTGACAGGTAAAGTGTACAGGTGAACCCATTTTCTGTAGGTGTACTTGGGTAGAAAGGTGTGCATGAACACAGAAAAGAGAGGTGAAAAGAAGCACACCAGAGTGTTAATATTGGTGACCAGTGGAAGGTGGGATTGGATTTGAGAGCGTTATTGACATTTTCATTATATATTATTTGTTAAAAAATCTTCACCACATACAAGCTTTAAGTTACACCTTTCAGCTGGTGTCTGACTTTATAGTGTCTAAATGGGCAAAGTACAGAAAGCTTCTGTTTATGGAACCCCTTATAGATGCCCATTTTTTGGAATAAACCGAGGATAAAGTGTACTATGTAAAAGCGTATAAGCTCCTGGTGAACACAGTCTCTGACTGCTGAGGAGGGTGAGCATCAAGGTCGATACATTTGATGGTGAGGTCAGTTCAGCTGATTATGAACCAATAAGGCTTCTACCTCTGAAAGCCTGATCACCACGGAGAAGTGGAGGATCTCACCCCTTGTTCTAGAACAGCCTTTGAATAGCCTCCGATTGGAAAAGGAAGAGAAATGAGCACCCTCTAGTGCCTGCATTTCCAAACTCAGTGAGAGCTCGTTTCCAGTTTTACATTGTTCAAGCTTTAGAAATGCTCTTTGTTTCTGATCCAAGTAGCAGTATTATTACGATGTCAATTGTAATGATATTCCAGTGTTTATCAACAGCACACAGCTTTCTCAAATACAGCTTTAGTGAGTGGGTAGAAGAAAATGCTGTCCCTAGGGAAGATGTTCTGACTTTGGTTTGTTTAAGGTTCAGTTATTTAAAATAGCTAGTCTATTTTTGGTCTTTATTGCCTAAAGAGATAAAACTTCATTCGTATTTAAAGCATAGATGCAAATCATTCCAGCAAAATTGGGGCTTCAGTCTGTCCGTGGGCCATCCTTGGTGATTGTATATTTGATTATTTCCACCCAGAATGGCTCTCACAATTCTTCAGGGACTAACACATAGCCCTGCTCTGTAAGTGGAGCCTCTGCCTCACAATCAGCCTTTCCTAACTGGCAAAGGAGGGGAATAAGCAAAGGTCTCTGTTCAGTGCCCTGCACCAAAATCAGGTGTGGGCTGGAGGAAGCTGGTGACCATCAGGTCTGTGTCTCTAGCATTGCCCACCAATTCATGGAAATGAACACCCATAATATAGCTCAGTGTGTCAGGTAGCATGGCCTCAAAGCCACCCAAAGAGATATTTGTGCCTTGGGAACACTCTGCCTAAGAGAATGGGGAAGGCATTTGTTTTCTTCTCCATGACCTTTTAATGCCAGTGTTTGACATTATGTTTCTGATCACTCTCTCAGAGTGATTAGGTGCGCTGTGTCTGTGAGACTCCCAAATCCAGGACACCTGTGAGGGAAGGAGATTGAAGGAGGAGACTAGGCAGGAAGGCGATGGGCAGATAGGAAGTTCAGTAGTGCAGAAAGGCTTGGATCCAGTTACTCATCCATGACAGGGATTTCTCCTCTGTTTCCAGGACTCATTTGATCCTAGGATATGAAGGGATAGAAGTTCCCATTTAATGTGTCCAGACTTCTGGAACAGTCTATGTGGGAACTCAGAGGGCCTTTCAATATCTGTTCTTTATTCTTTCAAGATTGGTCAGTGGCACCTGGAACCGCTGTTGGTACTGACAATAAAATGGGGAACAAAACATCCACAATTTCTAGAATGATGCCTTTTACAGTGGAGAATGCAAGAGAAGTGTCAAATAGTCACACAAAGTCAGGGAAATGACTATGGTGCTAAGTCTATGAATATTAATGCATATTATAAACTGTGAGCATTTACAATAGGGAGGAGCAGCCTAGGAAAACTGTTGAAGGAGTGTCTCCCTAGAGATGGTGGTAGTTAAACTGAGATTTGGAGAAAGAACAAAAGAGAAGAGACTTCTGATGAGCCAGAGGATACAGCATGGAGTGGAAAGGGCTTTGGTGGGAGGAGCATGACCCATGAGGAAGGGCCTGAATTGAGGCATCTGTGATTGACATGAAGGTGAGGGTGCAGAGGAAGGGAGAAGACAGCTGGGAGCAGACATCACGTGGAAGAGGCTGAGGACTGACGTGAGTGTGGTGTGGGGAAGATGGACTTGTGAAGGCTGACAGGGAAAAGAACATAGACCTGTATTGTCAATGCTGTCTGCAAATATACAATTTCAAATGAACTTTCCTTTCTGAGAGCAGCTGAGGAAGAGGACTTCTGAGGTCAGAGCTGCAGGAGGGGCCTGGAAGAGAGGCTGCATCCACGCAAAGCATGGTTATGTGCGTTCCATCGTCCAGCTGAGACTGGCCTGGAAGAGAAGCTCAGTACAGGGCAGAGTTTCCCATGCACAGGCTGCTCAGAAATCTGAGGGCCCCAGCCTGGGCAGTGTTGGGAGACTCCTATGGGACAACGTTTTCCACTGCCTGGATCACGGTCTCGTGAAGACAAGGCCATCTATATTTTCCACTGAGCATTATGTGCAGAGGAAGGTGGCTGTGGGGTGAAAGCTGGTGCAAGGGGGCACAGAGGTCTGGGAGAGGCTGTCTGACACCAAGGCCACATATTTGGCTTTGAGAAAAAGTCACAGACCCTCAGGGATTTCTCTATAGTGTGGGCTGGGACAGATCAGCTGTGCACCAGCCTTGGCTCCTATTAACACCTACACATGTAGTCATGGATGGCAGTCTCAGGCATCTCCATGTCACTTCACGTCCTGCCTTTGTTCTCTGGTATCTTGGGATCTGGTTGTCCCAGCTTCTGTGAAATCTATGATAGAAGGAAGTTGAGTGCCCAAGGAGGGACCCCAATAATGTAGACCTGAGGTAAAGGCTTAGGCTGGGATGTGGTGAGCCAAGGAAAAGGCTTTAAGGCACTCACCTGCCCCCAGGAGGCAAAAGGCCACACCACTGAGGAGTCTGGTGGCCATGGCAGGGTCAGGGAAAAATAGGCAAATTGTGGGAGGTTTTTCAGCTTGTGTGTTAGGGACATAATTCCTGGATGTCAGTAAAGTCAACTGATGATGCCACTGCCCCTGCCCTACAGTGACTCTGCCCTCTGCCTGCTATTCCTCCCTCTACCTGCTGCAACCTTCAACCTACAGACCAGCCATAAACCTTTGCCCATGTGGTCTCTACTCCTGGCTGTCTTTCTTATACAAGATAACAAACTGACAAGGTTCATGATTATTTGCCCTCCACCTACCTCTCCACCATCAGCTCCGGGTGTCTACTTTCCAGCTCTTTTTGACACACTATTTCATCTTCACTGAACATATGTCCTTCGCTCCCATTCCTAGGTTTCCACCTTATTTTTTACATGAGATATATTTCAGATACATTTATTCTTAGTGATGAAAATCCAAACTTAAATTTTCCTAGAATAAATTGAGAAAAATATATTTAGACACTTATATGGGAAAGCGGTTTTTGTCTACACACAAACAAAATTGTTTTTAGTTTTTGTTGCATTAAATTAAACTCTTGTGCATCAAAAAACACCATTAAATGAAAATATAAGCTGCAGACTGGGGAAAGACACAGGGAATGCATATAAATGATTTTTAGAAAGTGTGAAATTTAACATTCCTCAAAGTTGCTAATGAGGAGGCCATAGTAATGACCCCTGAAGGCATCTGAGCCTCTGCTGCGGCCCTGCTGGTCACTAGAGGGCAGTGTGAGGGTTCTGACTTACTCTGACCAGGATGCAGAAGGTGATGATGGAGCAGGGGGGTAGGTGGAAAATGGATGGACTACTTTGTTTCCTACTTCTGATCCTTACAAGCCAGGAGACAACGGGGAAAATGACTCAATGTCCCTGAGCATCCCATCTGTCAAGGAAGAATAAGAATGCTTGATGTACAAGATTGTTGCAAGGCTTTAAGCCCATAACAAATACAAAGAATCTAGCACACATCTGGGGCTCAGCAGTCACTCTTCTACTGAAGTTACCCAGGAAGTGACAAGCTGCAAGAAGATGCAGCGGAGAAGTGGGCACACTCAGGGCACAGGAAACCTGGGCTCTGTTGGTTGGGAGAGCTGTGCCCTCAGTAGGACACAAGACATGCCTTCCAAACAACTAAAAGCTTCCCTTGAAGGAGTGAAGACTGAGTGGGGCCTGCAGCTCTCAAGTCAAAGCTAAGGCAGGAAGTTTATATACAGAATGTCAGTGATTCTGCTGGGCTGTGCCAAGCTGCTGGCACAGAGATACAGGGCCGAGTCCTCCAGCTCCAAGGCGTTCACATTCAGCTCAGAGCTATAATTAGGGAACTGGCGACCTGAAAATCTAGGAGGGAAGTTTCCTCTGTTTCTCTCTTCACCCTCGTCATACCAAAGGAGGAACTGGAGGCCCAGACCCAGGGCCTGTTGGTACCAGTACACACTGGTGTGCCCAGAGATAGGAGAGCATCTCAGAGTCGCTTGCTGTCCTCTCGTTTTGATCAGGTGTGTGGGACTTTGTGTGACTCCAGCCTCCACTGGGCCTGCAGGAAAAGCAGATGGAGGATGAGCTCAGGAGACAGCCCAGAGGTCCTCCCCAAGGTAAAGTGGAGGACACTGGGGTGGGAAAGCTGAGAATGGGGCTGCTGTCCTGTGCCCAGGACTCACCTGTTCCGAGGAGACAAAGCAGTGCCCAGAAGAGGAGCCTGGGTCCCATGGCACAGTGGGCCAGGCGGCACTGCACCTGATTCAGGGCTTGGTCTTCCTGGGGAAGAGCCGAGTGAGTTCTGGGCCTTCATTTTCCTGATGGGAGGGGTATCCTGTGATGTGGCTGTCCTGTGTCCTCCCCAGGAAGCCTTCCTTAGGTCTAGTGCCCCACAGACCCTGGACTCTCTACCTGTCCTGCAGAGCTGGAGGGATGGTTGAAGGCAGAAGCTTCTGTGATGATACAGTTACTCCTCTGCCTACACTGCCCCAGCTCACAGGCTGCCCCATCGCCCTCTTACTCTCCTCTGACCTAGTGCTGCGGTGCTCCATGCTGGAGCTCACACACATGCCCATCAGCAGAGGGCGAGGAGCCTGATTAAACTTCAGGTTCCTGCTCTTCCTTGCTGTCCTCACATCATCTTTCTGATGCTAGATTCACACCAATGTTTCTTACTATATTTTCCTGTCCCAGGCAACATTCTCTTCCCTTTCCTCAGTGGCCAGTGGTGCAGAGTCCCCAAGATTTAGTCCATCTGATCAGATCCAAAGCAGAGCTGGGTTGTCTGTAAATTATGAAGAGTACAGATTCCTCAGAAATAATTCTAGGGCTTTAACAGCTAACAGCACAGAATTTGTCTTATTGGAGATGGGACAGCAGAGGGAGGTAGGGTCACCATCTGTGCTGGTTTGCAAAATCTATTCCCTTGGCTCCCTTCTTGCTTGGTTAAATTTCCTGGTGCCTGAAAGTAGTCACACGTTAGCCTGAATGCTTAGCCACTTAGATATTTCTTTCAGCAGATATCCTAGCGAATGACTCATAATTTTTATATTCAATAAATTCCTAGAACAGAACACAGTTTTGCCAAGGATTTTGCTACTTACCACAAGGATGGCATTTACTTCAATTTCCGATACCTTGTTCCTCATTTCCCCCTGAGCCTTCACCAGAATTGCCCTTAATGCTCTGTTTTCAGGAGTCTAGGCTTTTGCTAGTCTGCTCCTCCCAGTTCTTTCAACCTCTATCCATTAGCCGCTTCCCATTAACCAAAGCTGCTTCTACATTTGCAGGTATTATAGCAACAGCCTCACTCTTGGTACCATTTTTTCTTTCAATGTCTTTCCTGCTGACATAGAGAAATATCACAGACTGGGCAATTTATAAAGACAAGAGGTTTATTTGGCTTACAGATCTGGAGACTGGGAAGTCCAAGATCAAGGGTCCATAACTGATGAGGGCCTCCTGCTGTTATCCAAGGCAGAAGGAAGGGGAAGCAAGCACCCAAGACAGAGAAAACAGCTGATTTCATCCTTTTTATCAGAAGACCGTTCCCAAGACATAATTCACCCCTCCAATAAGGGCATTGATCTCTTTCTGAGGGCAGATCCCTCATGACCTAGTCATAACTGTCCCACCTCCCAATACCATTACACTGACAAATTTCAACATGAGCTTTTGTGGGGACACGCAAGCATAGCACACGTGTCTACACTATGAGTATTTCCACTCTTAAATCTATATCAAAAAAAAAAAGAAGAATGCATATGTTCGCAAGAAAGAATTCCACAAGAATGTTCACAACAACTTTATTCATAATAGTTGAAGACAGACATAACGTGGATATCCATCAACAGGAGCTTGGATAAACAAGTTGTGGTATATTTATGCAATGGAATATTAGTCATAAGAAAGAATGACCTACTGATACAACAATATGAATACACTTCAAAACTACTAATTTTGAAGAAAAATAATAAAAATATGTTTCCATTTATATGAAACTGAAGAATAGACAAAGCTAGTCAGTGGTGATAAAAATAGAAAAGTTTTTATCTCTGGGATAGAAATTGATTGGAAAGGAGCATAAGGACACTTTCTTGAGTGATGGAAAGTTTTTTAATAATCATTTAGTTACTATTGCACTGGCGCATGCAATTGTCAAAATGTACCAGGATGTCCTTGTATTAATATTTGTGTTTTACTGTGTATTAATTACACCTTAAATAAAAAGTATTACTAAAAATTAAACAGCTAAATTGCATAAAAGATGGGAGTCATTTACAAATGTATGCTTGTATTCTGCACAGCCCAATTTAAAAATGAATCACACAAAAAGAAGAAAAGACAGGAACACACATATCTGTGTAAGATTTGGAGAATGAGAAGTGCTCAGTGACTGAAATAGGCAACACTGAAATTTGGCCACAAAATAAGGTCAAGTGATGAGTGGGCTGAAAAAAACCTGAGGATCAATATCAAGGAAAGCTGTAGACAAACAAAAACTTTCTAAAAATATCTTCATAGGCTGTTGAAACCATTCTGAGAACCATGAGCTGCTACAAATTTCATAACTTGGGAAATTGGGTGTTCGTCAGTCTCACAATTGAGCCTTTCCTTTCTTTTTGGTTTTCAACATATTGGCCAATTGGTGAACTGATTTTTTTGCCCAGCAAGCAGCCTGCTCCCCTCTTTGTGAGTGGGGTCCTGGGACACCCGGACCTCCGCCTTTGGCAGCCTCACAGAAGGGAGTTGGGCACAGCACAGACACACGGGGTTCCTTGCACGTGGGGTTTGCACTCCCTGTGAAGCCCAGCTATGGACCTCCGAGTCCTGCAGTTAATGGATCCCAACTAAAGAAACCGTGCCTCTAGGTGTCCGCTTTACCTGTTAGTGCTAAGGAGGGATACAGGCTGGAGAAAAATAAAATGTTTGCTCAATATTATTCTGTAACATTTTACAAGAAAATCAGTTGAGGAGGTCATGGATTTTCATCCAAGCCAAAGTCATGATAATAGCTGAACTCCTTCCTTAATCTACCCTGAGAGGACTCAGACACTGCTCGATGCCCACAAATACTTAGTAAAGATTTATTTGTAGTCTCTTTTTGATAATTCTATTAGTTGATTATTTTCAAGTCTAACAGTACAGTTTGGTGCATCTATTAACATTTTCCTTCAGTAGTTTGTTTACTTGAGTGTTTTAGAACTGTTATCAATATTTTTTGTCCTCCAGAGTACACGTGCTTGGTGCCCAATGGAATCTCAGCCAAGATGATGTTATCAGTACGACTTACAAACTTATAGAATCCCAGATCACTTGAGCAGGTTAAAGCTGTTGCCTGGCAAGACCTGCAGGGAAGATGAGGTGCAGCGCAGATGCACTGGGCTCAGGGCACATCCTGCCCCTAGCTTTCTCTGAGGCAGTTGCTCCTCTGCACCTGTCCCTGACACCAAAGCTGTCCAGCCAAAATTATTCAACTGTAGATCTCATTAAAGTTTAGAGGGACTTCCCACCTCTCGCATAGCTGTAGGTAGTCTGGCAAAACTGAAAACTGCTGCAACATCTGCATAATACTGGATCTAAGCCCTAATTTTTCTTAACCCTTTCCCTCCTAGGCTGCTCTCCCAGACTCCCCAGAGCCCTTTAGATCCCAGTGGACCACAGTGCCATCTTATGGCCAGTAAGTGATGTTTCATCATTGTTGCTTCTGCAATGGCCCAAGGAATGCTGGGAAGTGTCTGCAGAGTGAGCTGAGAGAATATTCCAGAAGTACCATTCTGCAGGTTTTATGAGCAGCTTCCCTAAACCCTCATCCCAACACTAGTTCTAATGCTGACTGTTGCTTTGAGTTAACAATGTTAATATCCCAGCCTCATTCTGAATAACTCTTATCACGTAGCTCCAGTTATAGTCTAAATTTTTCTCCCTTAAAACTATCAACTAAAGAAAGAGGAACAGAATGAGAGGAATAAAAGAAAATAATATTTGGTTTTAAATAGAAATAAAAGACAGACGTTGAAGTATAAAGAGATTATTTAATCTGAATCACTAAAGATAAACAAAAATGTCCTCCAAAAATAACAATGTTACCCCAAAAGTATAGATAAGCAGAAGATGAAGTCAAATGTGTAATAATAAAAAGTAAAACTGAAATACACAAAATGAGACTTATTACACGGCAATAAGCAGTGGTGTAGGGAGCAGTACCTAATGCACAAAATAAGGATGGATATAATTAAGAGCAGCAATGGGCTTGTACAGGAAATGATCAACTTGTACAATGCACATCCACTGATCTGAGCACCAAAGAGCCAAAACATGATTCTGGAAGAGGCAGGGGGCAGCGGGAGTTGAGGAAACACGGATGCAAAATAGGATCATAAGGAAGCAAATCAGCCAGGGGACTGTGGATTACATGACTTTGCGTTCTCCTATCTCCTGTGACAGCTGAACTGGACCATTTTCCTCTCCAAGGATTTGCTCCTGCACCCTGAGTTAGATGCCCCTGGGATTTGCTCCTCCTCAGGTTCCCATGGATGAACTCTCACTCCCTCCTTGTTCAGAACAGTCTGAAGGAGAGGTCATCTCTCCCTCCCATTCAATCCCACAGTACTGGGGATTGGCACAGACTTCTCAATTGGCATTGACCTCTCTCATGGCATGCTCACATGCCCCCTAACTGTGCCTTTTCATTTCCACTAGACTGAAAGTTAGATGTGGGCAATGAAACTTAACACCTTTATCATAGGATGCATAACTAACTGTTTTCAAAATTATTGCTGTTTCTTTCACTGCCTTGGGTTATATCTGAACAGGGAAAAAAGGCACAATTTCTTAATGTGACTTAACCACAAAAACTTTCCCAAGAGCCAAAAACAATATAACTACCAAGAGATTGCTCTCCTCATTGGTGAGATGGCAAAATAGAACAAAAATCAAAGAAAATTTTGTCAAATTTTTTTTTTTTAAGATGGAGTCTCGCCGTTGCCCAGGCTGGAGTGCAGTGGCGCGATCTCAGCTCACTGCAGGCTCTGCCCCCTGGGGTTCATGCCATTCTGCTGCCTCAGCCTCTCGAGTAGCTGGGACTACAGGCGCCCACCACCTCGCCCGGCTAATTTTTTGTATTTTTAGTAGAGACGGGGTTTCACCATGTTAGCCAGGATGGTCTCGATCTCCTGACCTCATGATCCACCCACCTCGGCCTCCCAAAGTGCTGAGATTACAGGCGTGAGCCACCCTGCCTGGCCTGTCAAATACTTTAAAGGAGACCCAGAATCCCAGTCCCTCTTATACAAACATCATTGTATGGCCTCCCTCTACCTAAGAGACAGGCAGAGCCATTCCTGTGCCCTGCACCTGGCAGGAAAGCCCTGCTGGAGCCTGTGGGGAGCTGGCGAGGATGAGCCTTGGTGATTCTGCCCCAGAGCAGGGATTCTCAGGGAGCCCTGGGCAACTTCCAGGGACTGAGATGGAGAGTGGCCACACTCCGCCTTGGAGAGGAGAATACTGAGGGTGTGATCCTTCTGACCTCTCAGCCTAAAGTAAAAGCAGAGTCATTCCTGACTGGTGCGGAGCTGCTTAGTCTCCAAAGCAAAATAGTCCTTGTTTCAGGGTCTGTCAGTGCCACAGAAGAATAGCGGGGCTGTAAGTGTTTCACAACTTGCATGTTGCTGCATGCTCATCTCTGTTCCCAATGACTCCAGCATCTGAATATTCCATGCTAGGAAAGATAATTCATAAAAAATTAACTGGTTCAGTGATACCTTTAGTCACAATCAAAATAATTGTCATGTTCCAAAGTGGCATGCTTGTAGGAGACAACCACAAGGCAAGAGAATTTGGAGGTAGAACAGAAATAGGAACAATGGAGGCCCCCTTAGATGATGGCTTCTAGGAGCAAGACTAGAGGGGAGGTGAATTCTGAGCCCTTTTGGGCCCACAAGACATGGCATAACGGACATCAGAAAATACTCCAGGGATGTGCTGATAAACTGGGTGTCTGTGAAGGTGGGGGCATGGCTGGTAGCATTTGCTAATTTCGGTTGTACCAGCATACCCACCATGGTAGATTTCATGCCGCCAACATGGCTTCACTAAATAGGGAGCTGGGAAGAGTATGCCTATTTGGCTCTTCTGAATGATACAAGCTGGCTCCAGCACATCCCTAGACTCAAGAGCAAAGCTTTCAAAGTTCTTCAATGCTTCCTACTGAACACCCTAAAAATGAGGCCACAGCAACTATAGCACACCTCATTGTTTTCATGATAGGATCAGTGTGTGATCCTGGGTTTTGGAATGGACAAAGGGAAGTTTGTGCAGAGAAAGGATTTCTGAGTCCTCTGAAGCTGCCGAGATCACAGAGCAAAGAGTTATCCTGGTTGGTTGGGAGCTGCTAGCCTTTGACTTGAAGTAATTGCAATGAAAAGTTTCTCCTGCTTAACTTAAGACAACAGAATGATTTCATTAGAGCAGAAACCCTATTTGTTCATTAGTAATGTCTGCCCTTTGCTCCTGTTGCATGTTCATTCTCAGTATAAATTGGAAGCCCTGCTCACTTTATTACATGTCCTTGCAGCACCATTTACACCTGTGGACTGTGTTCTGTTCAGCCTCAGTGTCAGAGCTTATCCACTGTTAGAACCAGATGTCTCAGGAGTCAAGTGGAGGAAGGTGGCAGCCATTAGAGAGAAGGTCTAGGAAGACAGGGAATTCCCATCTGTGCCCTGGCCTTACTCAGTCCCAGGAGACACAGGGCACCTGAGCAAGGAGGGATTTCATGATGGCACAATAAAAAATGGGTCCAGAGCAACTGCCTGCCAGAGACCGTCATTCTCTGAGGAAAGAAACTTGGTATCTGTACAACCACAATTTCTGATCAGTGAATTGGGAAGGGCTATGATGCCCCTCCTACCTAGGAAAGACTCAGGGCACCTCTATCATGGCTGTGTCTGGGACACTGAGTCCCAGACTGGGAGAAGTGGTCTGTCGCCGAGGACTCTCAGAAACCCATGATTCATAATCACATCAGCTCTGACCAGTGCATTCGCTTTCATAGATACAAACTGCAGCGGCACCCACAGACAGGTGGAAGATTCTATTGCAATATAATCATTGTACTTCTATCTATAACAAGTACTATATAACAATATATAATATGAAAAATAAACAGCAATAGAATCAATATTATAAATATAACACTTCTTAACGGCCTCAGAAAAATTATTTCAAATCAAATGAGTTGGACAGCAATGAAAACCCTCAGAGTCTAGAAATCAGATTTCCTGAGAGAATCAAGGTGAACTGGCAGTGGTGGTGAATGCATACTTCTGTCTATCAGGACAGCAGCAATAGCAAATGGAAATAAAATGAAGGATACACCTGGCTTAAAGTAGGCAGAAGAAATGAAGTCTTATTGTTATCCTGACTGTATTTATCAAGTAAGGATTTCAAAAGTTGCAAAGACCTTTACTTCAAACAGGAAGAGAGGTTCGATATTTTGTTGCAGAAAACCTCTAATGTGACACGGATAGAAGAGGCTTCAGAAGAAAGATGTTCCTTGGGATGTAACCTCAGACCTTCCAGATGCCCCAACATATGCAGGAGAAGAGCGTGTTTCCTGCCCATGACAACCTCATGGATGTGGGCAGCACAGCAGCCTCCAAGACCTATAGAAGATGCATGTCTGCCCTGAAGGCCAAGACTAAGACACCCACTCCTTGCTTGGAGCAGTGAGCTGGCTCCAAGGACTCCCATGATTGTTTTCACCACCTACATTTTCAGTCACTGTGTTTCAGGAATGAATCTGTGGTCTCTTTCTACCCAAAGAACAGCTGAAGTCCAGATGTAATTCTTTCCCATGAAAAGTGAGGAGCAAAGAGAGGCCTCTGTTTAGGGTCTCTAGGAGCTGCAAGGAGAGAGAAGGATGAGGTTTGTGAACAGGAAGGAGGCAACTGTGCCATGCTGTGGCTAAGCTGCTGGCACAGAGATACACGGCGGAGTCCTCCTGCTGTGTGCGCTGGATCTTCAGAGTGGAGACGGATCCCTCAGGCCTTTCTGCAAAGAAGCGATCACTGGGCAGCCCCGATTTGTCTAGTTGAGCTTCATTCTGGAAATAAGTCAGAAACTCTGGCCCCTGCCCCAGGGCCTGTTGGTACCAAAAAAGGGATACATGACCCGAAATTGGATCACACCTGAGAGCTACATCCTGTCCTCTCTTTGCGACTTTGTACCTAGGGGACTGGGAGACTCCAGCACCTGTGTGATCTGTGGAAATAGAATTTGGCAACAGAATAAGGAAAATATTTGTAGTCATCATACACACACACACACACAACCACTCTCTCACACACACACACCTACAAACAGAAAAAATGAAACTACTTGGTGTTCTGAGGACTCACCTGTCCCTAGGAAACCCAGGACCACCCAGCAGAGGAGCCTGGTGCCCATGGCAGGGTCAGGCCAGGATGGGGGCTTTACCAGATCAGTGTCACTGTGAACAGAAGCAGAGGATAAGGGCCGTCCTTGTCTCCACAGGGCAGTTCCCACAGTGACATCACTTCCTCTCTCAATCCCCAGGACCTCAGGGTCACAGCATTTCTATTAGAACACACTTGGGTGCTGCTTTAAATATGTATCAGCTTTTTACCACTATCAATGCATGGTTCATTTTTTGGGCTCCCATGCTGTCTGGACCCGTGGGCCTCACACTACATCTCTGAGTTCACCTTCTCATCCTACAGCCACTCCTCTGTCTGCTGGGCATGTCCTGTCGATGCACTAACAGCACCCCCAACACAAGGCACCAAGGCATGAGCTCATTGTCTATCCTGCAATTCAGGGTCCCCTCTGCCATCCTCACTGATGCCCCAGCCTCCTCCATTCCCACAGTCACACGTGTCCAATGGGACTGTCCCATCACATGGGTTCCCTCACGAACTGCCCTCATGCCTTTCTTCTGGGATCATTTCCCACCTTTCTTAACTGTAATTCAGTAAAGAGACCTTGGTAGCAAACTCACAGCAGTCATTTTTCATATTCCACTTCTAAAAGTTTTTTTAATCAATCTCACCTTAAATGAAGGAGAATGATAATTGAGCTAATGGTTATTTTTAACTACTATCTTGACTTACTGTTGTTCTCCATCTATTCTATGGGACGTATTTCTCTTTCCTTTCTGACTGCTTTCAAAATCTTCTCTTTTTCCCTCATGTTCTACAATTTCCCTATGACTTGACTGTCTTATTTGAGATTCATTTTGATTCTGGAAACTCTGAACTTAGGTCCTGAAACACGTCTAAAAATTCTCAGCTAACATCTCATAAATATCACCTCATAACATTCTTCCTATTTATCTTTTTGAAACATAAATCATATGCAAGAAAAGAATGAGAAATTATGAAAAATATGCATATTCTAATACATAGGAAACATCCATTTTTTTCTTCCTTGTTCTTTAACTTCTTTCATATTTCACTTTTTATTTTCTGTGCTGCATTCTAGATCACTCCTGCAGATCCATCTTTGACATCACTAAAAATCTCTATAGGAGGAGCTTATCAACTGCTTGCCTTTCCATTTTGTTTTCAGTGATTGTATGAGGCATTCCTAGATATACTATTTGACAATTTTTATGCAAGTTGTTGGTTTCAGACATTCTCTTTTTCCTTGTTTCAGTTCCCCCTCATGTTCATTTAAATGTAGCTCTCCAAACTTTCATATCTTATAATGCCAAAATTTCGAGTCTTCAGGTTTGCACTTCAAACGTTTGTTGCTTGTGCTCATGTTTCCTCGTTGCTATGTCCTAATATTCTTCATACTGGGAATCTATTTGTTCGATGGTAGTCTGTGACATTCTAGTGAGGCCCAGACTGAGAGTGAATAACACTAAGAGTCAGTCATTTTTACAGCCATCTCCAGTCTAACTCGCAAATATGTGGGGCCAATAACTCTCTGCTGCACTCTAGGCTGCCAAATACACACACGACAAAGGTTGGTCATGTCAAAAATGCTCTCAGGACAGTCCCAAGGAAAAATTCAGAAAAGGATTCAAATTTTCTAATTCTTTTTAATAAAATCCTTTTCATAAATAAATCCCAGTAACATGTAGTCATCATGACATTTTCTTCCAAGTGGAAATTACAGAGAGAGAGAGATAGAGATAGAGATAGATAGACAGACAGATATACACATATAGACTCTCTGGGTGGAGGGAGACTTCAGGCACAGGATTAAAAGAAAAGTTAGTCACCAGCGTCTGGAACATCTACACACAAATTGTGTCCACATTCACCTGGGCAGCACAGGTGTCCCCCGGATAGAAGACCAGGGATTGTGGCGGGTTGGGGCAGTTGTGTGATCCAATGCCTTAATCTGGGAGAATCCATCCTGTGCTGGATTGTGTTAGGTCCAATGCCTTAATCTGGGAGAATCCATCCTGTGCTGGATTGTGTTAGGTCAACTCTACAATGGCAAGAGCCTGTATTTACCAGAATGCCATTTCTTTTATCATTCTGGGTTACAGATGGTCAAGGATACATTTTGTAACATTTAGAAGACAGATATAAAACAGTCACTATGACAATTGGCAGGTTATCGTGGTTGGACAGTGAGAGTCAGTGACCAGCAGATATAGAGGCATCCAACAGACCTAGGAAGTCCTGTTCCTTCTGCACCCTGTGTCCAGTTCATCTTCCCAAATGCTGGCCAACAGCAGCCAGGCTGCCCACAGTGTTTGGTAGTGCATCTGCAGGGGTGGCCCCCATAGAGAGGGAACAGCTTTCCCAGAAACAGATTTCCTTGGCATTTTCCTGTGCTCCCAGCTCAAGATCCCACTGCATGGCCTGATATGCTCTGATCCTCTCATGTTCCTGCCACTCCAGCACGTCCTGCCCAGAGCTTCAGGAGCCCTGACTACTGACTGGCTCCCTCACCTTCTGACTTCTCTCCTCAAGACCTTGTCTTCCTCAGCTCCTCCCACATATGCATAAAGTCTAATTCTGATCATAAATCTGTTACACTCTCAAACTTGTAGTGGCCCTGTTTTATTGATGCAAACCTAATGGAGATTTTCTTACCAGAAGTGGTTTCAAGGAACAACCTTTAAGGATGGAATTCTTGAAGCGGATCTCTGATCTGTCTAGATTTGTTGTGGGGAAAGATCCTGAAGGAGAGCACAGAGACCTGGAGGAGGTCAGGTGCTGCAGCCACAAGAGGAAGCCTTGACACAGGTGTGGATGCCATGATAGTGATTCCCCATCAATTTCCAAGACCGACCTGAGCCCAGCAGTCAAAGGGGTGGGCTTTCTTGTACTTAATGCTAGATCTCTGCCAGTTTACAGTAGATGTAGCTTGTTCCTACTATTTGTTCGTCCACCCACTCATCACTCACTCAGCCTCTCATTCACTCATCCATTCTCTGTGAAATGGGTCTCCCCACATGCCAGGCACCAATATTGGTAAATGCAGCCGGCACACTCTTAGCTCCCATGGGCTTAAAAATTGGGTGGAGAGGCCGGGCGCGGTGGGTCAAGCCTGTAATCCCAGCACTTTGGGAGCCCGAGGCAGGCAGATCATGAGGTCAGGAGATCGAGACCAGCCTGGCCAACGTGGTGAAACCCCATCTCTACTAAAAATACAAACAAGAATTAGCTGGGTGTGGTGGTGTGTGCCTGTAATCCCAGCTGCTCGGGAGTCTGAGGTAGGAGAATTGCTTGAACCAAAGAGTCAGAGGTTGCAGTGAACCGAGATGGTGCCACTGCATTCCAGCTTGGTGACAGAGCAAGACTCTGTCTAAAAAAAAAAAAAAAAATTGGGTGGAGCACAAAAATAATCAGATAAGTACCTGAGAAAGTCCAACTGTGCTAAAGGTTACCAACAGACATATGATTCTGTGAGAGCTTATGAGAGGAAAGTTGATCTCAGCAGGGAGGTGAGGGTGTGCTTCCCGCAGGAGGGGCGGATCATGCTGAGATCTGAAGCACAGGTAGGAGCTGGCCATTAGAGGAAGGAAGGCTCCAGCCCAGGGCAGAGGAAATGGACTTTGAAGTCTCTGTGATGGGAAGTAAGGAGGCACAGAACAGGGGCTCCCCTAATGGCTGCAGTAGAAAGGGGCGGGGAGGTGAGGGGAGGAGAGACCCAGCAAGGACTTGGAGGGTGACTACCCAGATGGGAAAGGTGGGCCACAGGAGAGATCACGTGAGGATGGGGGCTGGGGGAAACCATAGAGAGAGGAAGCAACAGGGTCACCAGGGAGAGATGGGAGTATAGATGAATCTGACATACAAATCCAGTTTCATCCTGGGCACCTTGGATTCAGGATAATGAGTAGGAAAGTAGGAGCTGGGGAAGCCCTGGCCCTACACAAAAAGGACAGCTTGGAGGATATACCAGAGAGAGCAACAAAGGAGACATCTGAGAACCTAGGACCACTTCCAGGCCTGGCTGAGACTGCCTGAAGTGGCACCTGGCATAGAGTGAGACTCATACTGTCCTGGCCACTTGGGGCCACTCTGGGTTCCAAGGTTCCTGGTGCAGAGAACTCTGCCCAGGGCATCCTTGAGTCTTGGGTGGGAGGAGGGCAGAGCCTCTGTGCCTTTATGTGCAGAGAGGAGACAGGCTTGCAGCGCTGTGGAATAACTGCTGGCACAGAAGTATACAGATGTCTGGGAGGGAGCAGCTGACTCCAGCCTGAGCGGGAAATCCTCTGTGTTTGATCTGGATACATTGTAGCCATCGGGGACTTCTCCTTTGTCAGTGATACCAGCAGCAACTGAGTAATGAATGCGCCTCAGCCCCATGCCTGGGTCTTGTCGATACCAGGACAAGTATCCATGGTTCATATCCTGGGCACACTGCAGTGTCATGCTCTGTCCTGTCTTCAGGATGTGGAATTTTGGGGTCTGAGTGACACCAGCATTCACTGGACCTGCAGAGAAGAACAAAGCTGATGCTGCAGCCCCAGTGGAAAGGGGATGGGCCTTGACATCCACGCAAGGGGCTCTGCCCAGGACCCACCTGCCCACAGGAGAGAAAAGGCCACACAGCACAGGAGCCCGATGCTCATGGCAGGGGCTGCAGGACGTAGGGGTCTTCTGGGTCTGTGCATTGATGAAAGGGGAACAGGACTCTCAAGGGAGTCATTCTGAGACCTCAGTCTCCCTGCCTGGGCCCAGAGCCCTCCTTTCAGGAGAGGCCACACCTCTTCCCCAGATGATCAAATCCAAAATAAATGCACCAGTGAAGAGCTGAGAATGAGAAGAACACATTTGTGTGATTTGAAACAAGTCTACAAGATTTTCATGACCTTTTGGAAACAGTTTGTAATTCAATGTAAATTTTATTTCTTCAATGATATAATTAATAGTTAAGTGTTAGTTATCTACACAGTGCTGTAGTCTAGAGTCTTAGGGACACACCTCATGTCTTCCTAGTGTTTTTGACTTCTGTGTCCCAAATACTCCTTCAAGTATCCTTTTCTAATTTGCTTAATTGACCATAATCCTGTTTAAAATCCTTTGTCTATATTGGTTTTCTCTGTTATCAAGTTTCCAAATCCCAGGGGCAGGCTCATCAACATTGGAGGAGTCGTTTTGCTCTGTTTCTTGTCAATTCACTGACAGATGAGACTCCTGAGAAACCCAGCTGTGTACCTTCCGCTGCTCCCAGGGCTCTTGCTTTCCATGCCTGGGGTGAGACCACAGCAGGCAGAACCACCTCACTTTGCTGACTGTCCTCTAGGTGTGGATGATGTTGACCACACAGCGCTGCCCATGACTTATGGGCACAAAGGTGACCTGATGCATGAGGGACTTGGGGAGAGAGGGCAGACTTTAGGGTAAGGAAGAATGCTCTGTTTTTATCTGAGATGTCATGTTTCATAGGGAATATCCCTTTGTGCAGGATTCCTGCCATTAATTTAGTATTAAATAAAATTTAAAAGGAGCTCAAATAACATATCTTGTGATTCCTCCGGGGTTTCACAAGTTTTCCCCTGGGGTTTCTCCTTGTCTATTTTCTGAGCTCATCATCTTCTCCTAGACCCAGCCAACACCCTTCCTCCAGGTCCTTCTGTCTACTGAACCAAGCAGCAGGGTTTGATTCCTTCTGGCTCCCCTCATTTTCGTGGCTGCTTAATTATGGGTGGGGTGGGTTTGGGATGGCAGAGGGCACAACAACGTAAAGGGAGTTATTCTTAGGGCTCTGATTCACACTCAACACTATATGCTTCATGGTAGAGCTTCATGGTACTCATCACGTGTGGATCAAAACACCCCCATCCTCACCTCTCACCTTGCCACCAAGTTAGAGACTCTTAGAGTAGAAAAGGCCTTAGGAATAATCTTGTTTCCATTTCCAGGTGTGCTTTGTAAGGTGGACTTGTTATTAACCGAGCTATTTGTCCTTTATTTCCAAAGAAATTACTCCCTCAGGTGGGCATCTGTGCTGAGACCTAAAAAATCCATTAGGAGAAGGTGGAGGGTTGCATCACAGCTTCACAGCTTAGAATTTGATATTACATGTCCTTTGTCTTCGACATCCTGTGGCCACTCTGCCGTGTTCCCAACTGTCCCTCCCCATTGCCTGTGCTTCCTTCTCTGCCGATTCAAAGAAAATAAGATCCTCCTAATTTTAGAATGCAGGAACATTTACCAATTTCTGGCCCATAAGAGTCTCCCTTTGAACTCTGAGTTATTTATTAAACTGTGACTCCATTGGCTGTACCATTTTTCGCTTCGCCACCAGACTTCACAAGGTAAAGGAGATGTATAGATGCTTACTTAACCTTGAAAATAAATTATCCCACCTTCCAACTACTTACAAAGGAGAACTGACTAAAATGAGATAGGATTCTAGTTAATATTGTTTTCCTCTACATTTCACATATAGGAAGTGACCAATTAGTTGGTTCTCCTCCCTCCCTCATTTTAACAACAGCTCCTCACAGAGCTCCCTGGCCTAGTGTATCCACATCAGTATCTCTGCTACATCTTGTGATGGGGATTATTTTCTCAAAGCTCAGATCTTCTGGTTCCAGGCCTCTAAACACTTACCCCCTGTACCTCCCCACTGCCAACACCATGATGCTTGTACCTACAGTGCTGTAGGGTACACAGACTCTCCTGCACCCTGGCATCTGATCTGAAGACAACCCCAGATGGTTCTGGACTTCACCTCCCTCAAAATCCAGTGACCCCTCTATCAACTCCACACAGAAGCAAGAAAACTGTCCTTCATCTGCCTCCAACATTTATTAGCTCTGAGACCATGGGCAAGGCCATTCATTAACTTTCCTAGACTCTAACCTCATCTAGACTCATCTATAAAACAAGACAAACATTCCCCTTAATGCTTTATGAGGATGAACTGAGATACTGTGTAGTTTCTGGTAGGTTTGATAAAGGTCTGTCCTTTTATCCTTCCCTGCCTCCTCATGCAGGAGAACTGATAGAGCTCTCAGACCTGCTAGGACCATGAGTGATGGAAAAGCTGGAATCATCAACTGGGTGCTGGGGTGAGGAGAACTTGGAAGCATAAATAGACCACTCAGTCACTTTAGAAAAGATCTGGCAGAATTTGGGAATCAGATGACAGCACGAATGTACCTGTCTACCCTCATTATGCAATATGAAGCAGCAAATAGAGCAAGTTAGATGTGTATCGATCAATCTGGAACAATAAAGACCAGGGTATATTAACAGAAAAGAGTATGCATGTGGCCGGTAAAGTGTACAGGTGAACCCATTTTCTGTAGATGTACTTGGGTAGAAAGGTGTGCATGAACACAGAAAAGAGAGGTGCAAAGCACACCAGAGCTTTAGTATTGGTTACCGATGGAAGTTGGGATTGGATTTGAGAGCATTATTGACATTTTCTTTATATATTATTTGTTAAAAAATCTTCACCACATACAAGCTTTAAGCAACACCTCTCATCTGGTGTCAGACTTTGTAGTGTCTAAATGGACAAAATATAGAAAGCTTCTGTTTATGGAACCCCCTATAAAGGCCCATGTTTCCGAATAAACCGAGGATAAAATGTGCTCCGTAAAAGCGCACAAGCTCCTGGTGAACACAGTCTCTGACTGCTGAGGAGGGTGAGCATCCAGGTCGATACATTTGATGGTGAGGTCAGTTCGGCTGATTATGAACTAATAAGGCTTCTACCTCTGAAAGCCTGATCACCACGGGGAAGTGGAGGATCTCACCCCTTGTTCTAGAACAGCCTTTGAATAGCCCCCTGATTGGAAAAGGAAGAGAAATGAGCACCCTCTAGTGCCTGCATTTCCAAACTCAGTGAGAGCTCGTTTCCAGTTATACATTGTTCAAGCTTTAGAAATGCTCTTTGTTTCTGATCCAAGTAGCAGTATTATTATGATGTCGATTGTAACGATATTGCAGTGTTTATCAACAGCACACAGCTTTCTCAAATACAGCTTTAGTGAGTGGGTGGAAGAAAATGCTGTCCCTAGGGAAGATGTTCTGACTTTGGTCTGTTTAAGGTTCAATTATTTAAAATAGCTAGTCTATTTTTGGTCTTTATTGCCTAAGGAGATAAAACTGCATTTGTCTTTAAAGCATAGATGCAAATCATTCTGGCAAAATTGGGGCTTCTGTCTATCCGTGGGCCATCCTTGGTGATTATATATTTGATTATTTCCACCCAGAATGGCTCTCACAATTCTTCAGGGACTAACACATAGCCCTGCTCTGTAAATGGAGCCTCTGCCTCACAATCAGCCTTTCCTAACTGGCAAAGGAGGGTAACAAGCAAAGGTCTCTGTTCAGCGCCCTGCACCAAAATCAGGTGTGGGCTGGAGGAAGCTGGTGACCATGAGGTCTGTGTCTCTGGCATTGCCCACCAATTCATGGAAATGAACACCCATAATATAGCTCAGTGTGTCAGGCACCATGGCCTCAAAGCCACCCAAAAAGATATTTGTGCCTTGGGAAAACTTTGCCTAAGAGAATGGGGAAGGCATTTGTTTTCTTCTCCATCACCTTTTAATGCCAGTGTTTGACATTATGTTTCTGATCACTCTCTCAGAGTGATTAGGTGCCCTGTGTCTGTGAGACTCCCAAATCCAGGACACCTGTGAGGGAAGGAGATTGAAGGAGGAGACAAGCCAGGAGGGCGATGGGCAGTGAGGAAGTTCAGTCGTGCAGAAAGGCTTGGGATCCAGTTACTCATGCATGACAGGGATTTCTCATCTGTTTCCAGGACTCATTTAATCCTAGGAGATGAAGGGATAGAGGTTCCCATTTAATGCATCCAGACTTCTGGAATAGTCTGTGGGAACTCAGAGGGCCTTTCAATATCTCTTCTTTATTCTTTCAAGACTGGTCACTGGCACCTGGAACCGCTGTTGGTACTGACAATAAAATGGGGAACAAAACATCCACAATTTCTACAATGATGCATTTTACAGTCTAGAATGCAAGAGAAGTGTGAAATAGCCACACAAAGTCAGGGAAATGACTATGGTGCTAAAACTATGAATATTAATGCATATTATAAGCTGTGAGCATTTACAATAGGGAGGTGCAGCCTAGGAAAACTGTTGAAGGAGTGTCTCCCTAGAGATGGTGGTAGTTAAACTGAGATTTGGAGAAAGAACAAAAAGAAGAGACTCGTGTTGATACAGAGAATACAGTGTGGAGTGCAAAGGCCTTTGGTGGGAGGAGCATGATGCATGAGGAATGGCCTGAACTCAGGCGTCTGTGGTTGACATGGAGGTGAGGGTGCAGAGTGATGAGAGGATAGCTAGGAGCAGACATCACTTGGAGGAGGCTGAGGACTGACATGAGCATGGTGTGGGGAAGATAGAGTTGTGAAGGCTGACAGGGAAAAGAACATAGACCTGTGTTGTCAGTGCTGTCTGCAAATATACAATTTTGAAATCAACTTTCCTTTCTGAGAGCAACTGAGGAAGAGGACTTCTGAGGCCAGAGCTGGAGGAGGAGCCTGGAAGAGAGGCTGCATCTGCTCACATCACCGTGATGTGCATTCCCTTGTCCAGCTGAGACTGCCCTGGGAGAGAAGCTCAGTACAGGGCAGAGTTTCCCATGCACAGGCTGCTCAGAAATCTGAGAGTCCCAGCCTGGGCAGTGTTGGGGAAACTCCTATGGGACAATGTCTTCCACTGCCTGGATCAAAATCTCATGAAGACAATGCCAACTATATCTACCACTGAGCTTTGTGTGCAGAGGAAGGTGGCTGTGGGGTGAAAGCTGGTGCAAGAGGGCACAGAGGTCTGGGAGAGGCTGTCTGACACCAAGGCCACATATTTGGCTTTGAGAAAAAGTCACAGACCCTCAGGGATTCTGTATAGTGTGTGCTGGGACGGATCAGCTGTGCACCAGCCTTGGCTCCTATTAACACCTACACATGTAGTCATGGATGGCAGTCTCAGGCATCTCCATGTCACTTCACGTCCTGCCTTTGTTCTCTGGTATCTTGGGATCTGGTTGTCCCAGCTTCTGTGAAGTCTATGATAGAAGGAAGTTGAGTGCCCAAAGAGGGACCCCAATAATGTAGACTTGAGGTAAAGGCTTAGGCTGGGATGTGGTGAGCCAAGGAAAAGGCTTTAGGGGACTCACCTGCCCTCAGGGGGCAGACGGCCAAACCATTGAGGAGTCTGGTGGTCATGGCAGGGTCAAGGAATAATAGGCAAATTGTGGGGAGTTTTTCAACTTGCGCATTGGGAACATAATTCCTGGATGTCAGTAGAGTCAACTGATGATGCCACTGCCCCTGCCAGCCAGTGACTCTGCCCTCTGCCTGCTAGTCCTCCCTCTACCTGCTGCCACCTTCAACCTACAGTCAAGTCATAAACCTTCACCCATGTGGTCTCCACTCCTGGCTGCCTTTCTTCTACAAGGTAACAAACGGACAAGGTTCATGATCATTTGCCCTCCACTTACCTCTCCACCATCAGCTCTGGGGGTCTACTTTAGGGCTCTCTTTGACAGGCTATTACTTCTTCACTGAACATATGTCCTTCCCTCCCATTCCTAGGTCTCTATCTTATTTCTTACATAAGATATACTTCAGGTACATTTATTCTTAGTGGTGAAAATCCAAGCTTAAATTTTACTAGAATAAATTGATAAAACTACGCTTAGACATTTATATAAGAAAGCGGTTTTTGTCTACACACAAACAAAATTGATTTTAGTTTTTGTTGCATTAAATTAAACTCTTGTGCATCAAAAAAACACCATAAAAGTGAAAACATAAGCTGCAGACTGGGGAAAGACAAAGGGAATGCATATAAATGATTTTTAAAAAGTGTTAAATTTAACATTCCTCAAAGTTGCTAATGAAGAGGCCATAGTAATGACCCCTGAAGGCATCTGAGCGTCTACTGCAGCCCTGCTGGTCACTAGAGGGCAGTGCGAGGGCTCTGACTTACTGACCAGGATGCAGAAGGTGATGATGGAGCAGGGGGGTAGGTGGAAAATGGATGGACTAGTTTGTTTCCTACTTCTGATCCTTACAAGCCAAGAGACACTGGGGAAAATGACTCAATGTCCCTGAGCCTTCTATCTATAAAGGAAGAATAGAAATGTTTGATGTGCAAGAGTGTGGAAAGCCCTTAAGCTATGTAACAAATACGAAGAATCTAGCACGTATCTGGGGCTCAACAGTCACTCTTCTACTGAAGTTATCCAGGAAGTGACAAACTACAAGAAGTTGCAGCACAGAAGCAGGCACACTCAGGGCACAGGAAACCTGGGCTCTATTGGTTGGGAAAGGTCTGCCCTCAGTAGGACACAAGACATGCCTTCCAAACAACTAAAAGCTTCCCTTGAAGGAGTGAAACCTGGGTGGGGCCTGCAGTTCTCAAGTCAAAGCTAAGGCGGAAGTTTATATACAGAATGTCAGTGACTCTGCTGGGCTGTGCCAAGCTGCTGGCACAGAGATAGAGGGCCGAGTCCCCTAGCAACAAGGCGTTCACATTCAGCTCAGAGCTATAGTTAGGGAACTGGTGACCTGAGAATTGATCAGGGAAGTTTCCTCTTCCTCTCTCTTCTTTCTCATAATACTGAAAGATAAACTGGGGCCCCTGACCCAGGGCCTGTTGGTACGAGGACACACTGGTGTGCCCAGAGATAGGAGAGCATCTCAGAGTCACGTGCTGTCCTCTCGTTTTGATCAGGTGTGTGGGACTTTGGGTGACTCCAGCGTCCACTGGGCCTGTGGGAAAAGCAGATGTATAATGAGCACTGGAGACAGCCTGGAGGTCCTCCCCAAGGTAAAGTGGAGGACACAGGGGTGGGAAAGCTGAGAATGGAGCAGCTGTCCTGTGCCCGGGACTCACCTTCTCCTAGGGGACAAAGCAGCACCCAGCAGAGGAGCCCGGGGCCCATGGCACAGTGGGGCAGGCAGCACTGCACCTGATTCAGGGCTTGGTCCTCCTGGGAAAGAGCTGAGTGAGTTCTGGGCCTTGATTTTCCTGATGGGAGGGGTATGCTGTGATGTCACTGTCTTGTGTCTTCCCTATGCAGCCTTCCTTAGGTCTAGTGCTCCACGGACACTGGACTCTCTACCTGTCCTGCCGAGCTGGAGGGATGGGTGAAGGCAGAAGCTTCTGTGGTGATACAGTTGCTCCTCTGCCTAACTGCCCCAGCTCACAGGCTGCCCCATCACCCTATCACCCTCCTCTGACCTAGTGCTGCGGTGCTCCATGCTGGAGCTCGCACACCTGCCTATCAGCAGATGGTGAGGAGCCTGTGATTAAACCATCAGTTTCCAGCTCTTCCTTGCTCTCCTCACATCATCTTTCTGAAGCTAGATTCACACCAAGGTTTCTTACTATATTTTCCTGTCCCAGGCAACATTCCCAACCCATTTCCTGAGTGGCCAGCGGTACAGAGGCCCCAAGATTTAGTCCATCTGATCAGATCCAAAGCAGACCTGTGTTGTCTGTAAATTATTAAGAGTGCAGATTCCCCAGAAATAAATCTAGGGCCTTATCAGCTCACACCACAGACCTAGCCAGCTTTGGACTCAACACCCTCAAGGCCATCCTATATGTAGTGCTCTGGAAAGTTTATGTTAATCCCTCCAGATCCACCCTGCCTTCACAGGCTGACTCCAGTGTATCATGTTAACTGTCTCCTCTTTTCTCTAACTTCAGAGTGAGTTTGGCTTATGGGAGACAGGACAGCAGAGGGAGGTAGTGTCACCATCTGTGCTGGTTTGCAAAATCTATTCCCTTGGCTGCCTTCTTGCTGGGTTAAATTGCCTGGTGCCTAAAAGTAGTCACACAGTGGCCTGAATGCTTTGCAGCTTAGATATTTCTTTCAGCAGATATCCTAGCTAATGGCTCATAATTTTATATTCCATAAAGTCCTAGAACAGGACACAATGTTGCCAAGGTTTTTGCTACTTATGAGAAGGATGGCATTTACTTCAATTTCTGATACCTTGTTCCTCATTTCCCCCTGAGCTTTCACCAGAAATGCCCTTAATGCTCTGTTTTCAGCAATCTAGGCTTTTGCTAGTCTGCTTCTCTGAATTCTTCCAACCTCTATCCATTAGCCATTTCCCATTAACTAAAGCTGTTTCTACATTTTCAGGTACTTGTTACAGCAACAGCGTCACTCTCAGCACCATGTTTTCTTTCCATTTATTTCCTACTGCTATAGAGAAATACCACAGACTGGGTAATTTATAAAGACAAGGCATTTATTTGGCTTATAGATCTGGAGACTGGGAAGTCCAAGATCAATGGGCCATAGCGGCTGAGGGCCTCCTGCTGTTATCCAAGGCAGAAGGAAGGGGAAGCAAGCACCCAAGACAGAGAAAGTGGCTGAATTTATACTTTTTATCAGAAGACCATTCCCAAGACAACTAATTCACTCCCACAATAACGGCATTGATCTCTTTCTGAGGGCAGATCCCTCATGACCTAGTCATAGCTGTCCCACCTCCCAATACCATTACAATGACAAATTTCAACATGAGCTTTTGTGAGGACACGCAAGCATAGCACACACATCTACACTGTAAGTCAGTATTTCCACTCTTAAGTTTATACCTAAAATAAAATAAAAAAAAAGAATGTATATGTCCACAAGAAAGAGTTCCACAAGAATGTTCACAACAACTGTATTCATAATAGTTGAAGACAGGAGTAACGTGGATATCCATCAACGGGAGCATGGATAAACAAGTTGTGGTATAGTTATGCAATGGAATATTAGTCATAAGAAAAAATGACCTACTGATACAACAATATGAATAAACTTCAGAAATACTAATTTTGGAGGAAAATAACTCAATAAAATGTTATATGATTCCATTTATATGGAGTTCAAGAATAGACCAAGCTAGTCAGTGGTGATAAAAATAAGAAAAGTTTTGGCCAGGCGCGGTGGCTCATGCCTGTAATCCCAAAAATTTGGGAGGCTGAGGCGGGCAGATTTCAAGGTCAGGAGATCGAGACCATCCTGACTAACACGATGAAACCCCGTCTCTGCTAAAAATACAAACAATTAGCCGGGTGTGGTGGCAAGCATCTATAGTCCCATCTACTCCAAAGGCTGAGGCAGGAGAGTGGCGTGAACCGGGGAGGCAGAGCTTGCAGTGAGCTGAGATCACACCACTGCACTCCAGCCTGGGTGACAGAGTGAGACTCTTGTCTCTAAATAAATAAATAAATACAATTTTTATCTCTGGGATAGAAATTGATTGGAAAGGAGCATGACGACACTTTCCTGCATGACAGAATTTTTTTTATAATCATTTCAGTTACTATTGCACTGGCATATGCATTTGTCAAAATGTACCAGGATGTCCTTGTATTAATATTTCTGTTTTACTCTCTATTATACTTTAATAAAAAGTATTACTAAAAAGTAAACAGCTAAATCATAAAATATGGGATTCACTTACAAATGTATGCTTGTATTCTGCACAGCCCAATTTAAAAATGAATCACACAAAAATAAGAAAAGACAGGAACACACATATCTGTGTAAGTTATGGAGAATGTGAGAAGTGCTTGGTGACTGAAGTGGCAACATTGAAATTTGGCATCAAAATAAGCTCAACTGATGAGTGGGCCAAAAAACAACTAGGATCAAAATCAAGGAAAGCTGTAGACAAACAAAAGCTTTTTACAATATCTTCATATGCTATTGAAATCATTCTGAGAACCATGAGCTGCTACAAATTTCATAACTTGGGAAATTGGGTATTCATCAGTCTCACAATTCAGACTTTCCTTTCATTTTGGCTTTGAACAGATTGGCCAATTTTTGAATTGATTTTTTTGCCCAGCAAGCAGCCTGCTCCCCACTTTGTGAGTGGGGTACTGGGAGACCCGGCACTCCCCCTTTTCAGCCTCACAGACGGGAGTTGGGCACAGCACAGACACACGGAGTTCCCTGCACGTGGGGTTTGAACTCCCTGTGAAGCCCAGCTATGGACCTCCCAGTCCTACAGTTAATGGATCCCAACTAAAGAAACCGTGCCTCTAGGTGTCTGCTTTACCTGTTAGTGCTAAAGAGGGATACAGGCTGGAGAAAAATAAAATGTTTGCTCAATATTATTCTGTAATATTTTACAAGAAAATCAATTGAGGACTTCATGGATTTTCATCCAAGCCAAAGTCATGATAATAGCTGAATTCCTTCCTTAATCTACCCTGAGAGGACTCAGACACTGCTTGATGCCCACAAATACTTAGTAGAGACTTATTTATAGTCTCCTTTATAAAATTCTACTAGTCTATTATCTTCATCTCTAACGGCACAGTTTGGTGCATCTACTAATATTTTCCTTCAATAGTTTGTTTACTGAGGTGTTTCAGAAATTTTTGTCAATACTTTTTGTCCTCCAGAGAACATGTGCTTGATTTCCAATGGAACCTCAGCCAAGTTGATGTTATCAGTAAGACTTATGAACTTGGAGAATCCCAGATCACTCAAGCAGGTTAAAGCTGTTGCCTGGCCAGACCTGCAGGGAAGATGAGGTGCAGCAGAGACCCACTGGGCTCAGGGCACAGCCTGCCTCTCACTTTTCCCTTTTCCTCTGAGGCAGTTGCTCCTCTGTCTGCACATGCCCCGACACCAAGGCTGCCTGGCCAAAATTCTTCAACTGTAGATCTGATTAAAGATTAGAGGGACTTCCTGCCTCTTGCATAGCTGTAGGTAGCCTAGCAATAACTGAAAACTCCTGCAACATCTGCATAATATTGAATACAAACCCTAATTTTTCTTAACCTTTTCCCTCCTAGGCTGCTCCCCCAGACTGCCCAGAGCCCTTTACATCGCAGTGGACCACACTGCCATCTTGTGGCCAATAAGTGAAGCTTCATCATTGTTTAATTCTGTAATGGCCCAAGGAATGCTGGGAAGTGTCTGCAGAGTGAGCTGCCAGAATATTCCAGAGGTGCCATCCCGCAGGTTTTATGAGCAGCTTCCCTAAACCCTAAGTCCTACATTAGTTCTAACCCTAATTATTGCTTTGAGTTACCAATCTTGATATCCCACCCTCATTCTGAATAACTCTTATCACATAGCTTCAGTTATAGCCAAACTTTTTCTCCCTTAAAACTACCATCTAAAGAAAGAGGAACAGAATGAGAGGAATGAAAGGAAATAATATTTGGTTTTAAATAGTAAGAAGACACAGACGTTGAAGTATAAAGAGATTATTTAATCTGAATCACTAAAGATAAACAAAAACATCCTCCAAAAATGACAATGTTACCCCAAAAGTATAGATCAGCAAAAGATGAAGTCAAATGTCTATTAATAAAAAGTAAAATTGAAATATATAAAACGAGACCTGTTACAAGACAATAAGCAATGGTGGAGGGAGCAGTACCTAATGCAGAAAATAAGGATGGATATAACTAAGAGTAGCAAAGGGACTGCTATAGGAAATGATCACCTTGTACAATGCACATCCACTGATCTGAGCAGCAAACAGGGAAGAGATGACACTGGAAGAGGCAGAGGAGCAGCGGGAGATGAGGACACGCTGATGCAAAATAGTATCATAAGGAAGCAAATCAGCCAGGGGACTGTGGATTAGATGACTTTGCTTTCTCCTGTCTCCCGTGACAGCTGAACTGGACCATTTTCCTCTCCAAGGATTTGCTCCTGCACCTGAAGTTAGATGCCCCTGGGATTTGCTGCTTTTCAGGTTCCCATGGATGAACTCCCTCTCCTTCCTTGTTGACCATGGTCTGAAGGAGAGGTCATCTCTCCCTCCCCTTCAATCCCACAGTACTGGGGATTGGCACAGACTTCTCAATTGGCATTGACCTCTCTCATGGCATGCTCACATGCCCCCTAACTGTGCCTTTTCATTTCCACTAGACTGAAAGTTAGATGTGGGCAATGAAACTTAACACCTTTATCATAAGATACACAAGTAACTGCTTTCAAAATTATTGCTGTTTCTTTCACTGCCTTGGGTTACAGCTGAACAGGAAAAAAAGGCACAATTTCTTAATGTGACTTAACCACAAAAACCTTCCCAAGTGCCAAAAACAATATAACTACCAAGGGATTGCTCTCCTCATTGGCGAGATGGAAAAATAAACCAAAAAAAAAAAAAAAACAAAGAAAATATTGTCAAATACTTTAATGGAGACACAGAAACCCAGTCCCTCTTATACAAACATCACTGTTTGGCCTCCCTCTACCTGAGAGACAGACAGAGCCATTCCTGTGCCCTACACCTGGCAGGAAAGCCCTGCTGGAGCCTGTGGGGAGCTGGTGAGGATGAGCCTTGGTGATTCTGCCCCAGAGCAGGGATTCTCAGGGAACTCTGGACAACTTCCAGGGACTGAGATGGAGAGTGGCCACACTCAGTCCAGGAGAGGAGAATACTGAGGATGTGATCCTTCTGATCTCTCAGCCTAAAGTAAAAGCAGAGTCATTCCTGACTGGTGTGGAGCTGCTTAGTTTCTAAAGCAAAATAGTCCTTGTTTCAGGGTCTGTCAGTGACATAGAAGAATAGCGGGGCTCTATGTGGTTCACAACCCAGAGTTGCTGCTTGGCCATCTCTGTTCCCAATGACTCCAGCATCTGAATATTCCATGTGAGGAAAGATAATTTGTAAATAATGAACTGGTTCAGTGATACCTTTAGGTACATTCAAAATAGTTGTCATGTTCCAGACTGGCATTCTTGAAGGAAACACAGAGCTACAGTGCAAGAGAATTTGGGAGTTGAATGGAAATAGGAACAATTGACGGCCCCTTAGGTGATGGGTTCTAAGAACAAGAGTAGTGGGGAAATAAATTCTGAGCTATATTGGCCTAGCTCAGAAATGGCATAACAGGGACATCAGAAAATACCCCAGTAATGTGCTGATAAACTGTGTGTCTGTGAAGGTGGGGGCATGGCTGGTAGCATTTCCTAATTTCTGTTGTACCAACATACCCACCATGGCAGATTTCAAGCTCCCAGCATGGCTTCACTGAACAGGGAGCTGGGAAAAGTATGCCTATTTACTTCTTTTGAGTCATACAAGCCATAGACTAAAGAGAAAAGCTTCAAACTTCTTCAATGCTTCCTACTCAACATACTAAAATGAGGCCACAGCAACTATAGCATACCTCATTATTTTCATGATAAGATCAGAGTGTGTGATCCTGGGTCTTGGAATGGACAACGGGATGTTTGTGCAGAGAAAGGATTTCTGAGTCCTCTGAAGCTGCTGAGATCACAGAGCAAAGAGTTATGCTGGCTGGTTGGGGAGCCGCTAGCCTTTGACTTGAAGTAATTGCAATGAAATGTTTCTCCTGCTTAACTTAAGACAACAGAATGATTTCATTAGAACAGAAACCACATTCCTCCCTATTTGTTCGTTAGTACCATCTACCCTTTGCTCCTCTTGCATGTTCATTCTCTCTATAAATTGGAAGCCCTGCTCACTTTTGTTACATGTTCTTGCAGCACCATTTACAACAGTGGACTGTGGTCTGTTCAGCCTCAGTGTCAGAGCTTGTCCACTGTTAGGACCAGGTGTCTCAGCAGTCACATGGAGGAAAGTGGCAGCAGTTAGAAGGTCTCAGAAGACAGGGAATTCCCATCTGTGTGCTGGCCTTACTCAGTCCCAGAAGACACAGGGCGGCTGAGCAAGGAGTCATTTGATGACGACACAAGAAAAAATGGGTCAAGAGCAATTCCCCGCCAGTGACCATCATTCTCTGGGGAAGGAAATTTGGTGTCTGTACCACCATAATTTCTGATCAGTGAATTTGGAAGGACTATGATGCCCCTCCTACCTATGAAAGATTCAGGGCACCTCTATCAGGGTTGCATCTGGGACACTGAGTCCCAGACTTGGAGAAGTGGTCTGTCGCTGAGGACTCCCCGAAACCCATAATGCATAATCACATCAGCTCTGACCAGTGCATTCCATTTCATAGATACAAACTGCAGCATCACCCACAGACAGATGGAAGATTCTATTGCAATATAATCATTGTACTTCTATTTCTAACAAGTGCTATATAACACTATATATTATGAAAAAATATAATAAAAAGGAATAGATTCAATATTATAAATAAAACTCTTTTTGAGTTAAAGGCCTTGGGAGAATTATTTCAAATCAAATGAGTTGGACAACAATCAAAACACTCAGAGTCTGAAAATCAGATTTCCTGAGTGAATCAAGGTGAAGTGGCAGCGGTGGTGATGCATGCTTCTGTCTATCAGGACAGCAGCAATGGCAAATGGAAATAAAATAAAGGATACTCTTGGCTTAAAGTAGGCAGAAGAAATGAAGTGTTATTGTTACCATGATTGTATTTATCAAGTAAGGACCACAAATTTGCAAAGACCTTTACTTCAAACAGGAAGAGAGGTTTGATATTTTGTGGCAGAAAACTTCCAAGGTGACAGGGATAGAAGAGGCTTCAGAAGAAAGATCTTCTCGGGGATGTAGCCTCAGACCTTCCAGATGCCCCAACATATGAAGAAGAGGCATGTTTCCTGCCTATGACAACCTCATGTATGTGGGCAACACAGCAGCCTCCAAGACCTATAGAAGATGCATGTCTGCTCTGAAGGCCAAGGCTAAGACACCCACTCCTTGTTTGGAGCAGTGAGCTGGCTCCGAGCCCTCCTAGAGTGCAGTGGGACGTGATTGTTTTCACCACTTACATTTGCAGTCACTGTGTTTCAGGAATGAATCTGTGGTCTCTTTCCACCCAAAGGACAACCGAGGTCCAAATCTACCTCTTTCCCAGGAAAAGTGAGGAGCAAAGAGAGGCCTCTGTTAATGATCTCTGGGAGCTGCAAAGAGAGAGAAGGATGAGGTTTGTGAACAGGAAGGAGGCGACTGTGCCATGCTGTGGCTAAGCTGCTGGCACAGCGATACATGGCTGAGTCCCGCTGCTCTGTGCGCTGAATCGTCAGAGTGGAGATGGATCCCTCAGGCCTCTCTGCAGAGAACCGATCACTGGGCAGCCCTGATTTGTCTGGTTGAGCTTCATAATTGAAGTAAGTCAGAAACTCTGGGCCCTGCCCCAGGGCCTGTTGATACCAATAAAGGGTTGCATGACTCGAAATTGGATCACACCTGAGAGTTACATCCTGTCCCCTCTTTGTGACTTTGTACCTGGGAGACTGGGAGACTCCAGCACCTGTGTGATCTGTGGAAACAGAATCTGGCAACAGAATAAGGAAAACATTTGTAGTCATCTCACACACACACACACACACACACACACACACAGACACACATGCATACACACACACACCTACATACAGAAAAAATATGAAACTACTTTGTGTTTTGAGGACTCACCTGTCCCTAGGAAACCCAGGACCACCCAGCATAGGAGACTGGTACCCATGACAGTGTCAGACCAGGATGGGGGCTTTACCAGATCAGTGTCACTGTGAGCAGGAGCGGAGGATGAGGGATGTCCTTGTCTCCACAGGGCAGTTCCCACAGTGACATCACTTCCTCTCTCAATCCTCAGGACCTCAGGGTCACAGCATTTCTATTAGAACACACTTGGGTGACACTTTAAATATTTATAACCTCCGTTTTAACAACATCAATTCATGGCTCATTGGTTTGTGCTCCAGAGCCGTCTGTGCCTGGAGACCTCACACTGCATCTCTGAGTTCATCTTCTCATCCTACAGCTGCTCCCCTGCCTGCTGGGCATGTCCTGTAGGATGCAACAACAGCGCCCCTAACATAGGGCACAAAGGGTTGAGCTCATTGTCTTTCCCGCAAGTCAGGGTCCCCTGTGCCATCCCAATCATGCCCCAGCTTCCTCCATTCCCCCAGTCACACGTGCCCAATGAGACTGTCCCATCACATGGGTTCCCTCAAGAACTGCCCTCATGCCTTTCTTCTGGGATCATTTCCCACCCTTGTTAACCGTAATTCAGAAAAGATGCCCATAGAAAACCATCTCAGGCATACAGTGACTTATTAATGCTCATCTATTCCATGCCCTAGACTGGGTAACTGGGAACTTCCATGTGAAAAACACTAGGATCTGAAGTTCTAGCATCAAAGATTTGTTTTACCGTTGTCTAATTTAAGACGCTGATGGAAGAAAAGTACTCAGTTTACTGTTTAGGTCCAACTTATAAAAATAAAATGAATATTCTTTACCCTGAAATCATACGTTCTCCTTTGAGTAAATTAAAAGGTCACATAAATCATGAATTAAACCTACCAGGCTAGACTGGGCCGAGAGAAGACAGAGCTTTTTTCTGGAAAGGCTAAGTTTCCAGGGTTAGTCAATGTGGTGCAGGAAGGAGGCTGGTACGTGAAGTATTTTTCCTCGTTAGAAGATGCTGGGATGTGTGATATCCTGGGTACTCAGCTGATCTGGGGGGAAGGGTGGCCAAGTGTGTAATACAAGGGATGAAATGTCATCAGTAGGATTGTCCTGGGAAATTGCCTTTCAACAATCTGAGACATGTTTTGGGCTCTTTGGCCCTCTCTGCTCCATCCTGTTTGGGGGCCAGGTCTCTACTTGGAGAGAAGGCAACTCTAGCACACTGTATTCTTGCCATCTTCACAGAAATGCAGGGCAATTTCTGCAGATCTGAGGATTTCACTTTAGGTTGGCCATCAAATCATTGAGCTGATCAGCTACAAATTCATGAAGCACATTTCTCATACTGCACAGTCAAAAGGGAGACCAGAACACTTGCTTTGGTTATAAAAGAACTGGATGGAGGAAGGCAGCAAGATGTGAGCTTCCCTCCTACTGTCTCCACAGGTCACTGCACTCTGACCAGGCGTCTGATGTCCATCCAACTCCATCAGGATAGAAGCTCAGGAAGGAGACAGAAGCAGGAGGCAGAGCCCTGCCTCTGGGTGGAGCGAGATTTCAGGCACAGGATTAAAAGAAAATTTAGTAGCCAGTGTCTGGAACATCTACATACAAATTGTGTCCACATTCACTTGGGCAGCACAGGTGTCCCCCGGAGAGGAGTCCACGGACCGTGGCAGGTTGAGTCAGTTGTGTGATCTGATGCCTTAATCTGGGAGAATCCATACTGTGCTGGATTGTGTTAAGTCAACTTTGCAAATGTAAGAGTCTGACTTTCCCAGAATGCCATTTATCATTCTGGGTTAGAGATGGTCAAGGATACATTTTGTAACATTTAGAAGACAGGTACAAAACAGTCACTATAACAATTGGCAGGTCATTGTGGTGAGAGAGTGAGAGTCAGTGACCAGCAGATACAGAGGCATCCAACAGACCTAGGAAGTCCTGTTCCTTCTGCACCCTGTGTCCAGTTCATCTTGCCAAATGCTGCCCAACAGCAGCCAGGCTGCCCCCAGTGTTTGGCACTATACCCGCAGGCATGGCCCCCACACAGAGGGAACAGCTTCCCCAGAAGCAGGTTTCCTCGGCCTTTTCCTGTGCTCCCGGCTCAAGGTCCCACTGCATGGCCTGGCATGCTCTGATCCTCTCATGTCCCTGCCACTCCAGCCTGTCCTGCCCGAGCTCCAGGAGCCCTGGCTACTGACTGGCTCCCTCACCTTCTGACTTCTCTCCTCAAGACCTTGTCTTCCTCAGCTCCTCCCACATATGCATAAAGTCTAATTCTGATCATAAATCTTTTACACTCACAAACCTGTAGTGGCTCTGTTTTATTGATGCAAACCTAATGGAGATTTTCTTACCAGAAGTGGTTTCAAGGAACAACCTTTAAGGATGGAATTCTTGAAGTGGATCTCTGATCTGTCTAGATTTGTTGTGGGGAAAGATCCTGAAGGAGAGCACAGAGACCTGGAGGAGGTCAGGTGCTGCAGCCACAAGAGGAAGCCTTGAACCAGGTGTGGCCGCCATGATAGTGATTCCCCATCAATTTCCAAGACCGACCTGAGCCCAGCAATCAAAGAGGTGGGCTTTCTTGTACTTAATGCTAGATCTCTGGCAGGTTACAGTAGATGTAGCGTGTTCCTGCTATTTGTTCGTCCACCCACTCATCACTCACTCAGCCTGTCATTCACTCATCTATTCTCTGTGAAATGGGTCTCCCCACATGCCAGGCACCGATGTTGGTAAATACAGCAGGCACAGTCTTAGCTCTCATGGGCTTAAAAATTGGGTGGAGAGGCCAGGCGTGCTGGCTAACGCCTGTATCCCCACACTTTGGGAGGCCGAGAAGGGCAGATCATGAGGCCAGGAGATCGAGACCATCCTGGCCAACATGGTAAAACCCCATCTCTACTAAAAATACAAACAAGAATTAGCTGGGCGTGGTGGTGTGTGCCTGTAATCCCAGCTACTTGGGAGGCTGAGGCAGGAGAATCACTTGAATCAGAGTATCAGAGGTTGCAGTGAGCAGAGATCATGCCACTGCACTCCAGCCTGGTGACGGAGTGAGACTGTGTCTTAAAAAAAAAAAAATTGGGTGGAGCACAAAAATAATCAGACAAGCATCTGAGAAAGCCCAACTGTGCTAAAGGTTGCTAACAGACATATGATTCATTGAGAGCTTATGAGAGGAAAGTTGATCTTACCTGGGAGGGGAGGGAGTGCTTCCCGCAGGAGGGGCTGATCATACTGAGATCTGAAGCACAGGAAGGAGCTGGCCACTAGAGAAAGGAAGGCTCTGGCCCAGGGCAAAGAAAATGGCCTTTGAAGTCTCTGTGACGGGAAGGAAGGAGTCACAGAGAGGTGCTCCCCTCATGGCTGCAGTAGAGAGGGGCAGGGAAGTGGGGGGTGGAGGATGACTGCGGAGGTGGGAAAGGTGGGCCACAGGAGGGTGGGGGCTGGGGGAAACCCTAGAGAGGAAGCAACATGGTCACCAGGGAGAGACAGGAGTCTAGATGGATCTGAAATACAAATCCTGTTTCATCCTGGGGGCCTTGGACTCAGGATGATGAGTAGAAAAGTAGGAGCTGGGGAAGCCCTGGCCCCAACCCCAAAAGTAGAGCTTGTAGGAGAGAGCAACAAAGGAGACATATGAGGACCTGGGACCAGTCCAGGCCTGGCTGAGATGCCTACAGAGGCACCTGGCACAGAGCGAGGCTCATACTGTCTGGGCCACTTGGGGCCACTTCGGGTTCCAAGGTTCCCGTTGCAGAATACTCTGCCCAGGTCATCCCTGAGTCTCAGGTCGGGGTGGAGGGCAGAGCCTCCCTGCCTTTATGTGCAGAGAGGAGACAACCTTGTAGCGCTGTGGAGTAACTGCTGGCACACAAGTACACAGATGTCCGGGAGGGAGCAGCCGACACCAGCCTGAGTGGGAAATCCTCTGTGTTTAATCTAGAGACATTGTAGCCATTGGGGACTTCTTTGTCAGTAGTACCAGCAGCAGCTGAGTAGTAAATCAGTCTCAGCCCCATGCCTGGGTCTTGTCGATACCAGGACATGTATCCATGGTTCATATCCTGGGCACACTGCAGTGTCATGCTCTGTCCTGTCTTCAGGATGTGGAATTTTGGGGTCTGAGTGACACCAGCATTCACTGGACCTGCAGAGAAGAACAAAACTGATGCTGCAGCCCCAGTGGAAAGGGGATGGGCCTTGAAATCCACGCAAGGGCCCTGCCCAGGACCCACCTGCCCACAGGAGAGAAAAGGCCGCACAGCACAGGAGCCCGAGGCTCATGGCAGGGGCTGCAGGACGGAGGGGTCTTCTGGGTCTGTGCATTGATAAAAGGGGAACAGGACTCTCAAGGGAGTCATTCTGAGACATCATTCTCCCTGCCTGGGCCCCAGAGCCTTCCAGTCAGGAGAGGCCACGCCCATTCCCCAGATGGTCAAATTCAAGATAAATGCACCAGTGAACAGCTGAGAATGAGAAGAACACATTTGTCTGAATTGAAACAAGTCTACAAGATTTTCATGACCTTTTGTAAAGAGTTTGTAATTCAATGTAAATTTTAATTCTTCAATAATATAATTAATATTCTGATGTTAGTTATCTACACAGTGCTGTAGTCTAGACTCTTAGGGAAACTTCTCATGTCTTCCTGGTGTTTTTGATTCCTGTATCCCAAATACTCCTTCAAGTATCCTTTTCTAATTTGCTTAATTGACCATAATCCTGTTTAAAAACCTTTGTCTATATTGGTTTTCTCTGTTATCAAGTTTCCAGATCCTAGGTGCAGGCTTCTCAACATTGCAGGAGTCGTTTTGCTCTGTTTCTTGTCAATTCACTGACAGATGGGACTCCTGACAAACCCAGCTGAGCACCTTCAGCTCAACGCAGGTCTCTTGCTTTCCATGCCTAGGGTGAGACCATATCAGGCAGAACCAGCTCATGCTGCTGACTGCCCTCTCTGTGTGGATGATGATGGCCACCCAGCGCTGCCCATGATCTGTGGGCACAAAGGTGGCCTGATGCATGAGGGACTTGGGGAGAAAGGGCAGACTTTAGGGTAAGGAAGAATGCTCTGTTTTTATTTGAGATGCCATCTTTCATAGGGAATATCCCTTTGTGCAGGGTTCCTGCCATTAATTTAGTAATAAATAAAATTTAGTAATAAAAAGGAGCTCTAATAACATATCTTGTGATTCATCCAGAGTTTTACAAGCTTTCCACTGGGGTTTCTCCCTGTCTATTTTCTGAGCTCATCATCTTCTCCTTGACCCAGCCAACACCCTCCTCCCAGGTCCCTGTGTCTACTGAACCAAGCAGCAGGGTTTGATTCCTTCTGGCTACCCTCATTTCCATGGCTGCTTAATTATGGGTGGAGTGGGTTTGGGATGGCACAGGACAAAACAAAGTAAAGGGCATTATTCTTCTTAGGGCTCTGATTCACACTGAGAACTACATGCTTCATGGTAGAGCCTCATGGTACTCATCGCGTGTGGATCAACACCCACCCCAACCTCACCTCTCACCTTGCCACCAAGTTAGAGACTCTTAGAGTAGAAAAGGCCTTAGAAATAATCTTGTTTCCATTTCCAGGCGTGCTTTGTAATGTGGACTTGTTATTAATATTTAACACAGCTATTTGTCCTTCATTTCCAAAGAAATTACTCCCTCAGCTGTGCATCTGTGCTGAGACCTAAAAAATCCATTAGGAGAAGGTGGAGGGTTGCATCACAGCTTCACAGCTTAGAATTTGATATTACATGTCCTTTGTCTTTGACATCCTGCGGCCACTCTGCCGTGTTCCCAACTGTTCCTCCCCACTGCCTGTGCTTCCTTCTCTGTTGATTCAAAGAAAATAAGATCCTCCTAGTTTTAGAATGCAGGAACATTTACCAATTTCTGGCCCATGAGAGTCTCTCTTTGAACTCTGAGATATTTTTTAAACAAACTCTGACTCCATTGGCCGTGCCATTTTTCGCTTCGCCACCAGTCTTCAAAAGATAAAGGAGATGTATAGATGTTTACTTAACCTTGAAAATAAATTATCCCACCTTCCAAATACTTACAAAGGAAAACTGACTAAAATCAGATGGATTCTAGTTAATATTGGTTTCCTCTACATTTCATGTTAGGAAGTGACCACTTAGTTGCTTCTCCTCCCTCCCTTATTTTAACAACAGCTCCTCACACAGCTCCCTGACCTAGTTTATCCACATCAGTGTCTCTGCTACATGTTGTGATGGGAATAATTTTCTCAAAGCTCAGATCTTCCAGTTCCAGGCCACTAATCACTTACCCACTCTAGTATCTCCCCACTGCCAACACCATGATGCTTGTACCTGCGGTGCTGTAGGGTACACAGACTGTCTCAACCCTGGTGTCCGATCTGAAGACAACGCCAGATGGTTCTAGACTTCCCCTCCCTCAAACTCCAGTGACCCCTCTATCAATTCCACATGGAAGCAAGCCGACTGCCCTTCATCTGCCTCCACCATTTATTAGCTCTGAGACCATGGGCAAGGCTATTTATTGATTTCCTGGACTCTAGCCTCATCTAGACTCATCTATAAAACAAGACTAGCATTCCCCTCAATGCTTTATGAGGATGAACTGAGATGCCGTGTAGTCTCTGGTAGGTTTGATAAAGGTCTATCCTTTTATCCCTCCCTGTCTCCTCATGCAGGAGAAACCAAATGGAGCTCTCAGACCTGCCAGGACTATGAGTGATGGAAAAGCTGGAATCATCAACTGGGTGCTGGGGTGAGGAGAACCTGGAAGCGTAAAGATGCCATTTGGTCACTTTAGAAAAGATCTGGCAGAATTTAGGAAACAGACAATACAGCATGAATGTACCTGTCTACCCTCATTATGCAATATGAAGCAGATAATAGGAGCAAGTTAGATCTATATCAACCAATCTGGAACAATAAAGACCAAGATATACAGAAAAGAGTACACATTTGGCAGTTAAAGTGTACAGGTGAACCCATTTTCTGTAGGTGTACTTGGGTAGAAAGGTGTGCATGAACACAGAAAAGAGGGGTGAAAAGAAGCAAACCAGAGCGTTAATATTGGTTACCAATGGAACATGGGATTGGATTCGAGAGCATTATTGACATTTTCATTATATATATTATTTAAATTGGTTATTAAAAAATCTTAACGACATGCAAGCTTTAAGTTTACACTTTTCATCAGGCATCAGAATTTGCAGTGTCTAAAAGGGCAAAGTACAGAAAGCTTCTGTTTATGGAACCCCGTATAAAGGCTCATTTGTTTTTACTAAACCGAGGAGAAAGTGTGCTCCGTAAAAACACACGAGCTCCTGGTGAACACAGCCAGTCTCTGACTGCTGAGGAGGGTGAGCATCGAGGTCGATACATTTGATGGTGAGGTCAGCTTGGCTGATTATGAACTAATAAGGCTTCTACCTGTGAAAGCCTGATCACCACGGGGAAGTGGAGGATCTCACCCCTTGTTCTAGAACAGCCTTTGAATAGCCCCCGATTGGAAAAGGAAGAGAAATGAGCACCCTCTAGTGCCTGCATTTCCAAACTCAGTGAGAGCTCGTTTCCAGTTTTACATTGTTCAAGCTTTAGAAATGCTCTTTGTTTCTGATCCAAGTAGCAGTATTATTACAATGTCGATTGTAACGATATTCCAGCGTTTATCAACAGCACACTGCTTTCTCAAATACAGCTTTAGTGAGTGGGTGGAAGAAAATGCTGTCCCTAGGGAAGATGTTCTGACTTTGGTCTGTTTAAGGTTCAATTATTTAAAATAACTAGTCTATTTTTGGTCTTTATTGCCTAAAGAGATAAAACTGCATTTGTCTTCAAAGCATAGATGCAAATCATTCTGGCAAAATTGGGACTTCTGTCTATCCGTGGGCCATTCTTGGGGATTGTATATTTGATTATTTCCACCCAGAATGGCTCTCACAATTCTTCAGGGACTAACACATAGCCCTGCTCTGTAAATGGAGCCTCTGCCTCTCAATCAGCCTTTCCTAACTGGCAAAGGAGGGTAACAAGCAAAGGTCTCTGCTCAGCGCCCTGCACCAAAATCAGGTGTGGGCTGGAGGAAGCTGGTGACCATGAACTCTGTGTCTCTGACATTGCCCACCAATTCATGGAAATGGACACCCATAATATCGCTCAGTGTGTCAGGCACCATGACCTCAAAGCCACCCAAAGAGATATTTGTGCCTTGGGAAAACTCTCCATAAGAGCATGGGGAAGCCATTTGTTTTCTTCTCCATGACCTTTTAATGTCAGTGTTTGACATTATGTTTCTGATCACTCTCTCAGAGTGATTAGGTGCCCTGTGTCTGTGAGACTCCCAAATCCAGGACACCTGTGAGGGAAGGAGATTGAAGGAGGAGATTAGGCAGGAAGGCGATGGGCAGATAGGAAATTCAGTCGTGCAGAAAGGCTTGGATCCAGTTACTTATCCATGACAGGGATTTCTCATCTGTTTCCAGGACTCATTTGATCCTAGGAGATGAAGGGATAGAGGTTCCGATTTAATGCGTCCAGACATCTAAGTGGGTACTCAGACGGCCTTTCAATATCTGTTCTTCATTTTTCAAGATTGGCCAGTTTCAAGATTGGAACTGCTGTTGGTCCTGACAATAAAATGGGGAACAAAACATCCACAATTTGTAAAATGATGCATGTTACAGTCTAGAATGCAAGAGTAGTGTCAATTAAATAGTCACACAAAGTCATGGAAAATGACTATGGTGCTAAATCTATGAATTTTAATGCATATTATAAGCTGTGAGCATTTACAATAAGGAGGTGCAGCCTAGGAAAACTGTTGAAGGAGTGTCTCCCTAGAGATGGTTGTAGATAAACTGACAGTTGGAGCAAGAACAAAGAAGAAGAGACTTGTGTTGACACAGAGAATACAGCATGGAGTGGAAAGGCCTTTGGTGGGAGGAGCATGATGCATGAGGAATGTCCTGAACTGAGGCATCTGTGGTTGACGTGGAGGTGAAGGTGCAGAGGGAGAGGACAGCTGGGAGCAGACATCATGTGGAGGAGGCTGAGGACTGACATGAGCATGGTGTGGGGAAGATGGAGTTGTGAAGGCCGACGGGGAAAAGTTGTCAATGCTGTCTGCAAATATACAATTTCAAATGAACTTTCCTTTCTGAGAGCAAGTGAAGAAGAGGACTTCTGAGGCCAGAGCTGGAGGAGGGGCCTGGGAGAGAGGCGGCAACTGCTCACATCACTGTGATGTGCGTTCCCTCGTCCAGCTGAGACTGGCCTGGGAGAGAAGCTCAACACAGGGCAGAGTTTCCCATGCACAGGGATGCTCAGAAATCTGAGGGCCCCAGCCTGGGCAGTGTTGGGGAGACTCCTATGGGAAAACGTCTTCCACTGCCTAGAACATGGTCTCGTGAAGACAAGGCCACCTATATCTTCCACTGAACATTGTGTGCAGAGGAAGGTGGCTGTGGGGTGACTGCTGGTGCAAGAGGGCACAGAGGTCTGGGAGAGGCTGACACAAAGGCCACATATTTGGCTTTGAGAGAAAGTCACAGACCCTCAGGGATTTCTCTGTATTGCGGGCTGGGACAGATCAGCTGTACACCAGGTTCAGCTCCTATTAACACCTACACATGTAGTCATGGATGACAGTCTCAGGCATCTCCGTGCCACTTCATGTACTGCCTTTGTTCTCTGGTATCTTAAGGATTTGATTGTCCCAGCTTCTGTGAGGTTTATGATAGAAGGAAGATGAGTGCCCAAGGAGGGACCCCAATAATGGAGACCTGAGGTAAAGGCTTAGGCTGGGATGTGGTGAGCCAAGGAAAAGGCTTTAAAGATCTTACCTGCCCCAAGTAGGCAAAAGGCCACACCACTGAGGAGTCTGGTGGTCATGGTAGGGTCAGGGAAAAATGGGGAAATTGTGGGGAGGTTTTTCAGCTTGTGTGTTGGGGACATAAATCCTAGATGTCAGTAGAGTCAACTGATGATGCCACTGCCCCTGCCAGCCAGTGACTCTGCCCTCTGCCTGCAATTCTCCCTCTACCTGCTGCAACCTTCAACCTACAGTCAAGTCATAAACCTTCACCCATATGGTCTCTGCTCCTGGCTGTCTTTCTTCTACAAGACAATAGACTGACAAAGTTCATGCTCATTTGCCCTCCACCTACCTCTCCACCGTCAGCTCCAGGTGTCCACTTAGGGCTCTTTTTGACAAGCTATTGTTTCTTCACTGAATATATGTCCTTCCCTCCCATTCCTAGGTCTGTATCTTATTTCTTACATGAGATGTATTTCAGGTACATTTATTCTTAGTGATGAAAATCCAAACTTAAATTTTAGTAGAATAAGTTGAGAAAAATATGCTTAGACATTTATATGAAAAAGTGGTTTTTGTCTACACACAAACAAAATTGTTTTTAGTTTTTGTTGCATTAAATTAAGCTCTTGTGCACCAAAAACTCCATAAAAATGAAAATATAAGCTGCAGACTGGGGAAAGACAAAGGGAATGCATATAAATGATTGTTAAAATGTGTGAAATTTAACATTCCTCAAAGGAGCTAATGAAAAGGCCATAGTAATGACCCCTGAAGACATTTCAGCCTCTACTGCGGCCCTGCTGGTCACTAGACGGCAGTGTGAGGGCTCTGATTTACTGACCAGGATGCAGAAGATGATGATGGAGCAGGGGGGTAGGTGGAAAATGGATGGACTAGTTTGTTTCCTACTTCTGATCCTTACAAGCCAAGAGACATTGGGGAAAATGACTCAATGTCCCTGAGCCTTCTATCTGTAAAGGAAGAATAAGAATGTTTGATGTGCAAGATTGTTGAAAGGCATTAAGCTATGTAAGAAATGCAAATAATCAAGCACACATCTGGGGCTCAGCAGTCACTCTTGTACTGAGGTGACAAGCTGCAAGAAGATGCAGCACAGAAGTGGGCACACTCAGGACACAGGAAACTTGGGCTTTATTGGTTGGGAGAGCTCTGCCCTCAGTAGGACACAAGACATGCCTTCCAAACAACTAAAAGCTTCCCTTGAAGGAGTGAAATCTGGGTGGGGCCTGCAGCTCTCAAGGCAAAGCTAAGGCAGGAAGTTTATATACAGAACGTCAGTGACTCTGATGGGCTGTGCCAAGCTGCTGGCACAGAGATAGAGGGCCGAGTCCCCCAGCAACAAGGCGTTCACATTCAGCTCAGAGCTATAGTTAGGGAACTGGTGACCTGAGAATCGATCAGGGAAGTTGCCTCTCTGTCTCTCTTCCTCCTCATAATACTGAAAGATAAACTGGGGCCCCTGACCCAGGGCCTGTTGGTACCAGGACACAGTGTCATGCCCAGACTTAGGAGAGCATCTCAGAGTCACTTGCTGTCCTCTCGTTTTGATCAGGTGTGTGGGACTTTGGGTGACTCCAGCGTCCACTAAGCCTGTGGGAAAAGCAGATGGAGGATGAGCACAGGGACAGCCTGGAGGTCCTCCCCAAGGTAAAGTGGAGGACACAGGGGTGGGAAAGCTGAGAATGGGGCTGCTGTCCTGTGCCCAGGACTCACCTGCTCCCAGGAGACAAAGCAGTGCCCAGCAGAGGAGCCCGGGGCCCATGGCACAGAGGGACAGGAAGCACTGCATCTGATTCAGGGCTTGGTTCTCCTGGGGAAGAGCCGAGTGAGTTCTGGGCCTTGATTTTCCTGATGGGAGGGGTATCCTGTGATGTCACTGTCCTTTGTCCTCCCCATGCAGCCTTCCTTAGGTCTAGTGCTCCAGGACACTGGACTCTCTACCTGTCCTGCCGAGCTGGAGGGATGTGTGAAGGCAGAGGTTTCTGTGGTGATACAGTTCCTCCTCTGCCTACACTGCCCCAGCTCACAGGCTGCCCCATCACCCTATCACTGTTCTCCCACCTAGTGCTGTGGTGCTCCATGCTGGAGCTCACACACCTGCCCGTCAGCGGAGGGTGAGGAACCTGTGAGTAAACCTCAGTTTCCAGCTCTTCCTTGCTGTCCTCACGTCATCTTTCTGATGCTAGATTCACACCAATGTTTCTTATTATATTTTTCTATCCAAGACAACATTCCGGGCCCCTTTTCTCAGTGGCCACTGGTACAGTCCCCAAGATTTAGTCTGTCTGATCAGATCCAAAGCAGACCTGTGTTGTCTGTAAATTATTAAGAGTACAGATTCCCCAGAAATAATTCTTGGACTTTAACAGCTCACAGCACAGAGTTTGGCTTATGGGAGACAGGACAGCAGAGGGAGGTAGAGTCACCATCTGTGCTGGTTTGCAAAATCTATTCCCATGGCTCCCTTCTTGCTGGGTTAAATTTCCTGGTGGCTAAAAGTAGTCACACAGTAGCCTGAATGCTTTGCCTCTTAGATATTTCTTTCAGCAGATATACTAGCAAATGGCTCATAATTTTTATATTCCATAAAGTTCTAGAACAGGACACAATTTTGCCAAGGTTTTTGCTACTTACAACAAGGATGGCATTTACTTCGATTTTCAATACCTTGTTCCTCATTTCCCCCTGAGCCTTCACCAGAATTGCCCTTTATGCTCTGTTTTCAGGAATCTAGACTTTTGCTAGTCTGCTCCTCCCAATTCTTTCAGCCTCTATCCATTAGCCACTTCCCATTAACCAAAGCTGCTTCTACATTTTCAGGTATTATAGCAACAGCCTCACTCTCAGGTACCATATTTTCTTTCAATTTCTTTCCTACTGCTATAGAGAAATACCATGGAATGGGCAATTTATAAAGACAATAGTTTTATTTGGCTTATAGATCTGGAGACTGAGAAGTCCAAGATAGAAGGGCAATAACTGCTGAGGGCCTCCTGCTGTTATCCAAGGCAGAAGGAAGGGGAAGCAAGCACCGAAGTCAGAGAAAATGACTGAATTCATCCTTTTTATCAGAAGACCATTCCCAAGATAATTAATTCACTCCCACAATAAAGGGCATTGATCTGTTTCTGAGGGCAGATCCCTCATGACCCTAGTCATAGCTGTCCCACCTCCCAATACCATTACCTTGACAAGTTTCAACATGAGATTTTGTGAGGACATGCAAGCATAGCACACACATCTACACTATGAGTCAGTATTTCCACTCTTAAGTCTATATCTTTAAAAAAAATGCATATGTCCACAGGAAGAATTCCACAAAAATGTTCACAACAAGTTTATTCATAATAGTTGAAGACAGGAGTAACATGGATATCCATCAACAGGAGCATGGATAAACAAGTTGTAGTATATTTATGCAATGGAATATTAGTCATAAGAATGACCTACTGATACAACGATATGAATACACTTCAGAAATACTAATTTTGGAGAAAAACAATTCAATAAAAATATGATTCCATTATATGAAGCTCAAGAATAGACAAAGCTACTCAACAGTGATACACATAGAAAAGTTTTTATCCCTGGGATAGAAATTGATTAGAAAGGAGCATGATGACACTTTCTTGAGTGACGGAAATTTTTTTTATAATCATTTCAGTTACTATTGCACTGGCGTATGCATTTGTCAAAATGTACCAGGATGTCCTTCTATTAATATTTGTGTTTTACTCTCTATTAATTATACCTTAATAAAAAGTATTACTAAAAATTAAACAGCTAAATTGCATAAAAGATGGGAGTCATTTACAAATGTATGCTTGTATTCTGCACAGCCCAATTTAAAAATGAATCACACAAAAAGAAGAAAAGACAGGAACACACATAGCTGTGTAAGATTTGGAGAATGTGAGAAGTGCTCAGTGACTGAAATAGACAACATTGAAATTTGGCCACAAAATAAGCTCAAGTGATGAGTGGGCTGAAAAACAAGTGAGGATCAATATCAAGGAAAGCTGTAGACAAACAAAAGCTCTCTAAAAATATCTTCATATGCTGTTGAAATCATTCTGAGAACCATGAGCTGCTATCCGTTTCATAACTTGGGAAATTGGGCATTCATCAGTCTCACAATTGAGACTTTCATTTCTTTTTGGCTTTCAACAGATTGGCCAATTGGTGAAGTGATTTTTTTGCCCAGCAAGCAGCCTGCTCCCCTCTTTGTGAGTGGGGTCCTGGGACACCCGGCCCTCCGCCTTTGGCAGCCTCACAGAGGGGAGTTGGGCACAGCGCAGACACACGGGGTTCCCTGCATGTGGGGTTTGCAATCCCTGTAAAGCCCAGCTGTGGATCTCCAGTCCTGCAGTTAATGGATCCCAACTAAAAAACCTTGCCTCTAGGTGTCTGCTCTACCTGTAAGTGCTAAAGAGGGATAGAGGCTGGAGAAAAATAAAATGTTTGCTCAATATTATTCTGTAACATTTTACAAGAAAATAAATTGAGGAGTCCATGCATTTTCATCCAAGCCAAGGTCATGAGGATAATAGCTGAATTTCTTCCTTAATCTACCCTGAGAAGACTCAAACACTGTTCTATGCCCACAAATACTTTAGTAGTGACTTATTTATAGTCTATTTTTGATAATTCTTCTAGTCAATTATATTCAGCTCTAACAGCACAGTTTGATGCGTCTACTAACATTTTCCTTCAGTAGTCTGTTTACTTAGGTGTTTTAGAACTTCTCAATATTTTTTGCCCTCCAGAGAACACATACTTGGTGTCCAGTGGAATCTCAGCCAAGGTGATGTTATCAGTAAGACTTATGAACTTGCAGAATCCCAGATCACTCAAGCAGGTTAAAGCTGTTGCCTGATCAGACAATTTCCAATGTTCCTCTGAGGCATTTGCTCCTCTGCACCCGCCCCTGATACGAAGGCAAAAATTCTTCAACTGTAGATGTCACTAAAGATTACAGGGACTTCCCGCCTCTTGCATAGCTGTAGGTAGCCTAGCAATAACTGAAAACTGCTGCAACATCTGCATAATATGGGATCCAAGCCCTAATTTTTCTTAACCCTTTCCCTCCTAGACTGCTCGCCCAGACTCCCCAGAGCCCAGTGGACCATAGTGCCATCTTGTGGCCAATAAGTGAAGTTTCATCATTATTTCTTCCGCTGGGAAGTGTCTGCTGAGTGAGCCGGCAGAATATTCCACAAGTGCCATCCCGCAGGTGTTATGAGCAGCTTCCCTAAATCATCATACCAACACTAGTTCTAACCCTGACTATTGCTTTCAGTTACCAAAATCTTAATATCCCACCGTCATTCTGAAAAACTCTTAACAAATATCTCCAGTTATAGTTTAACTTTTTCTCCCTTAAACTACCATCTAAAGAAAGAGGAATAGAAGGAGAGGAATGAAAGAAAATAATATTTGGTTTTAAATAGTAAGAAAACACAGACGTTGAGGTATAAAGAGATTATTTAATGTGAATCACTAAAGATAAACAAACACATCCTCCTAAAATGACAATGTTACCCCAAAAGTATAGATCAGCAAAAGATGAAGTCAAATGTCTATTAATAAAAAGTAAAATTGAAATATATAAAATGAAACCTCTTACAAGGCAATAAGCAATGGTGGAGGGAGCAGTACCTAATGTAGAAAATAAGGATGGATATAGCTAAGACTAGCAAAGGGGCTGCTACAGGAAATGATCAGCTTGTACAATGCACATCCACTGATCTGAGCACCAAACACGGAAGAGATGATTCTGAAACAGGCAGAGGAGCAGCCGGAGATGAGGACATGCTGGTACAAAATAGCATCATAAGGAAGCAAATCAGCCAGGGGACTGTGGATTAGATGACTGTGCTTTCTCCTGTCTCCTGTGACAGCTGAACTGGACCATTTTCCTCTCCAAGGATTTGCTCCTGCACCCTGAGTTAGAGGACCCTGGGATTTGCTCCTCCTCAGCTTCCCATGGATGAAAATCCCTCTCCCTCCTTGTTGAGCATGGTCTGAAAGAGAGGTCATCTCTCCCTCCCCTTCAATCTCACAGTATTGGGGATTGGCACAGACTTCTCAATTGGCATCGGCCTCTCTCAGGGCATGCTCACATGCCCCCTAACTGTGACTTTTCATTTCCACTAGACTGAAAGTTAGATGTGGGCAATGAAACTTAACACCTTTATCATAGGATGCATAAGTAACTGCTTTCAAAATTATTGTTGTTTCTTTCACTGCCTTGGGTTATATCTGAACAGGAAAAAAAGGCACAATTTCTTAATGTGACTTAACCACAAAAACCTTCCCAAGTGCCAAGAACAATATAACTGTAAAGGGATTGCTGTCCTAATTGGTGAGATGGCCAAATAAAACAAAAACAAAGAAAATGTTATCAAATACTTTAATGGAGACCCAGAATCCCAGTCCCTCTTATACAAACATCATTGCATGGCCTCCCTCTAACTAAGAGACAGGCAGAGCCATTCCTGTGCCCTGCACCTGGCAGGAAAGCCCTGCTGGAGCCTGTTGGGAGCTGGTGAGGATGAGCCTTGGTGATTCTGTCCCAGAGCAGGGATTCTCAGGGAACTCTGGACAACTTCCAGGGACTGAGATGGAGAGTGGCCACACTCTGTCTTGGAGAGGAGAATACTGAGGGCATGATCCTTCTGACCTCTCAGCCTAAAGTAAAAGCAGAGTCATTCCTGACTGGTGGGGAGCTGCTTAGTCTCCAAAGCAAAATAGTCCTTGTTTCAGGGTCTGTCGGTGACATAGAAGAATAGCGGGGCTGTATGTGGTTCACAACCCAGAGTTGCTGCTTGGCCATCTCTGTTCCCAATGACTCCAGCATCTGAATATTCCATGCAAGGAAAGATAATTTGCAAATAATGAACTGGTTCAGTGATACCTTTAGTTACATTCAAAATAGTTGTCATGTTCCAGACTGGCATGCTTGTAGGAGACACAGAGCTACAGAGCAAGAGAATTTAGAGGTTGAATAGAAATAGGTACAATTGAGGCCCACTTAGATGATGGCTTCTCAGAGCAGGAGTAGAGGGGAGGTGAATTCTGAGCCCTTTTGGCCCCACAAGAAATGGCATAACAGGGACATCAGAAAATACCCCAGGGATATGCTGCTATACTGGGTGTCTGTGAAGGTGGGGGCATGGCTGGTAGCATTTCCCAATTTGTGGTGTACCAGCATACCCACCATGACAGACTTCAAGCAGCCAACATGGCTTCACTGAAAGGGGAGCTGGGAAGAGTAGTATGCCTATTTGGTTCTTCTGAGTCATTCAAGCTGGCTCCAGCACATCCCTAGACTCAAGAGCAAAGCTTTCAAAGTTCTTCAATGCTTCCTGCTCAACACACTAAAAATGAGGCCACAGCAACTATAGCACACCTCATTGTTTTCATGATAGGATCAGTGTGTGATCCTGAATCTTGGAATGGACAAAGGGATGTTTGTGCAGAGAAAGGATTTCTGAGTCCTCTGAAGCTGCCGAGATCACAGAGCAAAGAGTTATGCTGGTTGGTTGGGAGCTGCTAGCCTTTGACTTAGAGTAATTGCAATGAAATGTTTCTCCTGCTTTACTTAAGACAACAGAATGATTTCAATAAAGCAGAAACCCTATTCCTTCCTATTTGTTCATTAGAAACATCTGCCCCTTGCTCCTGTTGCATGTTCATTCTCAGTATAAATTGGAAGCCCTGCTCACTTTTGCTACAAGTTCTTGCAGCGCCATTTACAACAGTGGACTGTGTTCTGTTCAGCCTCAGTGTCACAGCTTGTCCACTGTTAGGACCAGGTGTCTCAGGAGTCACGGAGAGGAAAGTGGCAGCAGTTAGAGAGAAGGTCTCAGAAGACAGGGAATTCCCATCTGTGTGCTGGCCTTACTCAGTCCCAGGAGACACAGGGCACCTGAGCAAGAAGCGATTTGATGATGACACAAGAAAAAATGGGTCCAGAGCAACTCCACCTCAGTGACCATCATTCTCTGGGGAAAGAAATTTGGTGTCTGTACCACCACAATTTCTGATCAGTGAATTTGGAAGGACTATGATGCCCCTCCTAGCTATGAAAGACTCAGGGCACCTCTATCAGGGTTGCATCTGGGACACCGAGTCCCCACACTTGGAGAAATGGCCTGTCCCTGAGGACTCTCAGAAACCCATGATCCATGATCACATGATCTCTGACCAGTGCATTCACTTTCATGGATACAAACTGCAGCATCACCCACAGATAGGTGGAAGATTCTACTGCAATATAATCATTGTACTTCTATTTATAACAAGTACTATATAACAATATATAATGTGAAAATTAAAATAAAAAGGAATAGATTCAATATTATAAGTAAAACACCTCTTGAGTTCAAGGCCTCAGGAAACTTATTTCAAATCAAATGAGTTTGACAGCAATGAAAACACTCGAGAGTCTAATAATCAGATTTGCTGAGCGAATCAAGGTGAACCGGCAGCAGTGGTGAATGCATGCTTGTGTGTATCAGAACAGCAGCAATGGCAAATGGAAACAAAATGAAGGATACTCTTGGCTTAAAGTAGACAGAAGAAATGAAGTCTTATTGTTATCATGATTGCTTTTATCACGTAAGGACCACAAAAGTTGCACAGACCTTTACTTCAAACAGGAAGAGAGGTTTGATATTTTGTTGCAGAAACTTCCAAGGTGACAGGGATAGAAGAGGCTTCAGAAGAAAGATGTTACTGGGGATGTAGCCTCAGACCTTCCAGATGCCCCAACATATGAAAAAGAGGCATGTTTCCTGCCCATGACAACCTCATGTATGTGGGCAGCACAGCAGCCCCCAAGACCTATAGAAGATGCATGTCTGCCCTGAAGGCCAAGGCTAAGACACCCACTCCCTGTTTCGAGCAGTGAGCTGGCTCCGAGCCCTCCTAGAGGGCAGTGGGACGTGATTGTTTTCACCACCTACATTTGCAGTCACTGTGTTTCAGGAATGAATCTGTGGTCTCTTTCTACCCAAAGGACAGCCGATGTCCAAATCTACTTCTTTCCCATCAAAAGTGAGGAGCAAAGAGAGGCCTCTGTTAAGGGTCTCTAGGAGGTGCAAGGAGAGAGAAGGATGAGGTTTGTGAACAGGAAGGAGGCGACTATGCCATGCTGTGGCTAAGCTGCTGGCACAGCGATACATGGCCGAGTCCCGCTGCTCTGTGCGCTGGATCGTCAGAGTGGAGACGGATCCCTCAGGCCTCTCTGCAGAGAACCGATCATTGGGCAGCCCTGATTTGTCTTGTTGGGCTTCATAATTGAAGTAAGTCAGAAACTCTGGGCCCTGCCCCAGGGCCTGTCGGTACCAATAAAGGGATACATGACCCGAAATTGGATCACACCTGAGAGCTACATCCTGTCCCCTCTTTGTGACTTTGTACCTGGGAGACTGGGAGACTCCAGCACCTGTGTGATCTGTGGAAATAGAATTTGGCAACAGAATAAGGAAAACATTTGTCGTCAGCACACACACACACACACACACACACACACACACACACACGCCCACACGCCTACACACAGAAAAAAAAATGAAACTACTTTGTGTTCTGAGGACTCACCTGTCCCTAGGAAACCCAGGACCACCCAGCATAGGAGACTGGTGCCCATGGCAGGGTCAGGCCAGGATGAGGGCTTTACCAGATCAGTGTCACTGTGAGCAGGAGCAGAGGATGAGGGATGTCCTTGTCTCCACAGGGCAGTTCCCACAGTGACATCACTTCCTCTCTCAATCCCCAGGACCTCAGGATCACAGCATTTCTATTAGAACACAGTTGGGTGCTGCTTTAAATATTTATCAGCTCCTTTTTAACAACATCAATGCATGGCTCATCGCCTTGGGCTCCAGAGCTGTCTGGACCCGGAGGTCTCATGCTGTATCTCTGAGTTTATCTTGTCATCCCACAGCCGCTTCTTGCTCCTTTGTCTGCTGGACATTTACTCTAGGATGCACCAACACCGCCCCTAACATAGGGCACAAAGTGGTGAGCTCATTGCATTTCCTGCAAGTCAGGGTCCCCAGTGCCATCCCCATTCATGCTCCAGCCTCCTCCATTCCCCCAGTCACACGTGCCCAATGACTGTCCTATCACATGGATTCCCTCAAGAACTGCCCTCGTGCCTTTCTTCTGGGATCATTTCCCACCTTTGTTAACTGTAACTCAGAAAAGATGCCAATAGAAAACCATCTCAGGCATAGAGTGACTTATTAACGCTCATCTATTCCATGCCCTGGACTGGATAGCTGGGATCTTCCATATGAAAAACACCAGGACCTAAAGTTCTTGCATCAAAGATTTGTTTTACCGTTGTCTAATTTAAGACACTGATGGAAGAGAAGTACTCAGTTTACTGTTTAGGTCCAACTTATACAAAGTAAAATGAATATTCTTTACTCTGAAATCATATGTTCTCCTCTGAGTAAATTAAAAGGTCACATAAATCATGAATTAAACCTACTGGGCTAGACTGGGCCAAGAGAAGACAGCTTTTTTCTGGAAAGGCGAAGTTTCCAGGGTTAGTCAATGTGGTGCAGGAAGAAGGCTGGCATGTGAAGAATTTTCCCTTGTTAGAAGATGCTGGGATGTATGATATCCTGGGTACTCAGCTGATCTGGGGAGAAGGGTGGTCAGGCGTGTAATAGGAGGGATGAAATTTTGTCAGCAGGATTGTCCTAGGAAATTGCCCTTCAACCATCTGAGACATGTTTTGGGCTCTTTGGCCCTCTCTGCTCTGTCTTGTTTTGGGGCCAGGTCTCTACATGGAGAGAAGGCATCTCTAGCACACAGTATTCTTGCCATCTTCACAGAAATGCCGGCAATTTCTGCAGATCTTAGGATTTCACTTTGGGTTGGCCATCAAATCATTGAGCTGATCAGCTACAAATTCATGAAGCACATTTCTGATACTGCAGAGTCCAAAGGGAGACCAGAGAAGTTGCTTTGGGTATAACCGAACTAGGTCCAGGAAGACAGCAAGAGGTGAGCTTCCCTCCCACTGTCTCCACAGGTCGCTGCACTCTGACCAGGGTTCTGATGTCCATGCAACTCCAGCAGGACGGAAGCTCAGGAAGGAGACAGAAGCAGGAGGCAGAGCCCTGCCTCTGGGTGGAGTGAGAGTTCAGGCACACGATTAAAGAAAACTTAGTCACCAGTGTCTGGAACATCTACATACAAATTGTGTCCACATTCACCTGGGCGGCACAGGTGTCCCCTGGAGAGGAGTCCACAGACCATGGCAGGTCGAGACAGTTGTGTGATCTGATGCCTTAATCTGGGAGAATCCATCCTGTGCTGGATTGTGTTAAGTCAACTTTGCAAAGGTAGGAGTCTGCCTTCCCAGAGTGACGTTTCTGTTATCATTCTGGGTTAGAGATGGTCAAGGATACATTTGTGTAAAATTTGGAAGATAGATGTAAAACAGTCACTATTACACATAGCAGATAACTGTGGTCAGACAGTGAGAGTCAGTGGCCAGCAGATACAGAGGCATCCAATAGACCTTGGAAGTCCTGTTCCTTCTGCACCCTGTGTACAGTTCATCTTCCCAAAAGCAGCCAGGCTGCCCCCAGTGTTTGGCAGTGCACGTACATGGGTGGCCCCCACACAGAGGGAACAGCTTCCCCAGACACAGATTTCCTTGGCCTTTTCCTGTGCTCCCAGGTCAAGGTCCCACTGCATGGCCTGGCATGCTCTGATCCTGTCATGTCCCTGCCACTCCAGCCTGTCCTGCCAGAGCTCCAGGAGCCCTGGCTACTGACTGGCTCCCTCACTTTCTGACTTCTCTCCTCCAGACCTTCTCTTTCTCAGCTCCTCCTACATATGCATAAGGTCTAATTCTGATCATAAATCGGTTACACTGTCAAATTTGTAGTGGCTCTGTTTTATTGATGCAAACCTAATGGAGATTTTCTTACTAGAGGTGGTTTCAAGGAACAACCTTTATGGATGGAATTCTAGAAGTGGATCCCTGATCTGTCTGGATTTGTTGTGGGGAAAGACCCTGAAGGAGAGCACAGAGACCTGGAGGAGTTCAGGTGTTGTAGCCACAAGAGGAAGCCTTGAGCCAGGTGTGGCCGCCATGGTAGTGATTCCCCATCAATTTCCAAGACCAACCTGAGCCCAAAAATCAAAGGGGTGGGCTTTCTTGTACTTAATGCTAGATCTCTGCCAAGTTACAGTAGGTGTAGCATGTTCCTACTATTGGTTCGTCCACCCACTCATCACTCACTCAGCCTGTCATTCACTCATCCATTCTCTGTGAAATGGGTCTCCCCACATGCCAGGCACCGATGTTGGTAAATGCAGCAGGCACAGCCTTAGCTCTCATGGGCTTACAAATTCGGTGGAGAGTCTGGGCATAGTGGCTCATGCCTGTAATCCCAGCACTTTGGGAGGCCTTGGCAGGTGGATCATGAGGTCAGGAGATCGGGACCATCCTGACCAACATGGTGAGTCCCTGTCTGTACTAAAAATACCAAAAAGAATTAGCTGGGTGTGGTGGTGTGTGCCTGTAATCCCAGCTACTTGGGAGGCTGAGGCAGGAGAATCGCTTGAACCAGAGAGTCGGAGAGTCGGAGGTTGCAGTGAGCTGAGGTAGTGCCACTGTATTCCAGCCTGGTGACAGAGCGAGACTCTGTCTCAAAAAAAAAAGGAAAAATAGGGAAAAAAAATGGGTGGAGTACAAAAAGTATCAGACAAGTACCTGAGAAAGCCCAACTGTGCTAAAGGTTACCAACAGACATATGATTCTATGAGAGCTTTTGAGTGGAAAGTTGATCTCAGCTGGGAGGCGGGGGAGTGCTTCCTGCAGGAGGGGCAGATTATGCTGAGATCTGAAGCACAGGTAGGCGCTGGCCAGTAGAAAAGGTAGCCTCTAGCCTAGGGCAGAGGGAATGGCCTTTGAAATCTCTTTGATGGGAAGGAAGGAGGCACAGAAGAGAGGCTCCCCTTATAGCTGCAGTAGAAAGGGGCGGGGAAGTGAGGGGAGGAGAGACCCAGCAAGGCCTTGGAGGGTGACTGCCCAGATGGGAAAGGTGGGCCACAGGAGAGACTACGTGAGGGTGGGGGCTGGGAAAACCCTAGAGAGAGGAAGCAACATGGTCACCAGGAAGAGACAGGAGTCTAGATGGATCTGAAATACAAATCCTGTTCCACCCTGGGGGCCTCGGACTCAGGATGATGAGTAGAAAAGTAGGAGCTGGGGAAGCCCTGGCCACAACCCGAAAGGAGACCTCGGAGGACAGACCAGAGAGAGCAACAAGGGAGACATCTGAGGACCTGGGACCAGTCCAGGCCTGGCTGAGATGCCTGCAGAGGCACGTGGCACAGAGCGAGGCTCATACTGTCCGGGCCACTTGGGGCCACTCTGCGTTCCAAGGTTCCTGGTGCAGAGATCTCTGCCCAGGGCATCCTTGAGTCTTGGGTGGGGGAGGAGGGCAGCACCTTCCCTTGCCTTTATGTGCAGAGAGGAGACAGCCTTGCAGCGCTGTGGAGTAACTGCTGGCACAGAAGTAAACAGAAGTCTGAGAGGGAGCAGCTGACTCCAGCTTGAGGGGGAAATCCTCTGTGTTTGATCTGGAGACATTGTAGCCATTGGGAACTTCTCCTTTGTCAGTGAGAGCAGCAGCAACTGAGTAGTAAATAAGCCTCAGCCCCTTGCCTGGGTCTTGTCGATACCGATACATGTATTCATGGTTCATATCCTGGGCACACAGCAGAGTCATGCTCTGTCCTGTCTTCAGGACGTGGAATTTTGGGGTCTGAGTGACACCAGCATTCATTGGACCTGCAGGGAAGGACAAAGCTGATGCTACAGCTCCAGTGGAAAGGGGCTGGGCCTTGATATCCACACAAGGGGCCCTGCCCAGGACCCACCTGCCCACAGGAGAGAAAAGGCCACACAGCACAGGAGCCCGAGGCTCATGGCAGGGGCTGCAGGACGGAGGGGTCTTCTGGGTCTGTGCATTGATGAAAGGGGAACTGGACTCTCAAGGGAGTCATTCTGAGACATCATTCTCCCTGCCTGGCCCCCAGAGCCTTCCTGTCAGGAGAGGCCACGCCCATTCCCCAGATGGTCAAATTCAAGATAAATGCACCAGTGAACAGCTGAGAATGAGAAGAACACATTTGTCTGAATTGAAACAAGTCTACAAGATTTTCATGACCTTTTGGAAACAGTTTGTAATTCACTGTAAATTTTATTACTTCGATAATATAATAATATTCTGGTGTTTATTGTCTACACAGTGCTGTAGTCTAGAGTCTTAGGGACACTCCTCATGTCTTCCTGGTGTTTTTGACTCCTGTGTCCCAAATATTCTTTCAAGTATCTTTTTCTAATTTGCTTAATTGACCATAATCCTGTTTAAAATCCTTTGTCTATATTGGTTTTCTCTGTTATCAGGTTTCCAAAACCCAGGGGCAGGCTCATCAACATTGGAGGAGTCGTTTTGCTCTGTTTCTTGTCAATCCACTGACAGATGAGACTCCTGATAAACCCAGCTGAGCACCTTCAGCTCCACCCAGGGCTCTTGCTTTCCATGTCTGGGGTGAGACCGCAGCAGGCAGAACCACCTCACTTTGCTGACTGTCCTCTAGGTGTGGATGAAGGTGACCACACTGCGTTGCCCATGACTTATGGGCACAAAGGTGGCCTGATGCGTGAGAGACTCAGGGAGAGAGGGCAGGATTTAGGGTAAGGAAGAATCCTCTGTTTGTACTTTAGATGTCATGTTTCATAAGGAATATCCCTTTATATGGGATTCCTGCCATTAATTTAGTAATAAATAAAAAGGAGCTCAAATAATATATCTTGTGATTCCTCCAGGATTTTACAAGCTTTCCCCTGGGGTTTCTCCTTGTCTATTTTCTGAGCTCATCATCTTCTCCTAGACCCAGCCAACACCCTGCCCCCAGGTCCCTCTGTCTACTGAACCAAGCAGCAGGGTTTGATTCCTTCTGGCTCCCTTCATTTCCATGGCTGCTTAATTATGGGTGGGATGGGTTTAGGATGGCAGAGGGCAAAGCAATGTAAAGGGCATTATTCTTCTTAGGGCTCTGATTCACACTGAGGACTATATGCTTCATGGTAGAGCCTCATGGTACTCATTGCGTGTGGATGAACATCCCCCCATCCTCACCTCTCAGCTTGCTACTAAGTTACTCTTAGAGTAGAAAAGGCCTTAGAAATAATCTTGTTTCCATTTCCAGTTGTGCTTTGTAAGGTGGACTTATTATTACACAGCTATTTGTCCTTCATTTCCAAAGAAGTTACTCCCTCAGGTGTGCATCTGTGCTGAGACCTGAAAAACATTAGGAGAAGGAGGAGGGTTGCATCACAACTTCACAGCTTAGAATTTGGTATTACATGTCCTTTGTCTTCCACATTCTGTGGCCACTCTGCCGAGTTCCCTACTGTCCCTCCCCACTGCCTGTGCTTCCTTCTCTGTTGATTCAAAGAAAATAAGATCCTCCTAATTTTAGAATGCAGGAACATTTACCAATTTCTGGCCCATGAGAGTCTCCATTTGAACTCTGAGTTATTTATTAAACAAACTGTGACTCCATTGGCCGTACCATTTTTGCCTTCACCACCAGACTTCATAAGGTAAAGAAGCCGTATAGATGTTTACTTAACGTCAAAAATAAATTGTCCCACCTTGCAACTACTTACAAAGCAAAACTGACTAAAATCAGATGAGATTCTAGTTAACATTGTTTTCCTCTCCATTTCATGTAGAGGAAGTGACCCTTAGTTGCTTCTCCTCCCTCCCTCATTTTAAGAACAGCTCGTCACACAGTTCTCTGGCCTAGATTATCCACATCAGTGTCTCTGCTACGTCTTGTGATGGGAAAAATTTTTTCAAAGTTCAGATCTTCTGGTTCCTGGCCACTAACCACATACCCACTCTAGTACCTCCCCACTGCCAACACCATGATACTTTTACCTTCAGTGCTGTAGGGTACACAGACTCTACTGCCCCCTGGCGTCTGATCCGAAGACAACGCCAGATGGTTCTAGACTTCACCTCCCTCAAACTCCAGTGACCCCTCTATCAGTTCTACACAGAGGCAAGCCAACTGTCCTCCATCTGGCTCCACCATTTATTAGCTCTGAGACCATGGGCAATGCCATTCATTAACCTTCCTGGACTCTAGCCACATCTAGACTCGTCTATAAAACAAGACGCACATTCCTCTCCATGCTTTATGAGGATGAACTGAGATACTGTGTAGGCTCTGGTAGGTTCGATAAACATCTATCCTTTTATCTCTCCCTGTCTCCTCATGCAGGAGAAACTGATAAAGCTCTCACACCTGCTAGGATTATGAGTGACGGAAAAGCTGCATTCATCAACTGGGTGCTGGGGTGAGGAGAACTTGGAAGCATAAAGAGGTCATTCAGTCACTTTAGAAAAGATTTGGCAGAATTTAGGACTCAGACAATAGAGCATGAATGTACCTGTCTACCCTCATTATGCAATATGAAGCAGCTAATAGGAGCAAGTTAGATCTATATCGACCAATCTGGAACAATAAGACCAGGGTATATTAACAGAAAAGAGTATGCATGTGGCCAGTAAAGTGTACAGGTGAACCCAATTTCTGTAGGTGTACTTGGGTAGAAAGGTGTGCATGAACACAGAAAAGAGGGGTGAAAAGAAGCACACCACAGTGTTTGTATTTGTTACAAATGGAAGATGGGATTGGACATACGTAGACCTGTGTTGTCAATGCTGTCTGCAAATATACAATTTCAAATGAACTTTCCTTCCTGAGAGCAATTGAGAAAGAGGACTTCTGAGGCCAGAGCTGCAGGAGGGGCCTGGAAGAGAGGCTGCATCTACTCACATCATGGTGATGTGCGTTCCTTTGTCCAGCTGAGACTGGCCTGGCAGAGAAGCTCAACACAAGGCAGAGTTTCATATGCACAGAGCTGCTCCGAGCTCTGAAGGCCCCAGCCTGGGCAGTGTTGGGGAGACTCCTATGGGACAATGTTTTCCACTGCCCAGATCACGATCTCGTAAAGACAAGGCCACCTATATCTTCCACTGAACTTTGTGTGCAGAGGAAGGTGGCTGTGGGGTAAAGCCTGGTGCAAGAGGGCACAGAGGTCTGGGAGAGGCTGTCTGACACCAAGGCCACATATTTGGCTTTAAGAGGAAGTCAAAGACATTCAGGGATTTCTCTGTAGTGTGTGCTGGGACAGATCAGCTGTGCACCAGCTTCGGCTCCTATTAACATCTGCACCTGTATTCATGGATGGCAGTCTCAGGCATCTCCATGTCACTTCGCGTCCTGCCTTTGTTCTCTGGTATCTTGGGATCAGGTTGTTCCAGCATCTGTGAAGTCTATGATAGAAGGAAGTTGAGTGACCAAGGAGGGACCCCAATAATGCAGACCTGATGTAAAGGCTTAGGCTAGGATGTGGTGAGCCAAGGAAAAGGCTTTAAAGATCTCACCTGCCCCCAGGAGGCAAAAGGCCACACCACTGAGGAGTCTGGTGGCCAGAGCAGGGCCAGGGAAAAATGTGCAGATTGTTGGGAGTTTTTTCACTTTGTGTGTTGGGGACATAATTCCTGGATGTCAGTAGAGTCACTGGTGATGCCACTGCCCCTGCCAGCCAGTGACTCTGCCCTCTGCCTGCAATTCCGCCCTCTACCTGCTGCAACCTTCAACCTAGAGTCAAGTCATAAACCTTCACCCATGTGGTCTCTGCTCCTGGCTGTCCCTCTTCTAACAACAACAGCTTGATAAAGTTCGTGATCATTTACCCTCCAGCTACCTCTCCACCGTCAGCGCAGGGTGTCCATTTTGGGATCTTTTTGACAGGCTGTTGCTTCTTCACTGAACATATGTGCTTCCCTCCCATTCCTAGGTCTCTATGTTATTTCTGACGTGAGATATATTTCAGGTACATTTCTTCTTAATGGAGAAAAGCCAAACTTAAATTTTACTAGAATAAATTAAGAAAAATATGTTTAGACATTTATATGAGAAAGAAGTTTTTGTCTACACACAAACAAAATTGTTTTTCATTTTTGTGGCATTAAATTAAACTCTTGTACATCAAAAAACACCATAAAAATGAAAATGTAAGCTACAGACATGGGAAAGATAAAGGGAATGCATATAAATGATTTTTTAAAAAGTGTGAAATTTAACATTCCTCAAAATTGCTAATTAGGAGGCCATAGTAATAACCCCCTGAAGACATCTGAGCCTCTGCTGCGGCCCTGCTGGTCACTAGAGGGCAGTGTGAGGGCTCTGGTTTACTGAACAGGATACAGAAGGTGGTGATGAAACAGGGGGGTAGGTGGAAAATGGATGGACTAGTTTGTTTCCCACTTCTGATCCTTACAAGCCAGGAGACACCGGGGAAAATGACTCAATGTCCCTGAGCCTCCCATCTGTAAAGGAAGGATGAGAATGTTTGATTTGCAAGGTTGTGGAAAAGCTTTAAGATATGTAACATATACAAAAATCTAGCACACACCAAGCGCTCAGCAGTCACTCTTATACTGAAGTTACCCAGGAAGGGACAAGCTGCAAGAAGATGCAGCACAGAAGCAGGCACACTCAGGGCACAGGAAACCTGGGCTCTATTGGTTGGGAAAGGTCTGCCCTCAGTAGGACACAAGACATGCCTTCCAAGCAACTAAAAGCTTCCCTTGAAGGAGTGAAACCTGGGTGGGGCCTGCAGCTCTCAAGTCAAAGTTACGGCAGGAAGTTTATATACAGAATGTCAGTGATTCTGCCGGGCTGTGCCAAGCTGCTGGCACAGAGATACAGGGCCGAGTCCCCCAGCAACAAGGCGTTCACATTCAGCTCAGAGCTATAGTTAGGGAACTGGCGAGCTGAGAATCGATCAGGGAAGTTTCCTCTTCCTCTCTCTTCTTTCTCATAATACTGAAAGATAAACTGGGGCCCCTGACCCAGGACCTGTTGGTACCAGGACACACTCTTGTGCCCAGAGATAGGAGAGCATCTCAGAGTCACTTGCTGTCCTCTCGTTTTGATCAGGTGTGTGGGACTTTGGGTGACTCCAGCGTCCACTGGGCCTGTGGGAAAAGCAGATGGAGGATGAGCTCAGGAGACAGCCTGGAGGTCTTCTCCATGGTAAAGTGGAGGACACGGGTGGAAAAGCTGAGAATGGGGCTGCTGTCCTGTGCCCAGGACTCACCTGCTACCAGGAGACAAAGCAGCACCCAGCAGAGGAGCCCAGGGCCCATGGCACAGTGGGGCAGGCAGCACTGCACCTGATTCAGGGCTTGGTCCTCCTGGGGAAGAACCCAGTGAGTTCTGAGCCTTGATTTTCCTGATGGGAGGGGTATCCTGTGATGTCACTGTCCTGTGTCCTCCTCATGCAGCCTTCCTTAAGTCTAGCGCACTACGGACCCTGGACTCAACCTGTCCTGCAGAGCTGGAGGAATGTGTGAAGGCAGAAGCTTCTGTGGTGATACAGTTGCTCCTCTACCTACACTGCCCCAGCTCACAGGCAGCCCCACCACCCTATCACCCTTCTCCCACCTAGTGCTGTGGTACTCCATCCTGGAGCTCACACACCTGCCCATCAGGGGAGGATGAGGAGCCTGTGATTAAACCTCAAGTTGCAGTTCTTCCTTGCTGTCCTCACATCATCTTTCTGATGCTAGATTCACACCATGTTTCTTATCATATTTTCCTGTCTCAGGCAACATTCCCAACCCATTTCCTGAGTGGCCAGCGGTGCAGAGTCCCCAAGATTTAGTCCATCTGATCAGAATCAAAGCAGACCTGTGTTGTCTGTAAATTATCAAGAGTTCAGATTCCCCAGAAATAATTCTAGGGCCTTCTCAGCTCATAGCACAGACCTAGCCAGCTTGGGACTCAGCACCCTCAAGGTCATCCTATACGTAGTGCTCTGGACAGTTTATGTTATTCCCTTCAGATCCACCCTGCCTTCAGAAGCTGACCCCAGTGTATTATGTTAACTGGCTCCTCTTTTCTCTAACTCCAGAGCGAGTTTGTCTTATTGGAGACAGGACAGCAGAGGGAGGTAGTGTCACCATCTGTGCTGGTTTGCAAAATCTATTCCCTTGGCTCCTTTCTTGCTGGGTTAAATTTCCTGGTGCCTGAAAGTAGTCCACAATAGCCTGAATGCTTAGCTGCTTAGATATTTCCTTCAGTAGATATCCTAGCTAATAGCTCATAATATTTTTATTCCAGAAAGTCCTAGAACAGGACACAATTTTTCCAAGGTTTTTGCTACTTACAACAAGGATAGAATTTACTTTGATTTCCGATATCTTGTTCCTCATTTCCCCCTGAGCCTTCGCCAGAATTACCCTTAATGATCTATTTCAGCAATCTAGGCTTTTGCTTGTCTGCTTCTCCGAATTCTTCCAACCTCTATCCATTACCCATTTGCCATTAACCAAAGCTGTTTCTACATTTTCAGGTCCTTGTTGTAGCAACAGCGCCACTCTCAGCACCATGTTTTCTTTCAATTTCTTTCCTACTGCTGTAGAGAAATACCACAGACTGGGTAATTTATAAAGACAAGGGATTTATTTGGCTTATAGATCTGGAGACCGGGAAGTCCAAGATCAAAGGGCCATAACTGCTGAGGGCCTCCTGCTATTATCCAAGGCAGAAAGAAGGGGAAGCAAGCACCCAAGACAGAGAAAGTGGCTGAATTCATACTTTTTATCAGAAGACCATTCCCAAGACAACTTATTCACTCCCACAATAGGGCGTTGATCTGTTTCTGAGGGCAGATCCCTGATGACCTAGTGATAACTGTCCCACCTCCCAATACCATTACATTGACAAATTTCAACATGAGCTTTTGTGGGGACACGCAAGCATAGCACACACATCTACACTGTGAGTCAGTATTTCCACTCTTAAGTCTATACCTAAAAGAAAATAAAAAAAAAAGAATCCATATATCCACAAGAAAGAATTCCACAAGAATATTCACAACAATTTTATTCATAATAGTTGAAGACAGGAGTAACATGGATATCCATCAACGGGAGCATGGATAAACAAGTTGTGGTATATTTACACAGTGGAATATTAGTCATAATAAAGAATGACCTGCTGATACAACAATATGAATACACTTCAGAAATACTAATTTTGGAGGAAAATAACTCAATAAAAATGTTATATGATTCCATTTATACGGAGTGCAGGAATAGACCAAGCTAGTCAATGGTGATAAAAATAAGAAAAGTTTTGGCCTGGCGCCGTGGCTCATGCCTGTAATCCCAGAACTTTGGGAGTCCGAGGTGGGTGGATCACGAGGTCAGGAGATCGAGACCATCCAGGCTAACACGGTGAAACCCCGTCTCTATTAAAAATACAAAAATTAGCCGGGCATGGTGGCGGGCGCCTGTAGTCCCAGCTACTCTGGAGGCTGAGGCAGCAGAGTGGCATGAACCCGGGAGGCAGAGCTTGCAGTGAGCTGAGATCACAGCACTGTGCTCCAGCCTGGGCGACAGAGTGAGACTGTCTCAAAATAAATAAATAACTAAGAAAAGTTTTTATCTGTGGGATAGAAATTGATTGGAACGGAGCATGACGACACTTTCCTGCATGACGGAAATTTTTTTATAATCATTTCAGTTACCGTTGCTCTGGCATATGCATTTGTCAAAATTTACCATGTTGTCCTTGTATTAATATTTCTGTTTTTATCTCTATTAGTTAAACCTTAAATAAAATTGTTACTAAAAAGTAAACAGTTAATTGCATAAAATATGGGAGTGATTTACAAATGTATGCTTGTATTCTGTACAGCCCAATTTAAAAATGAATCACACAAAAATAAGAAAAGACAGGAGCACACATATCTGTAAGTTATGGAGAATGTGAGAAGTGCTTGGTGACTGAAGTGGCAACTTTAAAATTTGGTATCAAAATAAGCTCAACTGATGCGTGGGCTGAAAAACAACTGAGGATCAATATCAAGGAAAGCTATAGACAAACAAAAGCTGTTTACAATATCTTTATATGCTGTTGAAATCATTCTGACAACCATGAGCTGCTATACATTTCATAACTTGGAAAATTGGGCATTCATCACTCTCACATTCAGACTTTCCTTTCATTTTGGCTTTCAACAGATTGGCCAATTGGTGAAGTGATTTTTTTGCCCAGCAAGCAGCCTGCTCCCCTCTTTGTGAGTGGGGTTCCCGGGTGACCCGGCCCTCTCCCTTTGACAGCCTCACAGAGGGGAGTTGGGCACAGCACAGACACACGGGGTTCCCTGCACGTGGGGTTTGCACTCCCTGTGAAGCCCAGCTCTGGACCTCCCAGTCCTGCAGTTAATGGATCCCAACTAAAGAAACGTTGCCTCTAGGTATTCGCTTTACCTGTTAGTGCTAAGGAGGGATACAGGCTGGAGAAAAATAAAATGTTTGCTCAATATTATTCTGTAATATTTTACAAGAAAATCAATTGAGGAGTTCATGGATTTTCATCCAAGCCAAAGTCATGATAATAGCTGAATTCCTTCTTTAATCTACCCTGAGAAGACTTAAACACTGCTCTCAATAACACAAATACTTAGTGGAGACTTATTTATAGTCTCTTTTTGGTAATTCTACTAGTCAATTATCATCAGGTCTAACGGCACAGTTTGGTGCATCTACTAACATTTTTCTTCTGTAGTCTGTTTACTTAGGTGTTTTAGAGCTTGTTCTCAATATTTTTTGTCCTCCAGAGAACACATGCCTGGTGTCCAATGGAATCTAAGCCAAGGTGATGTTATCAGTACGACTTCTGAACTTCTAGAATTCCAGATCACTCAAGCAGGTTAAAGCTGTTGCCTGGCCAGACCTGCAGGGAAGATGAGGTGCAGCAGAGACCCACTGGGCTCAGGGCACAGCCCACCCCTCGCTTTTCCCTTTTCCTCTGAGGCAGTTGCTCCTCTACACCTGCCCCTGAACAAAATTTGCCCCGGCCAAAATTCCTCAACTGTAGATGTCATTAAAGATTAGAGGGACTTCCCGTCTCTTGCATAGCTGTAGGTAGCCTAGCAATAACTGAAAGCTGCTGCAACATCTGCATAATACAGGATCCAAGCCCTAATTTTTCTTAACCCTTTCCCTCCTAGGATGCTCTCCTAGACTCCCCAGAGCCCTTTCGAGCTCAGTGGACCACACTGCCATCTTGTGGCCAATACGTGAAGTTTCAACATTGTTTCTTCTGTAATGGCCCAAGGAATGCTGGGAAGTGTCTGCAGAGGAAGCTGCCAGAATATTCCAGAAGTGCCATCACGCTGGTTTTATGAGCAGCTTCCCTTAAACCCTAAGTCTAACATTAGTTCTAACCCTGATTATTGCTTTGAGTTACCAATCTTAATATCCCACCCTCATTCTGAATAACACTTATCACATAGGTCCAGTTATAGTTTAACTTTTTCTCCCTTAAAACTACCATCTAAAGAAAGAGTAACAGAAGGAGAGGAATGAAAGGAAATAATATTTGGCTTAAAATAGGAAGAAAACACAGACATTGAAGTATAAAGAGATTATTTAATCTGAATCACTAAAGATAAACAAATCGTCCTCCAAAAATGACAATGTTACCCCAAAAGTATAGATCAGCAAAAGATGAAGTCAAATATCTATTAATAAAAAGTAAAATTGAAATATATAAAACGAGACCTCTTACAAGGCAATAAGCAATGAATGGTGGAGGGAGCAGTACCTAATGCAGAAAATAAGGATGGATATAACTAAGACTAGCAAAGGGGCTGCTACAGGAAATGATCAGCTTGTACAATGCACATCCACTGATCTGAGCACCAAACACGGAAGAGATGATTCTGAAACAGGCAGAGGAGCAGCGGGAGATGAGGACATGCTGGTACAAAATAGCATCATAAGGAAGCAAATCAGCCGGGAGACTGTGGATTAGATGACTTTGCTTTCTCCTGTCTCCTGTGACAGCTGAACTGGACCATTTTCCTCTCCAAGGATTTGCTTCTGCACCCTGAGTTAGAGGCCCCTGGGATTTGCTCCTCGTCAGATTCCCATGGATGAACTCCCACTCCCTCCTTGTTGAGCACAGTCTGAAGGAGAGGTCATCTCTCCCTCCCCTTCAATCCCACAGTATTGGGGAATGGCACAGACTTCTCAATTGGCATCGATCTCTCTCATGGCATGCTCACATGCCCCCTAACTGTGCCTTTTCATTTCCACTAGACTGAAAGTTAGATGTAGGCAATGAAACTTAACACCTTTATCATAGATACCCAAGTAACTGCTCTCAAAATTATTGCTATTTCTTTCACTGCCTTGGGTTACAGCTGAACTTTCCTGTACAGCACAATTTCCTGTAAAGGCACAATTTCTTAATGTGGCTTAACCACAAAAACCTTCCCAAGTGCCAAAAACAATATAACTACCAAGGGATTGCTCTCCTCATTGGTGAGATGGCACAATAAAACAAAAACAAAGAAAATTTTGTCAAATACTTTAAAGGAGACCCAGAACCCCAGTCCCTCTTATACAAACATCACTGTTTGGCCTCCCTCTACCTAAGAGACAGGCAGAGCCATTCCTGTGCCCTGCACCTGGTGGGAAAGCCCTGCTGGAGCCTGTGGGGAGCTGGTGAGGATGAGCCTTGGTGATTCTGCCTCCAGAGCAGGGATTCTCGGGGAGCTCTGGACAACTTCCAGGGACTGAGATGGAGAGTGGCCACACTCCGTCTTGGAGAGGAGAATATTGAGGGTGTGACCCTTCTGACCTCTCAGCCTAAAGTAAAAGCAGAGTCATTCCTGACTGGTGGGGAGCTGCTTAGTCTCCAAAGCAAAATTGTCCTTTTTACAGGGTCTCTCGTTGCCACAGAAGAATAGCGGGGCTGTAAGTGTTTCACAACCCAGAGTTGCTGCTTGGCCATCTCTGTTCCCAATGACTCCAGCATCTGAATATTCCATGCAAGGAAAGATAATTTGTAAATAATGAACTGGTTCAGTGATACCTTTAGTTACATTCAAAATAGTTGTCATGTTCCAGACTGGCGTGCTTGCAGGAGACACAGAGCTACAGAGCAAGAGAATTTGGGAGCTGGATAGAAATGGGAGCAATCAAGGCCCCCTTAGATGATGGCTTCTAAGAACAGAGTAGAGGAGACATAAATTCTGAGCCCTTTTGTCCCTAAAAGACATGGCATAACAGGGACATCAGAAAATACTCCAGTGATGTGCTGATAAACTGGGTGTCTGTGAAGGTGGGGGCATGGCTGGTAGCATTTGCTAATTTCTGTTGTACCAACATACCCACCATGGCAGATTTCAAGCTCCCAGCATGGCTTCACTGAACAGGGAGCTGGGAAAAGTATGCCTATTTGATTCTTCTGACTCATACAAGCTGGCTCCAGCACATCCCTAGACTCAAGAGCAAAGCTTTCAAAGTTCGTCAATGCTTCCTACTCAACATACTAAAATGAGGCCACAGCAACTATAGCACACCTCATTGTTTTCATGATAGGATCAGTGTGTGATCCTGGATCTTGGAATGGACAAAGGGATGTTTGTGCAGAGAAGGGATTTCTGAGTCCTCTGAAGCTGCCAAGATCACAGAGCAAATAGCTATGTTGGTTGGTTGGGGAGCCGCTAGCCTTTGACTTGATGTAATTACTGTGAAAGTTTTCTCCTACTTAACTTAAGACAACAGAATGACTTCATTAGAACAGAAACTGCATTCCTTGCTATTTGTTCATTAGTACCATCTACCCTTTGCTCCTCTTGCATGTTCATTCTCAGTATAAATTGGAAGCCCTGCTCGTTTTTGCTACATGTTCTTGCAGCGCCGTTGACAACTATAGACTGTGTTTTCTTCAGCCTCAGTGTCAGAGCTTGTCCACTGTTAGGACCAGCTATCTCAGGAGTCACATGGAGGAAAGTGGCAGCAGTTAGACAAAGGGTCTAGGAAGACAGGGAATTCCCATCTGTGCTCTGGACTTACTCAGTCCCAGGAGACAGGGCACCTGAGCAAGGAGGGATTTGATGACGACACAAGAAAAAATGGGTCAAGAGCAACTCCCTGCCAGTGACCATCATTCTCTGGAGAAAGAAATTTGGTATCTGTACCACCACAATTTCTGATCAGTGAATTTGGAAGGACTATGATGCCCCTCCTAGCTATGAAAGACTCAGGGCACCTCTATCATGGTTGCATCTGGGACACTGAGTCCCACACTTGGAGAAGTGGTCTGTCGCCAAGGACTCCCAGAAACCCACGATCCATAATCACATCAGCTCTGACCAGTGCATTCGCTTTCACAGATACACACTGCAGCAGCACCCACAGATAGGTGGAAGATTCTATTGCAATATAATCATTGTACTTCTATTTATAACAAGTACTATATAGTACTATCTATTATAAAAAATAAAATAAAAAGGAATAGATTCAATATTATAAATAAAACACTTCTTGAGTTAAAGGCCTCGGTAAAATTATTTCAAATCAAATGAGTTGGACAACAATGAAAACACTCAGAGTCTAAAAATCAGATTTCCTGAGGGAATCGATGTGAACAGGCAGCAGTGGTGAATGCATGCTTCTGTCTATCAGGACAGTAGCAATGGCAAATGGAAATAAAATAAAGGATACAAGTGGCTTAAAGTAGGCAGAAGAAATGAAGTCTTATTGTTACCATGATTGTATTTATCAAGTAAAGACCACGAAAGTTGCAAAGACCTTTACTTTAAACAGGAAGAGAGGTTCGATATTTTGTTGCAAAAATTTCCAAGGTGACAGGAATAGAAGAGGCTTTAGAAGAAAGATATTCCTGGGGATGTAGCCTCAGACCTTCCAGATGCCCCAAAATATGCAGGAGAAGAGCATGTTTCCTGCCCTTGACAACCTCATATATGTGGGTAACACAGCAGCCTCCAAGACCTATAGAAGATGCATGTCTGCCCTGAAGGCCAAGGCTAAGACACCCACTCCGTTTGGAGCAGTGAGCTGGCTCCAAGCACTCCTAGAGGGCAGTGGGACGTGATTGTTTTCACCACCTACATTTGCAGTCACTGTGTTTCAGGAATGAATCTGTGGTCTCTTTCTACCCAAAGGACAGCCGATGTCCAAATCTACTTATTTCCCACGAAAAGTGAGGATCAAAGATAGGCCTCTATTAAGGGTCTCTAGGAGATGCAAGGAGAGAGAAGGATGAGGTTTGTGAGCAGGAAGGACACGACTGTGCCACACTGTGGCTAAGCTTCTGGCACAGAGATACACAGCCGAGTCGCCCTTGCTCTGTGCGCTGGATCTTCAGGTGGAGAAAGATCCTCAGACCTCTCTGTGGAGAATTGATCACTGAGCAGCCCTGATTTATCTTGTTGAGTTTCATCCTGGAAGGAAGTCAGAAACTCTTGGCCCTGCCCCAGGGTCTGTCGGTACCAATAAAGGGTTACCTGACCCGAAATTGGATCACACCTGGGAGCTACATCCTGTCCCCTCTGTGTGACTTCGTACCTTGGGGACTGGGAGACTCCAGCACCTGTGTGATCTGTGGAAATAGAATTTGGCAACAGAATAAGGAAAACATCTGTAGTCATCGCACACACACACACACAAACACACACACACCTACACACAGAGAAAAAATAAAACTACTTAATGTTCTGAGGACTCACCTGTCCCTAGGAAACCCAGGACCACCCAGCAGAGGAGCCTGGTGCCCATGGCAGGGTCAGGCCAGGATGGGGGCTTTACCAGATCAGTGTCACTGTGAGCAGGAGCAGAGGACGAGGAATGTCCTTGTCTCCACAGGGCAGTTCCCACAGTAACATCACTTCCTCTCTCAATCCCCAGGATGTCAGGGTCACAGTATTTATATTAGAACACACTTTAAATATTTATAAGCTCCTTTTTAACAACATCAATGCCTGGCTCATTGCTTTGGGCTCCCGTGCTGTCTGGAGCCAGAGGCCTCACACTGCATCTCTGAGTTCATCTTCTCATCCTACAGCCACTCCTCTGTCTGCTGGGCATGTCTTGTAGGATGTGCCAACAGCATCCCCAAAACAAGGCACCAAGGCATTAGCTCATTGTCTATCCTGCAATTCAGGGTCCCCTCTGCCATCCCCATTTATGCCCCAGCCTCCTCCATTCCCTCAGTCACACGTGCCCAACGGGGCAGCCCCATCACTTGGGTTACCTCACGAACTGCCCTCATGCCTTTCTTCTGGGATCATTTCCCACCTTTCTTAACTGTAATTCAGAAAAGAAACCTTGATAGCAAACTCACAGCAGTCATTTTTTCATGTTCCCCTTCTAAAAGTTATTTTTTTTTAATCAATCTTACCTTAAATGAAGGAGAATGATTATTGAGCTAATGGTTATTTTTACCACTGTCTTAACTTACTGTTGTTCTCCATCTATTCCTATGGGACGTATTTGTCTTTTCTTTCTGACGGCTTTCAAAATCTTCTCTTTGTCCGTCATGTTCTACAATTTGCTTATGACTTGACTGCCTTATTTGAGATTCATTGTGATTCTGGAAACTCTGAATTTAGGTCCTTAAACACCTCAAAAAACTTCTCAGCTAACATCTCATAAATATCACTTCATAACATTCTACCTATTTTATCTGTCTGAAAATTCAATCATATGCAACAAAAAATGGGAAATTATGAAAAATATGCATATTCTAATATATGGGAAACATCCATTTTTTTCTTCCCTGTTCTCTTCTTTCATATTTCACTTTTCATTTTCCATGCTGCATTCTAGATCACTCCTGCAGATCCATCTTTGAAATCACTAAAAATCTCTGTAGGAGGAGCTAATCAACTGTTTGACTTTCCATTTTGTTTTCAGTGATTGTATGAGGCATTCCTAGATATATTTTTTGACAATTGTTATGAAAGTTGATGGTTTCAGGCATTGTCTTTTTCCTAGTTTCAGTTCCCCGTCATGTTCATTTAAATGTAGCTCACCAAACTTTCATATCTTATAATGCCAACATTTCGAGTCTTCAGGTTTGCACTTCAAATGTTTGTTGCTTGTGCTCATGTTTCCTCATTGCTATCTCCTAATATTCTTCATACTGGGAATCCATTTGTTCGATGGTAGTCTGTGACATTCCAGTGAGGCCCAGAGTGAGAGTGAATAACACTAAGAGTCAGTCATTTTGCAGCCATCTCCAGTCTAACTCCCTAATGTATGGCGCCAATAACTGCTGCACTCTAGGCTGCCAAATACACACATGACAAAGGTCGGTAGGGTCAAAAATGCTCTCAGGACACTCCCAAGGAAAAATTCAGAATAGAATTCAAATTTTCTAATTATTTTTAATAAAGCTCTTTCATAAATAAATGCCATTAAGCCATGTAGTCATCATGACATTTTCTTCTAAGGAGAAATTACACATACATATTTATAAATACATATATACTCATACATATATAGACCCTCTGGGTGAGAGAGACTTCAGACACAGTATTAAAAGAAAAGTTAGTCACCAGCGTCTGGAACATCTACATACAAATTGTGTCCACATTCACCTGGGCAGCACAGGTGTCCCCCGGAGAGGAGTCCATGGACCGTGGCAGGTCGAGACAGTTGTGTGATCTGATGCCTTAATCTGGGAGAATCCATCCTGTGCTGGATTGTGTTAAGTCAACTTTGCAAATGAAGAGTCTGACTTTCCCAGAATGCCATTTCTGTTATCATTCTGGTTAGAGATGGTCAAGGATACATTTGGTAAAATTTAGAAGACAGATATAAAACAGTCACTATAACAATTGGCAAGTCATTGTGGTCAGACAGTGAGAGTCAGTGACCAGCAGATACAGAGGCATCCAACAGACCTCAGAAGTCCTGTTCCTTCTGCACCCTGTGTCCAGTTCATCTTCCCAAATGTTGGCCAACAGCAGCCAGGCTGCCCACAGTGTTTGGCAGTGCACCTGCAGGGGTGGCCCCCATAGACAAGGAACAGCTTCCCCAGAAGCAGGTTTCCTTGGCCTTTTCCTGTGCTCCCGGCTCAAGGTCCCACTGCATGTCCTGGTATGCTCTGATCCTCTCATGTCCCTGCCACTCTAGCCTGTCCTGCCCAGAGCTTCAGGAGCCCTGACTACTGACTGGCTCCCTCACCTTCTGACTTCTCTCCTCCAGACCTTGTCTTCCTCAGCTCCTCCCACATATGCATAAAGTCTAATTCTGATCATAAATCTGTTACACTCTCAAACTTGTAGTGGCCCTGTTTTATTGATGCAAACCTAATGGAGATTTTCTTACCAGAAGTGGTTTCAAGGAACAACCTTTAAGGATGGAATTCTAGAAGTGGATCTCTGATCTGTCTAGATTTGTTGTGGGGAAAGACCCTGAAAGAGAGCACAGAGACCTGGAGGAGGTCAGGTACTGCAGCCACAAGAGAAAGCCTTGAGCCAGATGTGGCCGCCATGATAGTGATTCCCCATCAATTTCCAAGATCGACCTGAGCCCAGCAATCAAAGGGGTGGGCTTTCTTGTACTTAATGCTAGACCTCTGCCAGTTTACAGTAGATGTAGTGTGTTCCTACTATTGGTTCGTCCACCCACTCATCACTCATTCAGCCTCTCGTTCACTCATCCATTCTCTGTGAAATGGGTATCCCCACACGCCAGGCACTGATGTTGTTAATGCAGCAGGCACAGCCTTAGCTCTCATGGGCTCAAAAATTGAGTGGAGAGGCCGGGCACGGTGACTCACGCCTGTAATCCCAGCACTTTCGGAGACCGAGGCAGGTGGTTCATGAGATCAGGAGATCGAGACCATCCTGGCCAACATGGTGAAACCGCATCTCTACTAAAAATACAAAAAAGAATTAGCTGAGCATGGTGGCACATGCCTGTAATCCCAGCTACTCGGGAGACTGAGGCAGGAGAATCACTTGAATCAGAGTCAGAGGTTGCAGTAAGCGGAAATCATGCCACCGCACTCCAGCCTGGTGACAGAGTGAGACTGTCTCAGAAAAAAAAAAAAAATTGGGTAGAGCACAAAAATCATCAGACAAGTATCTGAGAAAGCCTAATTGTCCTAAGGGTTACTAAGAGACATATGATTCTATGAGAGCTTATGAGAGGAAAATTGATCTCAGCTGGGCGGTGAGGGATTGCTTCCTGCGGGAGGGCAGATCATTCTGAGATCTGAAGCACAGGTAGGAGCTGGCCACTAGAGAAAGGAAGTCTCCATCCAGGGCAGAGGAAATGGCCTTTGAAGTCTCTGTGATGGGAAGGAAGGAGTCTCAGAAGAGGTGCTCCCCCCATGGCTGCAGTAGAGAGGGGCGGGGAGGCGGGGGATGGAAGGTGACTGCCCAGATGGGAAAGATAGGCCACAGGACAGACCATGGGTGGGGTGGGGGAGGGGAAAACTCTAGATAGAGGAAGCAGCATGCTCACCAGGGAGAGGACAGCCTAGATGGATCTGAAATACAAATCCTGTTTCATCCTGGGGGCCTCGGAGTCAGGATGATGAGTAGAAAAGTAGGAGCTGGGGAAGCCCTGGCCCAACCCCAAAAGGAGAGCTCAGAGGATAGACCAGAGAGAGCAACAAAGGAGACATCTGAGGACCTGGGACCAGTCCAGGCCTGGCTGAGATGGCTGCAGGAGCACCTGGCACAGACTGAGGCTCATACTGTCCGGGCCACTTAGGGCCACTCGGGGTTCCAAGGTCCCCATTGCAGAAAACTCTGCCCAGGTCATCCCTGAGTCTTGGGTGGGGGAGGAGGGCAGAGCCACCCTGCCTTTATGTGCAGAGAGGAGATGGTCTTGTAGCGCTGTGGAGTAACTGCTGGCACAGAAGTACACAGATGTCTGGGAGGGAGCAGCCAACTCCAGCCTGAGCGGGAAATACTCTGTGGTTGATCTGGAGACGTTGTAGCCATTCGGGACTTCTCCTTTATCAGTGATACCAGCACCAACTGAATAATAAATCAGCTTCAGCCCCATGCCTGGGTCTTGTCGATACCAGTACATGTAGTTATGGTTCATATCCTGGGCACACTGCAGTGTCATGCTCTGTCCTATCTTCAGGATGCGGAATTTTGGGGTCTGAGTGACACCAGCATTCACTGGACCTGCAGAGAAGGAAACAGCTGATGCTGCAGCCCCAATGGAAAGGGGCTGGGCCTTGAAATCTATGCAAGGGGCCCTGTCCAGGACCCACCTGCCCACAGGAGAGGAAAGGCTGCACAGCACAGGAGGCTGATGCTCATGGCAGGTGCTCCAGGACGGAGGGGTCTTCTGTATCTGTGCATTGATGAAAGGGGAACAGGACTCTCAAGGAAGTCATTCTGAGACCTCATTCTCCCTGCCTGGGCCCCAGAGCCTTCCTGTCAGGAGAGGCCACGCCTCTTCCCCAGATGGTTCAATCCAAAATAAATGCGCCAGAGAACAGCTGACAATGAGAAGAAAACATTTGTCTGAATTAAAACAAGTCTACAAGATTTTCATAACCTTTGGTAAACAGTTTGTAATTCACTGTAAATTTTATTTTTTCAATGATATAATTAATAGTCTGGTGTTAGTTATCTACATAGTGCTGTAGTCTAGAGTCTTAGGGCAATTCCTCATGTCTTCCTGGTGTTTTTGACTACTGCGTCCCAAATACTCCTTCAAGTATCATTTTCTAATTTGCTTAATTGACCATAATCCTGTTTAAAATCCTTTGTCTATATTGGTTTTCTCTGTTATTAGCTTTCCAGATCCCACGGGCAGGCTCATCAACATTGGAGGAATCATTTTGCTCTGTTTCTTGTCAATCCACTGACAGATGAGACTCCTGACAAGCCCAGCTGAGCACCTTCAGCTCCACCCAGGGCTCTTGCTTTCCATGCCTGGGGTGAGACCACAGCAGGCAGAGAACCACCTCACGCTGCTGACTGCCCTCTCTGTATGGATGATGGTGGCCACCCAGCACTGCCCATGACCTATGGACACAACGGTGGCCTGATGCATGATTAGGCCACAGCTCCTCACAGAGCTCCTCACAGAGCTCTCTGGTCTAGTATATCCATATCACTGTCTCTGCTACATCTTGTGATGGGAATAATTTTCTCAAAACTCAGGTCTTCTGGTTGTAGGCCACTAACCACTTACACACTCTAGTACCTCCCCACTGCCAACACCATGATGCTTCTATCTGCAGTGCTGTAGGGTACACAGGCTCTCTTAACTCTGGTGTCCGATCTGAAGACAGCCCCAGATGGTTCTAGACTTCCCCTCTGTCAAAGTCCAGTGACCCCTCTATCAATTCCACATGGAAGCAGGCTGACTGCCCTTCATCTGCCTCCACCATTTATTAGCTCTGAGACCGTGGGCAAGGCCATTCATTAACTTTCCTGGATTCTAGCCTCATCTAGACTCATCTATAAAACAAGACTAACATTCCCCTCAATGCTTTATGAGGTTGAACTGAGATACCGTGTAGTCTCTGTTAGGTTTGATAAAGGTCTATCCTTTTATCCGTCCCTGTCTCCTCATGCAGGAGGAACCAATGGAGCTCTCAAACCTGCCAGGACTATGAGTGATGGAAACGCTGGAATCATCAACTGGGTGCTGGGGTGAGAGGAACTCGGAAGCACAAAGAGGACATTCAGTCACTTTGGAAAAGATCTGGCAGAATTTAGGAATCAGACAATAGAGCACAAATGTACCTGTCTACCCTCATTATGCAATGTGAAGCAGCTAATAGGAGCAAGTTAGATCTATATCAACCAATCTGGAACAATAAAGACCAGGATATATTAACAGAAAAGAGTATGCATGTGGCAGGTAAAGTGTACAGGTGAACCCATTTTCTGTAGGTGTACTTGGGTAGAAAGGTGTGCATGAACACAGAAAAGAGGGGTGAAAAGAAGCACACCAGAGCGTTAATATTGGTTATGAGTGGAAGGTGGGATTGGATTGGAGAGCATTATTGACATTTTCATTATATATATTATTTAATTTGTTTATTAAAAGTTCTTAACCACATGCAAGCTTTAAGTTTACACTTTTTGTCAGACATCAGAATTTGTAGTGTCTAAATGGGCAAAGTACAGAAAGCTTCTGTTTATGGAACCCCCTATAATGGCCCATTTATTTTTTTTACTAAACCGAGGAGAAAGTGTGCTCTGTAAAAGCACACGAGCTCCTGGTGAACACAGACAGTCTCTGACTGCTGAGGAGGGTGAGCATCGAGGTCGATACATTTGATGGTGAGGTCAGCTTGGCTGATTATGAACTAATAAGGCTTCTACCTGTGAAAGCCTGATCACCACGGGGAAGTGGAGGATCTCACCCCTTGTTCTAGAACAGCCTTTGAATAGCCCCTGATTGGAAAAGGAAGAGAAATGAGCACCCTCTAGTGCCTGCATTTCCAAACTCAGTGAGAGCTCGTTTCCAGTTTTACATTGTTCAAGCTTTAGAAATGCTCTTTGTTTCTGATCCAAGTAGCAGTATTATTACAATGTCGATTGTAACGATATTCCAGTGTTTATCAACAGCACACAGCTTTCTCAAATAGAGCTTTAGTGAGTGGGTGGAAGAAAATGCTGTCCCTAGGGAAGATGTTCTGACTGTGGTCTGTTTAAGGTTCAATTATTTAAAATAGCTAGTCTATTTTTGGTCTTTATTGCCTAAAGAGATAAAACTGCATTTGTCTTTAAAGCATAGATGCAAATCACTCCAGCAAAATTGGGGCTTCGGTCTATCTGTGGGCCATCCTTGGTGATTGTATATTTGATTATTTCCACCCAGAATGGCTCTCACAATTCTTCAGGGACTAACACATAGCCCTGCTCTATATGTGGAGCCTCTGCCTCACAACCAGCCTTTCCTAACTGGCAAAGGAGGGGAACAAGCAAAGGTCTCTGTTCAGTGCCCTGAACCAAAATCAGGTGTGCGCTGGAGGAAGCTGGTGACCATGAACTCTGTGTCTCTGACATTGCCCACCAATTCATGGAAATGGAGACTAATGATATAGTTCAGTGTAGCAGCCACCATGGCCTCAAAGCCACCCAAAGAATGGAGAAGCCATTTGTTTTTTTCTCCATGAACTTTTTTTTTTTAGAAAGAGTCTTGCTCTCTCGCCCAGGCTGGAGTACACTGGTGAGATCTCAGCTCACTGTGAGCTCCACCTCCCTGGTTCACGCCATTCTCCGGCCTCAGTCTACTGAGTAGCTGGGACTATAGGCGACTGCCACCACGGCTGGTTAATTTTGATTTTGTATTTTTAGTAGAGTTGGGGTTTCACATGTTAGCCAGGCTAACCTGACCTCATCATCTGCCCTCCTTGACCTCCCAAAGTGCTGGTATTACAAGCATGAGCCACTGCACCCAGCCTCCATCACCTTTTAATGCCAGTATTTAATGCTATATTTCACACCACTCTGCCAATGATTAGGTGCGCTGTGTCTGTGAGACTCCCAAATCCAGGACACCTGTGAGGGAAGGACATTGGAGGAGAAAAGCCAGGAAGGCGGTGGGCAGTTAGGAAATTCAGTCCTGCAGAAAGGCTTGGATCCAGTTACTCATCCATGACAGGGATTTCTCCTCTGTTTCCAGGACTCATTAGATCCTAGGAGATGAAGGGATAGAGGTTCCCGCTTAATGCGTCCAGACTTCTGAAACACTCTACGTGGGAACCCAGAGGGCCTTTCACTATCCATCCTTTATTCTTTCAAGATTGGCCACTGGCACCTGGAACCGCTGTTTGTACTGATGATAAAATCAGGAACAAAACATCCACACTTTCTAAAATGATGCGTTTTACAGTCTAGAGAGCAAGAGAAGAGTCCATTAGTCACCCGAAGTCATGGAAAATGACAATGGTGTTAAATCTATGAATACTAACGCACATTATGAGCTGTGAGGATTTATATTAAGGAGGTGCAGCCTAGGAAAACTGTTGAAGGAGCGTATCCCTAGAGATGGTAGTGGTTAAACTGAGATTTGGAGCAAGAACAAAAAAGAAGAGACTTGTGTTGACCCAGAGGATACAGCATGGAGTGGAAAGGGCTTTGGTAGGAGGAGCATGACGCGTGAGGAATGGCCTGAACTGAGGCATCTGTGGTTGACCTGGAGGTGAGGATGCAGAGGAAGGGAGAGGACAGCTGGGAGCGGACATCACGTGGAGGAGGCTGAGGACTGATATGAGCGTGGTGTGGGGAAGATGGAGTTGTGAATGCTGACAGGGAAAAGAACATAGACCTGTGTTGTCAATGCTGTCTGCAAATATACAACTTCAAATGAGCTTTCCTTTCGAGAATAACTGAAGAAAAGGACTTCTGAGGCCAGAGCTGCAGGAGGGGCCTGGAAGAGAGGCTGCATCCACTCACATCATGGTAAAGTACATTCCGTCGTCCAGCTGAGACTGGCCTGGAAGAGAAGCTCAGCACAGGGCAGAGTTTCCCATGCACAGAGCTGCTCAGAAATCTGAGGGCCCCAGCCTGGGCAGTGTTGGGGAGACTTCTATGGGACAACGTCTTCCGCTGCCTGGATCGCAGTCTCGTGAAGACGAGGCCACCTATATCTTCCACTGAGCATTGTGTGCAGAGGAAGGTGGCTGTGGGGTGACTGCTGGTGCAAGAGGGCACAGAGGTCTGGGAGAGGCTGTCTGACACCAAGGCCACATATTTAGCTTTGAGAGAAAGTTACAGACCCTCAGCAATTTCTCTGTAGTGTGTGCTGGGACGGATCAGCTGTGCACCAGCTTCAGCTCCTATTAACACCTACACATGTCATGGATGACAGTCTTAGGCATCTCCATGTTGCTTCGCATCCTGCCTTTGTTCTCTGGTATCTTGGGATCTGGTTATCCCAGATTCTATGAAGTCTATGATAGAAGGAAGTTGAGTGCCCAAAGAGGGACCTCAATAATGTAGACCTGTGGTAAAGGCTTAGGCTAGGATGTGGTAAGCCAAGGAAAAGGCTTTAGGGGACTCACCTGCCCCCAGGAGGTAAAAGGCCGCACCATTGAGAAATCTGGTGGCCAAGGCAGGGTCAGGGAAAATTCGGCGAATTGTGGGAGGTTTTTCAGCTTGTGCCTTGGGGACATAATTCCTGGATGTCAGTAGAGTCACTGGTGATGCCACTGCCCCTGCCAGCTAGTAATTCTGCCCTCTGCCTGCAACTCCTCCCTCTACCTGCTGCAACCTTCAACCTGAAGTCCAGTCATAAACATTCGCCCATGTTGTCTCTGCTCCTGGCTGTCTTTCTTCTACAAGACAATAGACAGACAAGGTTCATGATAATTTGCCTTCCAATTATCTCTCCACTGTCAGCACGAGGTGTCCACTTTAGAGCTCTTTTTGAAAGACGATTGCTTCTTCACTGAACATATGTGCTTCCCTCCAATTCCTAGGTCTCTATCTTCTCTATCTTATTTCTCACATGAGATATATTTCAGGTTCATTTATTCTTATTGGTGAAAATCCAAACTTAAATTTTAGTAGAATAAATTGAGAAAAATATCATTAGACATTTATATGAGAAAGCAGTTTTTGTCTACACAGAAACAAAATTGTTTTTAGTTATTGTTGCATTAAATTAAACTTGTGTAAAACACCATAAAAATGAAAGTGTAGGCTGCAGACTGGGGATAGACAAAGGGAATGCATATAAATGATTTTTAAAAAGTGTTAAATTTAACATTCCTCAAAGTTTCTAATGAAGAGGCCAGAGTAATGACCCCTGAAGACATGTAAGCCTCTAGTGAGGCCCTGCTGGTCACTAGATGGCAGTTTGAGGGCTCTGACTTACTGACCAGGACACAGAAGGTGATGATGGAGCAGGGGGCTAGGTGGAAAATGGATGCACTACTTTGTTTCCTACTTCTGGTCCTTACAAGCCAGGAGACACTGGGGAAAATGACTGAATGTCCCTGAGACTTCCATCTGTCAAGGAAGAATAAGAATGATTGATGTGCAAGGTTGTTGAAAGACTTTAAGCTATATAACAAATTCAAAGAATCTAGCACACATCTGGGGCTCCGCAGTCACTCTTCTACTGAAGTTACCCAGGAAGTGACAAGCTGCAAGAAGATGCTGCACAGAAGCGGGCACACTCAGGGCATAGGAAACCTGGGCTCTGTTTGGGAGAGCTCTGTGCTCAGTAGGACACAACACATGCCTTCCATACAACTAAAAGCTTCCCTTGCAGGAGTGAAACCTGGGTGGGGCCTGCAGCTCTCAAGTCAAAGCTAAGGCAGGAAGTTTATGTATAGAATGTCAGAGACTCTGCCGGGCTGTGCCAAGCTGCTGGCACAGAGATACAGGGCCGAGTCGTCCAGCTCCAAGGCATTCACATTCAGCTCAGAGCTATCATTAGGGAACTGGAGACCTGAGAATCTAGGAGGGAAGTTTCCTCTGCCATTCTCTTCCTCCCTATAATACTGAAAGATAAACTGGGGCCCCTGACCCAGGGCCTGTTGGTACCAGGACACAGTGTTGTGCCCAGACTGAGAAGAGCATCTCAGAGTCACTTGCTGTCCTCTCGTTTTGATCAGGTGTGTGGGACTTTGGGTGACTCCAGCGTCCACTGAGCCTGTGGGAAAAGCAGATGGAGGATGAGCACAGCAGAAAGCCTGGAGGTCCTCCCCAAGGTAAAGTGGAGGACATGGGTGGGAAAGCTGAGAATGGGGCTGCTGTCCTGTGCCCAGGACTCACCTGCTCCCAGGAGACAAAGCAGCGCCCAGCAGAGGAGCCCAGGGCCCATGGCACAGTGGGCCAGGCAGCACTGCACCTGATTCAGGGCTTGGTCCTCCTGGGGAAGAGCCGAGTGAATTCTGGGCCTTGATTTTCCTAATAGGAGGGGTATCCTGTGATGTCACTGTCCTGAGTCCTCCCCATGCAGCCTTCCTTATGTCCAGTGCTCAGTGGATGATCCTGGAGTCTCTACCTGTCCTGCAGAGCTGAAGGGATGGGTGAAGGCAGAAGTTTCTGTGGTGACACAGTTCCTTCTCTGCCTACGTTGCCCCAGCTCACAGGCTGCCCCATCACCCTATCACCCTTCCCCCACCTAGTGCGGTGGTGCTCCATGCTGGAGCTAACACACCTACCCATCAGCGGAGGGTGAGGAGCCTGTGATTAAACCCTCACATTCCAGCTCTTCCTTGTTGTCCTCACATCATCTTTCTGATACTAGATTCACACCAATGTTTCTTATTATATTTTCCTGTCCCATCAACATTCCCAGCCCCTTTCTTCAGTGGCCAGTGGTGCAGAGTCCCCAAGATTTAGTCCGTCTGATCAGATCCAAAGCAGACCTGGGTTGTCTATAAATTATTAAGAGTATAGATTCCCCAGAAATAATTCTAGGATTTTAAGAGCTCACAGCACAGGGTTTGGCTTATGGGAGACAGGACAGCAGAGGGAGGTAGGGTTACCATCTGTGCTGGTTTGCAAAATCTATTCCCATGGCTCCCTTCTTGCTGGGTGAAATTTCCTGGTGCCCGAAAGTAGTCACACAGTAGCCTGAATGCTTTGCCGCTTAGATATTTCTTTCAGTTGATATCCTAGTGAATGGCTCATAATTTTATATTCCATAAAGTCCTAGAACAGGACACAATTTTGCCAAGGTTTTTGCTATTTATAACAAGGATGGTATTTGCTTCAATTTCCGATAGCTTGTCCCTCATTTCCCCCTGACACTTCACCAGAATTGCCCTTAATGCTCTGTTTTCAGGAGTCTAGGCTTTTGCTAGTCTGCTCCTCCCAATTCTTTCAACCTCTATCCATTAGCCACTTCCCATTAACCAAAGCTGCTTCTACATTTTCAGGTATTATAACAACAGACTCATGGTGCCATATTTTCTTTCAATTTCTTTCCTACTGCTATAGAGAAATACCACGGACTGGGCAATGTATAAAGACAAGAGGTTTATTTGGCTTATAGATGTGGAGACTGGGAAGTCCAGGATCAAAGGGCCACAGCTGGTGAGGTCCTCCTGCTGTTATCCAAGGCAGAAGGAAGGGGAAGCAAGCACTTAAGACAGAGAAAACAGCTGAATTCATCCTTTTTATTGGAAGACCATTCCCAGGAAAACTAAGTCACTCGCCCAATAAGGGCATTGATTTCTTTCTGAGGGCAGATCCCTTATGACCTAGTCATAGCTGTCCCACCTCCCAATACCATTCCACTGACAAATTTCAACATGAGCTTTTGTGGGGACACGCAAGCATAGCACACACATCTACACTATGAGTCAGTATTTCCACTCTTAAGTGTAGGTTTTAAAAGAAGAAAAAAGAATGCATATGTCCAAAAGAAAGATTTCCACAAGAATGTTCACAACAACTTTATTCATAATAGTTGAAGACAGGAATAACATGGATATCCATCAACAAGAGAATGCACAAAAAATTTGTGGTATATTTATGCAATGGAATATTAGTCATAAGAAAGAATGACCTACTGATACAACAATATGAATACACTTCAGAAATACTAATTTTGGAGAAAAATAACTAATAAAATATGATTCCATTTATATGAAGCTGAAGAATAGACAAAGCTAGTCAATGGTGATAAAAACAGAAAAGTTTTTATCTCTGGGATAGAAATTGATTGGAAAGGAGCATGAGGACACTTTCTTGAGTGATGGAAATTTTTTTTATAATCATTTCAGTTACTGTTGCACTGGTGTATGCAATTGTCAAAATGTACCAGGATGTTTTTGTATTAATACTTGTGTTTTACTCTCAATTATACCTTAATAAAAAGTGTTACTAAAAATTAAACAGCTAAACTGCATAAAAGATGGCAGTCATTTACAAATGTATGCTTGTATTCTGTACAGCCCAATTTAAAAATGCATCACACAAAAAGAAGAAAAGACAGGAACACACGTATCTGTGTAAGATATGGAGAATGTGAGAAGTGGTCAGTGACTGAAATAGGCAACATTGAAATTTGGCATCAAATTAAGCTCAACGGATGAGTGGGCTGAAAAACAAGTGAGGATCAATATCAAGGAATGCTTTAGAAAAACAAAAACTTTCTAAAAATATCTTCATATGCTGTTGAAATCATTCTGAGAACCATGAGCTGCTATACATTTTATAACTTGGGAAATTGGGCATTCATCAGTCTCACAATTGAACGTTTCTTTTCTTTCTGGCTTTCAACAGATTGGCCAATTGGTGAATTGATTTTTTTGCCCAGCAAGCAGCTTTCTCCCTCTTTGTGAGTGGGGTCCTGGGAGACCCGGCAGTCCCCCTTTGGCAGCCTCACAGAGGGGAGTTGGGCACAGCACAGACACACGGGGTTCCCTGCACGTGGGGTTTGCACTCCCTGTGAAGCCTAGCTATGGACCTCCCAGTCCTGCAGTTAATGGATCCCAACTAAAGAAACCTTGCCTCTAGGTATTCGCTTTACCTGTTAGTGCTAAGGAGGGATACAGGCTGGAGAAAAATAAAATGTTTGCTCAATATTATTCTGTAATATTTTACAAGAAAATCAATTGAGGAGGTCATGGATTTTCATCCAAGCCAAAGTCAAGATAATAGCTGAATTCCTTCCTTAATCTACCCTGAGAGGACTCAAACACTGCTCGATGCCCACAAATACTTAGTAGAGACTTATTTATAGTCTCCTTTTGATAATTCTACTCGTTGATTATCTTCAGGTCTAACGGCACTGTTTGGTGCATCTACTAATATTTTCCTTCTGTAGTTTGTTTACTTAGGTGTTTTAGAAATTGTTGTCAATATTTTTGGCCCTCAAGAGAACACGTGCTTGGTATCCAATGGAATCTAAGCCAAGGTGATGTTATCAGTACGACTTATAAACTTGTAGAATCCCTGATCACTCAAGGAGGTTAAAGCTGTTGCCTGGAGAGACATGCAGGGAAGATGAAGTGCAGCAGAGATGGACTGGACTCAGGGCACAGCCGGCCCCTTTCTTTCGCCTTTTCCTCTGAGGCAGTTGCTCCTCTGTCTGCACCTGCTCTGACACCAAAGCTGCCCAGCCAACATTCTTCAACTGTAGATGTCATTAAAGATTAGAGGGACTTCCCGCCTCTTGCATAGCTGTAGGTAGCCTAGCAATAACTGAAAACTGCTGCAACATCTGCATAATATGGGATCCAAGCCCGAATTTTTCTTAACCCTTTCCCTCCTAGGCTGCTCTCCCAGACTGCCCAGAGTACTTTAGTTCCCAGTGGACCACAGTGCCATCTTGTGGCCAATAAGTGAAGTTTCATCATTGTTTCTTCTGTAATGGCCCAAGGACTGCTGAGAAATGTCTACAGAGCGAGCTGCCAGAATATTCCAGAAGTGCCATCCCGCAGGTTTTATGAGCAGCTTCCCTAAACCCTCATCCCAACACTACTTCTAACCCTGACTATTGCTTTGAGTTACCAATCTTAATATCCCACCCTCATTCTGAATAACTCTTATCACATAGCTCCAGTTATAGTCTAACTTTTTCTCCCTTAAAACTACCATCTAAAGAAAGAGGAACAGAAGGAGAGGAATGAAAGGAAACAATATTTGGTTTTAAATAGTAAGAAAACACAGACGTTGAGGTATAAAGAGATTATTTAATCTGAATGACTAAGGATAAACAAAAATGCCCTCCAAAAATGACAGTGTTACCCCAAAAGCATAGATAAGCAAAAGATGAAGTTAAAAATGTCTATTAATAAAAAGTAAAATTGAAATATATAAAGGAGACCTCTTACAAGGAAATAAGCAATGGTGGAGGGAGCAATACCTAATGCACAAAATAAGGATGAACATAAGTAAGACCAGCAAAGGTGCTGCTACAGGAAATGATCAGCTTGTACAATGCACATCCACTGATCTGAGCAGCAAAGAGGGAAGAGATGATTATGAAAGAGGCAGAGGAGCAGCGGGAGATGAGGACACGCTGGTGCAAAATACTATCATAAGGAAGAAAATCAGCCAGGGGACTGTGGAATGTATGACTTTTCTTTCTCCTGTCTCCTGTGACAGCTGAAGTGGACCATTTTCATTTCCAATGATTTGCTCCTGCACCCTGAGTTAGATGCCCCTGGGATTTGCTGCTCCGCAGGTTCCCATGGATGAACTCCCTCTCCCTCCTTGTTGAGTATGGTCTGAAGGAGAGGTCATCTCTCCCTCCCCTTCAATCCCACAGTACTGGGGATTGGCACAGACTTCTCAATTGGCATTGACCTCTCTCATGGCAGGCTCACATGCCCCCTAACTGTGCCTTTTCATTTCCACTAGACTGAAAGTTAGATGTGGGCAATGGAACTTAACACCTTTATCATAGGATGCATAAGTAACTGCTTTCAAAATTATTGCTGTTTCTTTCACTGCCTTGGGTTACAGCTGAACAGGAAAAAAAGGCACAATTTCTTAATGTGACTTAACCACAAAAACCTTACCAAGTGCAAAAACAATATAACTACCAAGGGATTGCTCTCCTAAGTGGTGAGATGGCAAAATAAAACAAAAAACAAAGAAAATATTATCAAATACTTTAATGGAGACCCAGAATCCCAGTCCCTCTTATACAAACATCATTGCATAGCCTCCCTCTAACCAAGAGACAGATAGAGCCATTCCTGTGCCCTGCACCTGGCAGGAAAGCCCTGCTGGAGCCTGTGGGGAGCTGGCGAGGATGAGCCTTGGTGATTCTGCCCCAGAGCAGGGATTCTCAGGGAGCTCCGGACACCTTCCAGGGACTGAGATGGAGAGTGGCCATACTCTGTCTTGGAAAGGAGAATACTGAGGGCCTCTGACCCTCAGTATTCTGACCCTTCTGACCTCTCAGCCTAAAGTAAAAGCAGAGTCATTCCTGACTGGTGTGGAGGTGCTTAGTCTCCAAAGCAAAATTGTCCTTTTTACAGGGTCTCTCGTTGCCACAGAAGAATGGTTGCTACTTGGCCATCTCTGTTGCCAATGACTCCAGCATCTGAATATTCTATGCGAGGAAAGATAATTTGTAAATAATGAACTGGTTCAGTGATACCTTTAGTTACATTCAAAATAGTTGTCATGTTCCAGACTGGCATGCTTGCAGGAGACACAGAATTACAGAGCAAGAGAATCTGGAGGTTGAATAGAAATAGGAACAATCGAGGCCCCCTTAGGTGATGGCTTCTAAGAACAAAAGTAGAGGGGAGGTGAATTCTGAGCCCTTTTGGCCCCACAAGAAATGGCATAACAGGGACATCAGAAAATACCCCAGGGATGTGCTGATAAACTGGGTGTCTGTGAAGGTGGGGGCATGTCTGGTAGCATTTCCTAATTTCGGTTGTACCAGCATACCCACCATGGTAGATTTCAAGTGGCCAACATGGCTTCACTGCTTGGGAGCTGGGAAGAGTAATATGCCTATTTGATTCTTCTGACTCATACAAGCTGGCTCCAGCACATCCCTAGACTCAAGAGCAAAGCTTTCAAAGTTCTTCAGTGCTTCCTACTCAACACACAAAAAATGAGGCCGCAGCAAGTATAGCACACCTCATTGTTTTCATGATAGGATCAGAGTGTGTGATCCTGGGTCTTGGAATGGACAAAGGGATGTTTGTGCAGAGAAAGGATTTCTGAGTCCTTTGAAGCTGCCAAGATCACAAAGCAAATAGCTATGTTGGTTGGTTGTGGAGCTGCTACATTTGACTTGAAGTAATTGCAATGAAATGTTTATCCTGCTTAACTCAAGACAACTGAATGATTTCATTAGAGCAGAAACTGATTCCTTCCTATTTGTCCATTAGTAATATCTGCCCTTTGCTACTCTTCTATGTTCATTTTCTGTATAAGTTGCAAGTCCTGATTGCTTTTGTTTCATGTTGTTGCAGCACCGGTTACAATTGTGGACTGTGTTCTGTTCAGCCTCAGTGTCAGAGCTTGTCCACTGTTAGGAGTAGGTGTCTCAGGAGTCACGTGGAGGAAGGTGGCAGCAGTTAGAGACAAGGTCTAGGAAGACAAGGAATTCCCATCTGTGCCCTGGCCTTACTCAGTCCCAGGAGACAGAGGGTACCTGAGCAAGGAATGATTTGATGATGGCACAATAAAAACTGGGTCTAGAGCAGCTCCCTACCAGAGATCATCATTCTCTGGGGAAAGAAATTTGGTGTCTGTACCACCACAATTTCTGATCAGAGAATTTGGGAGGGCTATGATGCCCCTCCTAGCTATGAAAGACTCAGGGCACCTCTATCATGGCTGCATCTGGGACACTGAGTCCCAGACTTGGAGAAGTGGTCTGATGCCGAAGACTCCCTGAAACCCATGATCCATAATCACATCAGCTCTGACCAGTGCATTCGCTTTCATAGATACAAACTGCAGCAGCACCCACAGACGAGTTGAAGATTCTATTACAATATAATCATTGTACTTCTATTTATAACAAGTACTATATAATAAAATATAATATGAAAAATAAAAGAAAAAGAAATATATTCAATATTATAAATAAAACACTTCTTGAGTTAAAGGCCTCAGGAAAATGATTTCAAATCAAATGAGTTTGACAGCAATGAAAACCCTCAGAGTCTAGAAATTAGATTTCCTGAGGGAATCAAGGTGAATGGGCAGCGGTGGTGAATGCACGCTTCTGTCTATCAGGACAGTAGCAATGGCAAATGCAAACAAAATAAAGGATACACGTGGCTTAAAGTAGGCAGAAGAAGTGAAGTCTTATTGTTATCACCATTGTATTTATTAATAAGGACCACAAATTTGCAAAGACGTTTACTTTATAGGAAGAGATGTTTGATATTTTGTTGAAGAAACTTCCAAGGTGACAGGGGTAGAACAGGCTTCTGAAGAAAGATGTTCCTGGGGATGTAGCCTCAGACCTTCCAAATGCCCCAACATATGAAGAAGAGGCGTGTTTCCTGCCTATGACAACCTCATGGATGTGGGCAGCACAGCAGCCTCCAAGACCTATAGAAGATGCATGTCTGCCCTGAAGGCCAAGGCTAAGACACTGACTCCTTGCTTGGAACAGTGAGCTGGCTCGGAGGACTCCCAGAGCGCAGTGGGCTCTGATTGTTTTCACCACCTACATTTGCACTCACTGTGTTTCAGGAATGAATCTGCGGTCTCTTTCTACCCAAAGGACAGCTGAGGTCCAAATCTACCTTTTTCCCATGAAAAGTAAGGAGCAAAGAGAGGCCTCTGTTAAGGGTTTGTAGGAGCTGCAAGGAGAGAGAAGGATGAGGTTTGTGAGCAGAAAGGAGGCGACTGTGCCACGCTGTGGCTAAGCTGCTGGCACAGAGATACACAGCTGAGTCCCCCTGCTCTGTGCACTGGATCTTCAGAGTGGAGACGGATCTCTCAGGCCTCTCTGCAGAGAACCGACCACTGGGCCGCCCTGATTTGTCTCGTTGAGCATCACTCTGGGAGTAAGTCAGAACCTCTGAGCCCTGCCCCAGGGTCTGTCGGTACCAATAAAGGGTTACATGACCCGAAATTGAATCACACCTGAGAGCTACATCCCGTCCCCTCTTTGCGACTTTGTACCTTGGGGACTGGGAGACTCCAGCACCTGTGTGATCTGTGGAAATAGAATTTGGCAACAGAATAAGGAAAATATTTGTAGTCATCGCACACACACACACAAGCCTACACACAGAAAAAAACTGAAACTACTTTGTGTTCTAAGGACTCACCTGTCCCTAGGAAACCCAGGACCACCCAGCAGAGGAGCCTGGTGCCCATGGCAGGGTCAGGCCAGGACGGGGGTTTTACCAGGTCAGTGTCACTATGAGCAGGAGCAGAGGATGAGTGACGTCCTTGTCTCCACAGGGCGGTTCCCACAGTGACATCACTTCCTCTGTCAATCCCCAGGACCTCAGGGCCCCAGCATTTCTATTAGAACACATTTGGGTGCTGCTTTAAATATTTATAAGCTCCTTTTTAACAACATCAATGCATGGCTCATTGCTTTGGGCTCCAGATCTGTCTGGACCCGGAGGCCTCACGCTGCATCTCTGAGTTCATCTTGCCAGCCCACAGCTGCTCTTCTGTCTGCTAGGCATGTCCTGTAGGATGCACCAACAGTGCCCCTAACATAGAACACAAAAGGGTGAGCTCATTGTCTTTCCTGCAAGTCAGGGTCCCCTCTGCCATCCCCATTCATGCCCCAGCCTCCTCCATTCCCCCAGTCACACGTGCCCAACAGGACTGTCCCCTCACATGCGTTCCCTCATGAACTGCCCTCATGCCTTTCTTTGGGATCATTTCCCACCTTTGTTAACTGTAATTCAGAAAAGATAACTTGGTAGCAAACTCACAGTGGTGGTTTTTCATATTCCACGTATAAAAGTTTTTTTTTTAATCAATCTCACCTCTAATGAAGGAGAATGACGATTGAGCTAATGGTTATTTTTAACCACTATCTTGACTTACTGTTGTTCTCCATCTATTCCTATGGGAGGTATCTGTCTTTTCTTTCTGACTGCTTTCAAAATCTTCTCTTTGTCCCTCATGTTATACAATTTCCCTATGACTTGACTATTTGTCTTACTTGAGATTCATTTTGATTCTGGAAACTCTGAATTTAGGTCCTTAAACACCTCTAAATAATTGTCAGCTAACATCTCATAAATATCACCTCATAACATTCTACCTATTTTATCTATTTGAAACTGCAATCATATGCAAAAAAAATGGTAATTTATGAAAAATTTGCATATTCTAATATATGGGAAACATCCATTTCTTTTCTTCCCTGTTCTTTAACTTTTTCATATTCCACTTTTAATTTTCCGTGCTGCATTCTAGATCACTCCTGCAGATCCATCTTTGACATAGGAGCAGCTAATCAACTGTTTGACTTTCCATTTTGTTTTCAGTGGTTGTATGAGGAATTTCTAGATATATTATTTGACAATTTTTATGAAAGTTACTTGATGGTTTCAGACATTCTCTTTTTCCTTGTTTCTCTTTTTCCCTCTCATGTTCATTTAAATGTAGCTCTCCAAACTTTCATATCTTATAATGCCAAAATTTTGAGTCTTCGGGTTTGCACTTCAAACGTTTGTTGCTTGTGCTCACATTTCCTCATTGCTAACTCCTAATGTGTCCTTATGTACTTCATACTGGGGATCTATTTGTTTGATGGTAGTCTGCGACATTCCAGAGAGGCCGGGACTGAGAGGGAACAACACCAAGAATCTCTCATGTTTACAGGCATCTCCAGTCTAACTCGCAAATGTATGGGCCCAAGAAGTGTCTGCTGCACTCTGGGGGGCCAAATACACCCACAATATAGGTTAGTAGGTCAAAAATGCTCTCTGGCCAGTCCCAAGGAAAGATTCAGAATAGAATTCAAATTTCTATTTTTTAAAAAATAAATCTCTTACATTTATAGACCCTCTGGGTGGAGGGAGATTTCAGGTACAGGATTAAAAGAAAAGTTAGTAGCCAGTGTCTGGAACATCCACATACAAATTGTGTCCACATTCACCTGGGCAACACAGATGTCCATGGAGAAGAGTCCAGGGACCATGGCAGGTTGAGGCAGTTGTGTGATCTGATGCCTTAATCTGGAAGAATCCATCATGGGCTGAATTGAGTTAAGTCAGCTTTGCAAAGGCAAGAGCCTGCCTTTCCCAGAATGCCATTTCTCTTATCATTCTGGGTTAGAGATGGTCAAGGATACATTTGGTAAAATTTGGAAGACAGATGAAAAGCAGTCACTATTAGACTTGGCAGGTCATTGTGGTCAGACAGTGAGAGTCTGTGACCAGCAGATACAGAGGCATCCAACAGACCTAGGAAGTCTTGTTCCTTCTGCACTCTGTGTCTAGTTCATCTTCCCAAATGCTGGCAAACAGCAGCCAGGCTGCTGTTTTGGCAGTGCACCTGCAGGGGTGGCCCCCGTAGAGTGGGAACAGCTTCCCCAGAAGCAGGTTTCCTTGGCCTTTTCCTGTGCCCCCGGTTCAAGGTCCCACTGCATGTCCTGGCATACTCTGATCCTTTCATGTCCCTGCCAATCCAGCCTGTCCTGCCGAGACCCCCAGGAGCCCTGGCTATTGACTGGCTCCCTCGCCTTCTGACTTCTCTCCTCCAGACCTTCTCTTTCTCAGCTCCTCCCACATATGCATAAAGTCTAATTCTGATCGTAAATTTGTTACACTCTCAAACTTGTAGCGGCCCTGTTTTATTGTTGCAAACTTAATGGAGATTTTCTTACCAGAAGTGGTTTCAAGGAACAACCTTTAAGGATGGAATTCTAGAAGTGGATCTCTGATCTGTCTCGCTTTGTTGTGGGGAAAGACCCTGAAGGAGAGCACAGAGACCTGGAGGAGGTCAGGCTCTGCAACCACAAGAGGAAGCTTTGAGCCAGGTGTGGCCGCCATGATAGTGATTCCCCATCAATTTCCAAGACCGACCTGAGCCCAGCAATCAAAGGGATGGGCTTTCTTGTACTTAATGCTAGATCTCTGCCAGGTTACAGTAGATGTAGTGTGTTTTTATTATTGGTTTATCCACCCACTCATCACTCACTCAGCCTGTCATTCACTCATCCATTCTTTGTGAAATGGGTCTCCCTACATGCCAGACACCAATGTTGGTAAATGCAGCAGGCACAGCCTTAGCTCTCATGGGCTTAAAAATTGGGTGGAGTACAAAAATAACCAGACAAGTATCTGAGAAAGCCAAGCTGTGCTAAAGGTTACTAACAGACACATGAATCTGTGACAGCTTATGAGAGGAAAGTTGATTTCAGATGGGAGGGGAGGGAGCGCTTCCCACAAGAGGGGTTGATCATGCTGAGATATGAAGGACAGGTAGGAGCTGGCCACTGCAGAAAGGAAGGCTCCATGCAAGGGCAGAGGAAATGGCCTTTGAAGTCTCTGTGATGGGAAGGAAGGAGGCACAGAACAGGGGCTCCCCTCATGGCTGCAGTAGAGAGGGGCGAGGAGGTGGGGGGAGGAGAGACCCAGCAACGCCTTGGAGGGTGACTGCCCAGATGGGAAAGGTGGGCCACAGGAGAGAAAACATGAGGGTGGGGGCTGGGGGAAACATTAGAGAGAGGAAGCAACAGGGTCACCAGGGAGAGACGGGAGTCTAGATGGATCTGAAATGCAAATCCTGTTTTATCCTGGGGGCCTCGGACTCAGGATAATGAGTAGAAAAGTAGGAGCTGGGAAAGCCCTGGCCCCACCCCAAAAGGAAAGCTCCAAGGATAGACCAGAGAAAGCAACAAAGGAGACATCTGAGGACCTGGGACCAGTCCAGGCCTGGCTGAGATGCCTGCAGAGGCACCTGGCACAGAGCAAGGCTCATACTGTCCAGGCCACTTGGGGCCACTGTGGGTTCCAAGGTTCCTGGCGCAGAGATCTCTGCCCAGGGCATCCCTGAGTCTTGGGTGGGGGAGGAGGGCAGAACCTCCCTGCCTTTATGTGCAGAGAGGAGACGGCCTTGTAGCGCTGTGGAGTAACTGCTGGCACAGAAGTACACAGATGTCTGGGAGGGAGCAGCCGACAGCAGCCTGAGCGGGAAATCCTCTGTGGTTGATCTGGAGACATTGTAGCCATTGGGGACTTCTCCTTGGTCAGTGATACCAGCACCAACTGAGTAATGAATCAGCCTCAGCCCCATGCCTGGGTCTTGTCGATACCAGGACATGTATTCATGGTTCATATCCTGGGCACACTGCAGTGTCATGCTCTGTCCTGTCTTCAGGACCTGGAATTTTGGGGTCTGAGTGACACCAGCATTCACTGGACCTGCAGAGAAGGAGAACAAAGCTGATGCTGCAGCCCCAATGGGAAGGCGCTGGGCCTTGAAATTCACACAAGGGGCTCTGCCCAGGACCCACCTGCCCACAGGAGAGACAAGGCTGCACAGCACAGGAGGCCGATGCTCATGGCAGATGCTGCATGACGGAGGGGTCTTCTGTATCTGTGCATTGATGAAAGGGGAGCAGGACTCTCAAGGAAGTCATTCTGAGACATTCTCCCTGCCTGGGCCCCAGGGAGGGAGAGGCCAGGAGAGGCCACACCCATTCCCCAGATGGTCAAATCCAAAATAAATGCACCAGTGAACAGCTGAGAATGAGAAGAACACATCTGTCTGAATTGAAACAAGTCTACAAGATTTTCATGACCTTTTGGAAACAGTTTGTAATTCACTGTAAATTTTATTTTTTCAATGATATAATTAATATTTTAGTGTTAGTTATCTACATAGTGCTAGTGCTGTAGTCTAGAGTCTTAGGGAAACTCCTCATGTCTTCCTGGTGCTTTTGATTCCCCTGTCCCAAATACTCCTTCAAGTGTCCTTTTCTAATTTGCTTAATTGACCTTAATCCTGTTTAAAATCCTTTGTCTATATTGGTTTTTTCTGTTATGAAGTTTCCAAATCCCAGGGGCAGGCTCGTCAACATTGGAGGAGTCGTTTTGCTCTGTTTCTTGTCAACTCACTGACAGATGAGACTTCTGACAAACCCAGCTGAGCACCTTCAGCTCCACCCAGGGCTCTTGCTTTCCATGTCTGGGGTGAGACTGCAGTAGGCAGAACCACTTCACGTTGCTGACTGCCTTCTACATGTGGACGATGGTGGCCAACCAGCGCTGCCCATGACCTAGGGGCACAAATGTGGCCTTATGCGTGAGGGACTCGGGGAGAGAGGGCAGACTTTAGAGTAAGGAAGAGTGCTCTTTTTTAATTTGAGTTGTCATGTTTCATAGGGAGTATCCCTTTGTGTGGGATTCCTGCCATTAATTTAGTAATCAATAAAAAGGAATTCAAATAACATATCTTGGTGCACAGAGTCCCACACTTATTAGGACGCCACAGTCAGTATAACATTGTCATGTTCTTCAAATTCTTATGATATTTTGAACCAACGGGATGCTAATAAGTTGTATGGCTGGTTCTGAGTCCATAATTGTGTTTCATATTCTGCTCACCTCCCCATGTGCTGTTTTCCTTTTTAGCACAAGTACATGACCAGGGTCTGGGTCACTCAGTATCAATGGTACTTTGGATCCCATCAATGGGACTGTGTCCTGTGAAGAACACAGAAGTTAAAGTCACAGCAAAGGAACACCTGGTACTATTATCTGCAAGCTAGGGTCCAACAAACCAATGAGTAGATGCCACATATGTGCCCAGTATTTCTCTGGTCCAGAAAACAGAGGGACACACAGCAAAAGAGCCCGGTGCCCAGGCAGCGCCAGAACAGAAAGGGGAATTTTCTAGCTCAAGGCTCACGTTTTATGGGTTGGACACTTGCGGTCAAGGAAGAGAGACCCCTTCTCTCAATGTGACATTATCTCTCAAGGTAGTCACTATTGCACATGGTTCACTTGGCCCCAGTGCACTCTATGTGCTCAGGAAGCAGAGCTGAATCACAGCTAAATATTGTCTGATGGAAACTCAAAATAATGTTCTTGGAGATGATTAGTTTTTGTCAGAATATCATTATAAAATAATTTAAGTGAATGAGTGTATGAGAAAAAATAATGAAAATGAATGAACAAATTATGTGGAAATAGCCTCTTCCATGTGGGAAGATTTTTGGTGTCATTTCATCATCTTGTCTATCTCCAGACAGGATTATCCCTAACGTGGATCAGGTGTCTCTCAGGGTTCTGGAAGTGTTTGACACCCTTCTAAAGCCATAAAAATCTTTTTTTTTTTTAATTTTTTAAATGTTACTTTAAGTTTTGGGATACATGTGAAGAATGTGCAGGTTTGTTACATAGGTAAACATGTGCCACGGTGGTTTGCTGCACCCATCAACCCGTCATCTAGGCTTTAAGCTCCGCATGCATTAGGTATTCATCGTAATGCTCTCCCTCCTCTCACCCTCCGCCCTCCGACAGGCTCCAGTGTGTGTTGTTCCCCTCCCTGTGTCCATGTGTTCTCTTCGTTCAACTCCCACTAGGTGAAAACATGCGGTGTTTGGTTTTCTGTTCCTGTATTAGTTTGCTGAGGATAATGGCTTCCAGCTTCATCCATGTCCCTGCAAAGGACATGATCTCATTCTTTCATATGACTGCATAGTATTCCATGGTGTATATGTGTCACATTTTCTTTATCCATTCTGTCATTGAGGGGAATAGCCATAAATATCTTTGGGAGCACCTCCCTCTCTTGAATATTTACCTGTGTACTAAAGAGGAAGTGTTTTAATAGTTAGAGGTTGTAAATTTCCATTAAAAATATACCTGAGCAAAACAATTTTCTAGTGATAAATATCACTGGTTGTCAGGGATGGAGGGAGGCATTGCAGAGAGGAATGAGAACACTCTCTGTGTGATGGAAATGTTCGGCATCTTAATAGGGATGGGGATTGAAGGGTCTATACACATATATTGCTCCAAAATCACTCATCAGTTCACTTAAAATGTGTAATGTTTATATAATCTATATATTAATGAAGTTGATTTTTAACTATCTGAGGAGGTATGTATGCTACATTCTTTAGTTAATTTCATGTGAGGGATCATCAGGTATATATATTTCCACTTCTGTGACTTCTAAGTTCTCAGCTTAAGATTTCTAGGCAGAGTGTGTCTGAATCTGCCTTTGTGCATGGTGAGGGTGGAAGAGGCTGTCTGAGATTAACAAAGGGAATCAAGAGATTTAGATTCCTATTATAGGCTAGATATTTTATGATACTAAATTCTATATACAGCCCTATAGATAGACTGTATTAGTCTCATTTTATAGATTAACAAAACAAAAACCAAACTAAAGTTAACCTGTCAAGAGCTGGTCTCAGTTAGTGATGTGGTGGTGTTAGAGTGGGAGTCAGGGCTGGGTGCCATGGCATCTTTTCAGAGTTCTTTCCCCATACTGTCTCCAGGATACATTCATCTCTGTCTGTGATGTTATTGGAGCCAGCAGGTCTGAAAGGGATGTAGAGAGCAAATACTCTGATTTTGAAAGGTAGGCGTCTCTCTTCATGAAAATGCCTTATAGCACAGAGCTATAAACACAGGGCTTAGAGACTGACAGGTCAGAGCTGGACCCCCGGTACTGCATCCTAATAGCCATTTAATGTGATCATGTTATTTAACCTGTGGGTCAATTCCCTCCTCTCTGTAAAATGAGAATAGCATTTGTGTCTTAAGGCTTTTTCTGACAGTTGAATTTCTAATTAACTGCAATTTTGCAAATGAAGGGCTTCTATTTTGTGTATAGTAAAATGACAATAAAGGATGGAATTATGATTTTTTTTTCTGAATCTTCTCCGTGCAGCATAATTGAACCATAAAGGTGCATTGATGTACTCAGAGCCTGCACCTCTGCAAATGACCCTGTTACTCGTGTGATGTGTGGTTTTATAGAAACAGTCAAATACTATGCATTTATTACCACAGACCTTAAATGTGTTATATACACACAAGGAAATAATATCAAAAAAGAAGAAAATCTCACCATATGTGGCAATGTGGATAAACCTGGAGGACATTATGGTAACTGAGTAAGCCAGACACAGAAAGACAAATACTGCACGACTCTTTTTTTTTTTTTTTTTTTTTTGAGATGGAGTTTCGCCTTGTTGACCAGGCTGGAGTGCAATGGCACAATATCGGCTCGCTGCAACCTCCACCTCCCGGGTTCAAATGATTCTCCTGCCTCAGCCTCCTGAGTAGCTGGGATTACAGGCGCCTGCCACCGTGCCCAGCTAATTTTTGTATTTTTAGTAGATGCAGGGTTTCACCATGTTGGCCAGGCTGGTCTCCAACTCCTGACCTCATGTGATGTGCCCACCTCGGCCTCCCAAAGTACTGGGATTACAGGCGTGAGCCACCGTGCCTTTTTCTACTTTTATGAGGCAACCTAAATAGTCAAACTCATGGAAGTAAAAACTGAAACATTGGTTTCCAAGGGCTAGGGATTGGTGGCAATGGGGAGTTGCTGTCAACAGGTATAAAATTCCCAGTTAAGCAGGATGAGGAAGTTCTAGAGATCTACTGTACAGCCTTGTGTCTGTGGACTACGATACTCTACTATATACTTAAAAGCCTGTTAAGAGGATAGATCTCATATTAAATGTTCTCACTAAAATTTTTTTTAAAAAGGTGGTAAAAGGAGGTAGGTAACTAAAGAGAAAGATTTTTAAAAAGGACATTTGTATAATTCAGAAACATTAAAGTATTTTGAATTAGCAAAATATAAATTTCAAAATAATTCAATAAATACATTTCCATATTAATTGCCTTAATATTGTCAAAGGCGAGAAACATACTGTTTTTAAAAATTGTCTTATCTGTTTTTCTAAATTTTATTTTTTGTTTCGCTTTTAAATTTATGTGGCACAATCCCTTGTACAAAGCAGGGGGCTTAAAATGTTTATGAAATCAATAAATTAACTAATGAATAATAATGATTTGTGTCTTTTCCCTCATAATAAATTACATCAGGTACAGGAAAACTACACTTTCCTTTAAAAACATCCCATTCCCTTTGCTGTGCACTGAGAAATCTCTCTCCTCACATATCCTTCATGAAAGAGATCACCTGGCCTCATTCATAGGACAGCTATGGTGCAGAAAATTGCACCTCTCTTTTTTGTCACAATGAAGGATGAATGAATATGTTTAGCCTGGAAGTTATATGTTCCTTGGACTTTTCAGCAAAGAGAGTATAGTGATCACATATAATGCCTGACTTTCTCCTCCTGCTAATGGGGACCTGGAAAGGGAAGGCCATGTGAGAGGACAAATCTGCAGAGTGGGGACAGCAGGTAGAGGTGCTGGAGGAACAGACTTCAGCTAGTTATCTTCTTTTCAATTAACTATTTATTGATACATATTAGATGTACATATTTTTTAGTAGATGTGATCTTTGATACATTAATATAATCAAATCATGGTCATTGGGATAGGCATCACTTTAATATTTGTCTTTTCTTTACCTTAAGAACATTTGAATTATTCTCTTCTAGCTATTTTGAAATGCATAATTGGTTGATGTTAACTACAGTCACCCTATTACTGATCTATCCAACGCCAGGTCTGGTTTCTTCCATCTAAGAGTGTACAAGACCCAGGAAAGTTATTTCAGTCAAGTGTATACACAGTTAAATAATACTTATTTTGCATGATTTCTGTCAGAATCAAAACAGGTCTCATAAAGAAGCAACAGAGGGTACCTGGGAAAGGCCTGTCGGATCACCAGATCCTGAGCCCCTCTGGCTGCCAACATCCCATTCATGGTCTTTTTCTGAGTGGGGGCAGGAATGTTTTGGCATTACCATAGGAAACTTGCCTTTCTATTTACTTCCTCTGCAGGCCATCCTTTGCCCACTGTACCCTTAGGTGGGTGCCTGGCTCTGCTACCCCATGTATCATTCCTGCCCTGAAGGGTCCCGAAACTAAAGGTGGAGCACAGTATCCACATGTCCATGTCACACCTTACTCCACCCACCGCTGTCCCTGCCCTGACACTGATTCCCAAGCCCTGGATGCCCCAGCCCCTTCACCATCCACTGGCCAGACAGACACAGAGACACTCTCTTGTTGGTACAAACTGAGGCCTTTCGCACCCCTACCCTTCTCTGGACAGTGAGGAGTCTGTGTTAAACTCAGAACTCACTCTGAACTCAAATGGCCCCCACCTGATGCTAGCAGGCAGCCAGGCATTCTCTTCAGCCTTCCTCTTCTGGGTCACCTGCCCTCCCCTCCCCAGGGTTCCCAGCAGCATTGCGGAGACACAGCGCCTCCAAGTGGCTATAGATCCATAGTCTCACAGATTCACACCTTCTGATCTGATGAGCTCTAGATTGTCCAAATCCGTAACAGAGACCCCTGCATCCCGCTCCTGCAGCCCCCACCCTCTCACATACACCCTCTCTAAGCTTTCCCAGATAAGCCAATTTAGGGTTAATCTCTAAATCCTCCCTTAGCCAGTGGAGACAAAAGGGTGTATTAACCAACATTTTGATTGCAAAATTAATCGTTGTTATGTCATTGCAATTCATATGATAAGGTGGAAGAGAGGAGCCTGAATAAGACAGGACATACAATTAAACAGTGTGAAGCTATCCAGCAGAATGATCTTGGAAAAATATTTAATATCTCATGTGTCTTCATATTTTGTATTTAGAGTCATTATTACCAAATTTTAAATAGTGCATTTAATAAAAGGGGCTTCTAGTTTTTACATATTTAATTCTGAATTTATAAAAAGTCTTGAAATAAACAACCCTATTGGCTATAACTTAGGCAGATTGAGTGGTGTGACATTTCCCATCACTAGCCAGAAGTGCCTATGAGCTCCCCAGGTGACCCAGTGCCTCTTTGTAATGCGATCCAAAGATAAACTTTTTCATGTGGATGAATCTGCATGAGAAAATGCACATACACACACACTCATACACACTCACACATACACTCTCACACACACACTCATACACACTCACATATACACTCACACACACACACATACACACATGGTATCTTCTTATTGCAAGGATAAGATTCTATTACTGAGCACAACAAATTTTTCTCTCAGTGTTTTAGGTTGACTTCTGAAATGCACCCCTGATAATGTGTCCAGACTCATAAAGATGTGATTTTGGAAAAGTGTGGTTGTGGTGAGGAATTTCTTTTACTGGATCATAGGACTGGATAAATATTATTATAACATAAATTTCTTTGTTCCAAAAGGACATTTGTGAATTCCAGCTTTAGATATAGTTAGGGTACTGGGTAGTACTGGTCATTAATCCTGACTGGGAAAACACATTTGCTTGGAATACTGCAGAAATTGTATGGAAAATTGAGACTAGCCATAATGACTCTCCATCATATTTCAAGTAAAAGGAGCCCCTTTTGAAGGGAAAACAGTAATAGATAATATTTCAGAGCTCTGTATAAATGGACATTAATTTATTCATTTCACAAACATCGAGTAGTATCAATTATATACCTGAATTTTCCTCTGAATGTAAAGGAAACAGAATGATATACTGCAGTGGCCAGGGAATGTCAGGGTAAGAAGCAAAGAGGAAGGTAGATGTGAGTCAGTCCTTGATAGATGAGGAGTGTCTGGCCCTGTTTGGGGAGAATACAGTTTGTTGCAGACTGTGGAAATAGCACAGATACACAGGATGTAAAAGCCTGTAAAAGCTCTAGAGCCTGTGATTTCCTAACCTGCCGTATTTCCTGCACAACTACACTTCCCTTTCCCTGCACAGATGAACTTTAGAAGACATCGGGCCCGGGAAAGTGGGGTGAGCTAGGTCAGAGGCTCTGGAAGCCTCAAACGTCTCCATTCCTTGTACCATCTGGCAGTATGTCATTTTTTACCCCCACTCTTGGCAAATGCTAATTTTTTAAAATAATGTTTTTAAAGTAATCATTTATTTTGTCATTTTTGTAACACACAGCGCTGTCAATCAGGGTTTTTAATCAGCATGAGATGAGCCCATAAGTTAATTTCACAGAACTTTAATATAATTCCATCTCAGCAAAGACATGAGTCAATTTCCTTATTATGTATAGCTTGGGTCATGTGCATAATTTCCTTTCACTTTCAAAAAATATTAAAAAGAAATTGAGGACCTTGATATTATCCTTGAAAACCTTAGGTTAGGGACTGCCACCCTAGCCAGTTCTCACCTCCTAACCTCTTTGTCTCTCTTACCATCTATGATCCCTTGACTCCCCTGGAGCTGTTCTGTCCAAAGATTCTAAAGATAAATTGAAATTACCAGATGATTTTATTATTTCTTACATGATCTATCCGTAGTCCAGCCCAGAACAGCAGCTCTGGACAATTTTGTTTTGCATTTGTCTCTTTAAACCTGTTTATTGATTCACTGATTCAAAACATGTGATTTTTAATATCTTCCTTGTCAGATATACAATGTTAGGATTAATGGATAAAATGTCAAAAGTGAGGAAGTCAAGAAAGTGAGAAGCAAAACCAATGAAAAATGGTCTGTGTGATGAGTAGCCATTAGGAATGATGACAAGATTAGTAGCAGACAGAAGGACTGAATGAGAAGAGAGTTCTGAAGGGAAAGAAGCAAGTGCAGCAAAGAAGGGTGCTGTTCTAATGTCATGTGTGTAAAGGAGCTGGGCTTCAAAGGAGGAAGGAAAATGATCTGGAGGCAACAGAGAGAAGCCCAAAGAGCAAGGAAGACACCAAAACAATATATAAACACAGAGTAGGTCTCTCGATGTACATTAAAGGATACCCCGAATTTCATTCTGCATCATTCTGATCTTGAAAGTCTCAGTCTTTGAATAACAAAAATAGGACAGTGACAAGCGAAACCAGGGCCTCTATCGAAGAACTCGGGTAAACCCAAATTGTCTTGGGCATGCAAAATACAGGCACATTTTGCAACAATTGCCGATGATACACTGATAGGGGTTGAGAAATCATCAGTATGTAAATACTACTATAGAAGAAAGACATTATAACTCTTCATAATAAATTGCAAGTGCTGTGTAGAAATGTGTATCATAAACCAGAAGAAAAAAAATACAGATTTGGCTGTTCAGGACACAGCATCAGGGAGGAAAGAGGGCCAAGTAAGACTGGCCAGGCCTGTGTATGTTTTTTAACTTTATTTATTTATTTTTTGTGTGTGATTTGGGGTCTTACTCTGTTGCGATGATCATGGCTCACTCCAGCCTCGAACTTCAGGGCTCAAGCAACCCTCTCAACTCAGCCTCCTGAGTAGCTAAGACTGCCATACCAGGCTAATTTTTAAAATATATATATATTTTAGAGACAAAATCTCACTGTTTCCCAGCCTAGTCTTGAACTCCCCACCTCAAGCATTCCTCCCGCCTCAGCCTCCCAAAGTGCTGAGATTACAGGCATGAGCCACCACACCAGGCCCTGTGTGCTTTTAGACACCCTGTGTATATTCATATTGATAGTTCCAGAACAGGCAGTGGAGGAGATCTCATCAGTGTCCTGTGAGTGCACACAGACCTTTAGCTAGCACCTGGCTTGCTTTATGCAAGATAGAAACAAATGGATCCCTGTAGGCCAAGAGGGGTAGCTTACTTCTAATGTATTAAACTGCCTGTATTATCCACACTGAAGATCTCTTTAAGTTTAATGTAAAAATCCGTATATAAATGGTAAATTGAAATTAGCATTATAAAGGAATGTCCACAATCATAGAAAAGAACTTTCATTTACAATAAAGAGTACTTGTAGGGGAAATTTCTGTTCATGGCTTAGAGTGAGAAGGGAATGAAGTGGGCAGAGTAGTTCACAAGACATAGCCATTCTCAAGAGCTCCCACTGTTTGGATGGGAGTGTCAAATACAGGAAGGCAGGGAAACCTACGGTGTGGGTAATTAAGGTTTATCCTACCTGTGTGTGAGTTATGACCCCATACACAATTTGTGAGAAATTTGCAAAATGCATTTTCGACATTATCTCCTACACAAGATTTTGTATGTTGATATTGTATCATCTTATGTCTTTGCCATGCCCCAAACCCACTTAATTATTCTTGTGGGGAGGGTGAGGCGGGAAAGACTTTGCTCAGGACTGCTGGGAGCTGTGAGGAAAAGAGGAAGCACCAGAGTTTCTGCACAGGGAGGGGGAGATTCTGCAGCGCTGTGGCTAAGCGACTTGCACAGACATACACGGCCGAGTCCCCCTGCTCTGCAGGCTGGATCTTCAGAGTAGAGAATGATCCATCAGGCCTCTCAGCTGAGAATCGCTCTGTGGGCATACCTGCATTATCTATAATAGATCGGCTCCGGAAGTAACTCAGCAATTCCAGTCCCTGCACGAAGGTATCTCTGTACCAGAAAAGGAAATTGTGGCCAAAAATTGGCTCACATCTCAGAGTCACTGTTTGTCCCATTTCTGTCACCTCATGCTTGGGTGACTGGATAATGCCAGCATCTGTGCATGCTATAAAAGAACGCAAAATTAGGAAACAGAATAAGGAAAATACAGGAAGTCATCTATACAGAGGCCCAGCATGAGGATGATAAATACATGAGGACTCACTCGCTACCAGGATACAAAGGGACACACAGAGGGTCCAGGAGTCCATGGCAGAGTGAGAACAGATGTGGCACATTCCAGACCAGCGCCCTTATGAACATAAGCAAGAAAAGATACTTTGGGACATTTTACCCCCACAAGATGCATCTGTTAGTGACAACACTGAATGGCCCACCACCCCCAACTTGAAAGCTCCTTTAAGCGGAGGCTACATTTTTGGGAGATGAATCAGGCAGACTACATTTTTGGGAGATGAATCAGGCAGGACTGAAGTCAACTATAATTGATCTGAGATACAGATGCACACTTGCAGAGGATCCCTGTAGATTTGCTTTGATATTATCAATTCATAGCACCTTCTCCATAACATGCCTTACCTAGGAGCCTGCCAACTATATCCATCTGCACCTCAAACTCCAAGTATTTAAAGATGAACTCATTGCCTTATTGCAAGCCAGCTTCTCTGCAAACTCTCCTCTTCCTCTCACTGGTGACTCTGTGCTCCTAGTTCTTCAAATGCCTTTAAATGAGTTAGAAGTTAGCATCTGAGTTACCCAGGAAGAGCAAGCATGTCAACCGCGTTGTTAAAGATACAGGAGCTGAATCAGTGTCCCGAAAGCTCATTAGATTTCAAAGCTCTTCTTTGCAGTGAAGGGTCTCTCCGAGTTTATTGATCCTTGAACTCTATTGAGTTTGCAAAGCCCAGAGCACAGAATCTCTCACATTCTCTATCCACACAATAAATCAGAAACAAGATTGTCTTTCTCACAAAGATTTGGAAATTAAATGTTCCAGAGTTGATTTACATCTTATTCTTACCTCTAGCAAAGCTCAGCATTTCTTAATCTTTACACCTGGTCTTTTTCTTATAAAAGAATCTTACATCTCACTAACTGACTTCCTCTCGGGGTGTAGAGTATAGAGAACTGAGAGAACCTCTGCTCTATGAATTGGTCAACTAGGTTATTTGCTAACAAAGAAGAAGGAGCAGTTTAAGGCCACATTTTCGCTGTTGGCACAGAGGCATACAGCTGAGTCCCCTGCGCCCCAGGGGACTTGCCCATCCTAAGGAGCAAATAGTTTACAGATGAGCTTGTGTGACCTGAGGTGTCTGTTTCCTTGTGGGTTCCATCCCTTTGTTGTGTGTGTTAGATCCAGAATGTAAAACGGTAGTCATCAATCAGTTTTTAAGGTGACCAACACGTTTTCCTCCCTATTACCAGGTGCCTAGGTTTGGTAGTCAGAACAATGCCCCTTCAACCATGCCCAGGCCTAATCCCTGGAATGTGTTAAATTACCTGATAAAGGGGAATTAATGTTCCAAGTGAAGTGAGCTTGCCAATCAGCTGACCTTAATATAGGGGCCCAATGTAATCACAATGGTCCTAAAATGTGGAAGAGGGAGGATGAAAAGTGAGCATCAGAGTATGCAGAGTGAGCAAAGTCTCAGCCAGTCCTTGCTGGCTTTGAAGATTGAATGGGGCCATGAGCCAAGGAGCACTGGTGGCCTCTAGAAGCTGAAAAGGAGAGAAAAACAGTTCTTCCCTAGAGCCTCAGGAAGGAATGCAGCCCTGCCAACGCTTGGATTTTAGCCCAGTAACATCCATTTTGGACTTCTGACCTCCAGAACTGTAAGGTAATACTTGTGTGGTTGTAAGCCACCAAGTTAGTGGTAATTCGTTACAGCAGCAATAGAAATTGAATACCTTATAGTAGCCATGGGACTCATGAGAGAGAGAGGCAGAAGCCGGATACAAAATACTGGTAGAGTCAGATGCACGATCACATGGAAAAACGAAATCAACCCAGGCAAAACAAACAAAACTTTTATATGCCCAGACCCCACCTTCTTCCAGGGACACAGAGGCATCTGGAGTAATAGAGTTAGAACTAGACTGCGGCATTTTCCCGCCCTGAGCAAAGGTTCTTGGGGGAGAAAATTCTGTCCTACTCCACCCTAAGCCTTGCTAATAAGTGTATATGCTGCTGGTAGCATCATTGTGATTGAAGCTGCCTGAGGACAGGCTCCCCCTGACATGGTCCAGGGTAGCGCCTCCATTTCTACCTGCTCTTCCCTCTACGTTCGACGGAACAGGTAGGGCTAGCCTCGGCCGGCTTGGGGCCAGGCTCTACAAGGCTCCTGTGACACAAACACTGCTTTTCTGCTTTCCCCAGCCCAGAACACGGCGCCGCACCACCCCAGCTCCTTGTGCCTCCACGTCTTCAGTGAGCTCAGACCTACATCCACTTGCAAGCCCATCTGCCACTCAGAGCCCTATTCAAATCTCAATTTACAGCAAAACCCATCTCCGCATCAAGAGGCAAAAGGGTTGGTCTCTAATCCCTTTATTTTCAGCCTTCATTGCAGGTACCTCCAACCCAGCTCCCTGACTCTAGGTCCAACTCCAGGGTTTTCATTAAGGATCCTCCAGGGAGCAATCCCAGCCCCTCCCCCATAGACTTTGGATGACAGTGAAGCCACAGTGCCTCCTGGTGGCCAGTAGGCAGGAACAGCACAAATGTGCTCTTTGTCAAGACCGAGGACTTGCACTTCCCTTTATTGAGCCATGGGGAAACGAGATACCATAATTTGTGGTGTTGGAGGGTCATAAAACAACATTATGACCTAAGATGGAACCACCTGAGAGATGGACATTACAGTCTGACAGATGGAGACATAATATCAGTTTTAATATCCATAAACAACCCGGCTCAGATGGGAGGGCAAAAAGACCGACCAACACTGTCTTGAATCAGAATTTAATCCATTCTCTCTCCCCTCCAAATTACAGGCCATCCCTATAAGGAAAAGAAAGTTTCCCACTGATCTTAGTGCATTTAAAAAAGCACCAAAAGAATCTGCTTTTATTCCCAGTAGCCAGGATGAAAGGGAGAGGATGAAGAGAGAGGAACCTCAGATGAAGAGGAGACTAAATAAAATAACTTATTTCCCTTCCCATAGGGAAGATTTGGCAAGCAATAGAAAGAATAAAACTGGAGCATTGCTTTAGGCAAGTTCCCTCAAATGGAAAATGTGGAGCACAGTGTTTTCCCAGAAGCCTGGGCTTAAGTAGGAAAAGATGATAGTCACACATCTGTGACTCCCTCTAGTTCTGACCCCTGGCCCTCAGGTGTACTCAAAAAACATGGCACAAATGGATCACAACAATGCAGAAATGAAGTGTAAACCACAAATAAAATTAAAAGGCCCCCAATAATCTGAATGGACTTCCTACCCAGCCAGGGCTCTTTTAAAATTTAACCTGAGAGACAACCAATTGTCAACCAGAAAAATTTTAAATCTACCTTTAAGCTGGAACCTCTCCCCACTCCTGCCTCCAGGTGTCTGCCTTTCTGGCCAAAAACAATGTATCTCTTAATTGTGTTTGATTGAAGTCTCAAGTCTCATGTCTCCCTAAAATGTAGAAAACCAAGCTGCACCCTGACCACCTTGGGCACTGATCTCAGTACCTCCTGAAGGCTGTTTCACAGGCCATGGTCACTCATATTTGGCTCAGAATAAATGTCTTTAAATATTTTACATAGTTGGACTGTTCATCAACAGAAACTAATTCCATGTTCACTTTGTGCTCTCTGATCAAGTCTAAATATTCACTCTCTGTTCTCATCTTGTCTCATGATCCAGTGAAGCATCAAAGATTATGTAATAAATAACATAAAAATACTCAAATGATAAAACCTCAAAACCAAATAAGGGTCCCAATTTGATTATAAATCCACTTCAAGTTTTTAAAAAGTTCTTTCCTTAAAATTAAAGTTTCTGTATAACATCTCTACGCTGTTTAAGTCAAATATCAAACAAATCAGACTAAGAATCTGACGTTAAAATTCAAAGAAAATTAAAACTTCAGATAAAATGTTTTGACCTTAATCTGTATAATTACAGAAGAGGGAACTCAGATTAATGCTTTTGTTATTATTTATGTACTTGAGTAAAATAACCACACTAACAAACTGCAACTAATTCATATCCTAAAGATACGATGAGGAATAACTGGGCCAGAATCTTGGAGAAGGCAGGAGCCTCGGGAGTGAGCACAGCAGTCACTGCCCTTATGGGCATTTGCTGATCCCAGCCCAGCACTAAGGAAGCTGACTCACAGTCCAGAGGGGTAAAGGCAAAGACCATAACTTACTTAATGTGACCATTGAGGGACTTGAATAGAATCAATGCACTAGAAGGAAGCCTGTCCTCCAGGGTCTCCAGGACACCTCAAGCCTTTAATTCTGTTCCAGGGAGTCCTGGATTGTTTATGCATCCATGCACTTTACAAAGCACAATAAAATTATCTCTGGAGAAAGATATATCCATCCTAGACCAGAAATTATTTCTACAGCCATAGTGTCTGGCACGATGTCAAAAATAATCAGGTTTATAAGGAAAAATACAAACAAATGACTGAGAAGCAGCACACATACAAAAATGTCCACAAAGACCACAGAGGTGAAAATAAGCAGACAGACTGAAATAACTGAGTGTCCTATGCTCAACGAAATAAAAGATACACTCAAAAAAGGTTATGAGGGAATGACTGACCGTAAAAGGTGACCTTATAGATCAGAAAAAGAACCAAATGAAAATTCTGGCAAGGAAGTGGAGGATGGTCATGGTCACCCACCACCTGGCTGAGGTGTTGTTAGCTGAGTAAATTGCAGGGAAGGAAGGGAGATGTGTAGTGAGTTCATGGCCATCAGTTAGGACCTGCAGTCAGGTGGATGGAAAGGGAAGTCAGGAGGGGCTGAGGGACAGTGACAGTCCTTCAGAAGATTCCCAGGAAGCTGCATTTCCAAACATTCTAACCAATACTTCAGAATGATTTCTAGTACAAGACAGTCTGGGCAGAAGATAGGGTAGAGACTAGAGTTGGACACACACAGTGCATTATCAGAGGAGGCAACTGGACCAGGGGCAGTTAATTGCTTCTGAAGTTCTTTCAGGAATATCTAATGCACTGATGTATTAGTCTGTTTTCATGCTCCTGATAAAGACATACCCAAGACAGGGAAGAAAAAGACGTTTAGTTGGACTTACAGTTCCACATGGCTGGGGAGGCCTCAGAATCATGGCAGGAAGCAAAAGGCACATCTTACATGGTGGCGGCAAGAGAAAATGAGGAAGAAGCAAATGTGGAAACCCCTGATAAGCCCATGAGATCTCGTGAGACTTGTTCACTATCATGAGAATAGCATGAGAAAGACTGGCCCCCATGGTTCAATTATATCCCCCGGGTCCCTCCCACAACACGTGGGAATTCTGGGAGGTACAATTCAAGTTGAAATTTGGGTGGGGACACAGTCAAACCATATCAACTAAGGAGCTATTTTAATATATGAGGACAGACAAGTGAAAGTGTCCTCATCAGTCTCTGAACTAGCTGGCCCAGCCCCATATAATGTTGGGATATGTTTGTTACATGGAAGAGTTAGAAAGCTCTGGAGTAGCAGAATTCATTTTGAGCTAAGATTTTGGACTCGTTGCCAGGATATCCATTTGTGTGCATTTTTTTGAAATTTAAAGGGTGCTGAATGAAATAGTTGAAATTATCAACATCATCATCTTTAACATTACTCTTATTAGCATATTTCCGCAAAAACAGGGGAAAAAGATTTCCAAACACATAGTACCTGTTGAGATTTGGTTGCATAATACATCCAATGAGAGGTCTAGAGGAGGCTCCAGAGCCAGGGTGTCACCAAGGATAGGATTCAAATTATTCATATGCTGACAACTGCAGAGAGAAAACCTGCTGATTGTTACTCACATACAATCATTATCTGTATTATTAAAGTTTATCACACATGTTTATTGACTGCATGTTTTTATTTTTCAAATTTACGTATTTTTTAATTGATATAAAATATTGTATGCATTTTTTAAATACAAGAACAACTATTAGTACCCCAGAAGACTAAGTCTGTGATAAGTCACTTTCAGTTTTGGTTTCTTGAATTCTCACCGATAGGTGTTTCAGATTCCTTAGACATATTTTCAAATAACAACTGCAGCCTTCATGTTTTAAGAAATAGTTTATCTCCAGCCAGGCACAGTGGCTCAAGCTTGTAATTCCAGCGCTTTGAGATGCCGAGAAGGGCGAATCACTTGAGGTCAGGAGTTCGAAATCAGCCTGGCCAACATATCAAAATCCCATCTCTACTAAAAATACAGAAATTAGCTGGGCATGGTGGCACATGCCTGTCATCCCAGCTACTGGGGAGGCTGAGGCAGGACAATCACTTGAACTCAGGAGGCAGAGACTGCAGTGAGCCCAGATCGCACCACTGCACTCCAGCCTGGGCAATGGAGCAAGACTCCATCTCAAAAACAAAAAGAAAAAAAGAAAAGAAAAGAAAAAGTTTATTTCCTCCCACTATATGAGTCCTAGCTATATCTGAAAACTCACTTCTTCCTTGGGAGGATGAGGAATAAGGAAAGGCTGCTGTGAGCTGAGTAGAGAGGAGAGAGTCCTGCGGTTTTCTGGTTTTCTGCACAGGAGGGAAGTGTCTCTGCTACACTGTGTCTAAGCTGCTGGCACAGAGATACACGGCCGAGTCCTCAAGCTTTGCAGGCTGGATCTTGAGAGTGGAGTCTACTCCTTTGAGCCTCTCTGCAGAAAATCGATCCTTAGGCAACTGTGAATCATCCACTACACCGTTATTCTGAAACTGAATCAGAAGCTTTGGGCCCTGTCCCAGGATCTGCTGGTACCAGTAAAGGGTAGCATGGCCAGATATAGGATTGCACCAAAAAGCCACACTCTGCCTTTTCTCTATAATCTTATATCCGGGAGACTGGGCAACTCCAGCTTCTGTGAGTTCTGAGAAGGAAAAAGACAGAATTTGAAAACAGAAGGAAATGATTGAAATAATCAGAGAGATCCAATGTGATCATGGTGTTCCTAGGACTCACCTGCTCCCAGGAGACAGAGGGCCGCCTAGCAGAGGAGCCTGGTGCCCATGGCAGGGTCAGGGAAGGATGGGAGCTTTGCCCAATCAGGGTCACTGTGAGCAACAGCAAAGGAGGAGGGACATCCCTGTCCTCTCATGGCAGTTCCCACAGTGACATCATTGCCTCCACAAATGCCTACATTGTTAGAAACCAATTATTATAAGCTAAAAGAGAGCACGAAGTTGCTTTACCGTATTCACAGACTGTGTAAGTTCAGCCAAGTGTCCTCACTCACATCTCTAGGGCTTGGGGACTGGATCTCCTACTCCATCTCTAGGCCCATCCTCTGCTGGATGTTTCGAGTTGAAGGCAACTCGAAACAGAGATATCAGTTAGTGACCTCTTTGTCTTATCAGCAATTATCCTTCTCTTTGGGTGTTTCTCTTTTACTAGGTTCTCTATCTTCCTTGTCCTATGCACTTAGAAGCTGGGGTAATTGACACAAGTTTATCCTAGAAGCTTGTTGAATTAGCTGACGCGCTGTAAGCTAAAGGGATAAAACAATAACCTGGGCACAGAGTTGGAAGGGTTCATTTTTAGTGAAGGCCGATGAACAGTTTCCTCTTTACTGTTATCATTCATGATACATTGTGTACCAAGCCTTCATCATGGTTCTGCCTGTAGTTTTGGGTCACCAGTGCAATGAAAGTAAGTTCTCATTTTTATCGAAGATAGGTGGGGAATTCTCTTATCCCTGAAAATATCAGTATATATTGTAAGAAATGCAAAATCAAAGAGACTTGCTGAAATCTAAAAATAACCTTATAGCTATACCTCTAGTGTAAATTACAGTTGAACAGTAGTGGTCATTATCTCTTTTTTGTTTCTAATGGGGCAACATTAGTCACAAACGCACTTTTATTCCTTGCCTGAGTAATAAGAAATAAAAGGAGTTAGGGGATGGCGCTCCTCAGAGTTGGCATAAGACAATAACACAAGGAGATGCACGTCCAGGGAGGTGGGAATGAGGATATATGTGTTCAGTGAGGTGCACTCAGAGATATTCCACCAAACCCGCAAAACCTAGGGGACACATGTCAAGGTTATCAGGTGAATACCTGTGGGTATAGAATTACCAGAGCCATCCGTTTCTGTCATAAATCCTTTACTACTGAGGTAAAAATCTGCTGGTTTGAGTCCAACTCATGTAGGCACCGGGTAATAATTGCATGATGGAAAATTTCTTCACATTAAGGGGCCACTACCTGCTCCATCTTTGTGACCAGGGTTACAGTTCTGGGTGACAACAGCATTCAGGGGATGGAGGCTGGTAGCTGGAAACAGGACTTATCTGTCTATCAAGCCTATCAGTCCACAGGACCTGCATGTGGTGTGCTTGCAAGTGAGGCATGCCAAGTCCAGGGAAGACATTCCTCATTGTTCCCAGGCCTCATCTGCTTCCTGGGCAGCGCAACTGAGAAATCTATGACAGAATTCTTGTCAAGGCAGGAACTGGTCATTGTGCTGCTCAGGGAAGAAAAGGCCAGAGCCCTGGGAAATCCGGTTTTTGTTAAGAATATCTGTAGTTACTACCTGCAATTTGGAATAGCCTATCTGGCATAAACTAGAATTGTCCACTCTCCTATATTTCCCTTACATCATCGTATACATTGTCCAGAGCACGACTAGAATAGGTAAGGTGTGAGGTACAGGTGCATTGCTCACATTTCTCTGAATTCTCCTGAGGAGCCAGTCATTTTCCCTTTGCATGGGTCTCTGAGCATTTAGGCTGGCTCCTGGTCCTCCTCCATCTACCTCCCATGCAAGCCCAGAAGAGTCTCCACTCAAAGATTTGCTACAGTTCAGATTTTACTGCTGAGCAGAACATGCCAGCACCAATGAAAGATAAAGGGTTTTTTTTTTAATATTTCACATTTCACTGACTACTCACAACTTCTGCAAACAAGATACTGGATACTAGTATACACACTTTTCCTTTAAACTTAACATCTCAGGCAGCACTGAGCGCTGTTTCAAAAACATTTGAGCATCATCAAACCCCAGTGCCTTCTGATGGCCAGTGTCACTGGACTTAGGTCCTCGGTCCATGGCTTAGAGATACTGGTGGGACTTCTATACTATCTTCAATAGAATCAGGGCTAATATAGGACAGTGTTTGTGAGAAACCAGGGAAAATTTTTTCCCAGTTCCATCTGTTCTTACTGTCTTGCTAGAGCCTGTCCTATAGTTTAGTTATGGTGTGTTCCCACCAAAATTCATGTTGAAGCTTATTCGTCAATGTAGTGGTGTTGCTACAGGCACATTGCTCACATTTTTCTGGGGTAGTGTGAGCCTTATGGGAATTGTTTGGGTCATGGGAGTAGATCCCTCATCAAAGATTAATGCCAGGAGTCAGTTCTCTCTCTCCAGCATCTGGATTAGTTACCATAAAAGCAGGCTGTTATAAAGTGAGGGTCTTGCTCATCCTGGCTCTCCTTGCACAGGCCTGCTCATTTCTCCCACTTCTCTTCCACGTTGTGACACAGCACAAAGCCCTCAAAAGAAGTTCAGTAGATGTTGATGCCCTACTGGTCTTTCCAGCCTCCAGAATTGCAAGCCAAATAAAGCCCTTTTCCTTATAAATTTCTTTATACATTTTCCCAGCCTCAGGTATTCTGCTATAGCAGCAGAGGACAAACTGAGACAGCCTCCCTCTTTGTTGAACAAATACATATTGTCCAGCCCTAACTTTGGAAAATCACTACTCTTCTCTTTACATTCAGTCACCTTTGAAAGTTCTTGAGTTTTCAGCCAAACTGTAGAATACTCAGAATCTCTTGATACAGAGAAAACAGTCCTGTATATTTGCTAAAAGGCCTCTTGACATGCATTACTAGCTAAGTTTTGCACTGGTCTCAGAGATACCAAGCTGCTTTGTCCTCAGACTGCAAATTCTCTTGTTTTCTTTTGGGACTTTCTTAAAAATCATAGCCTGTCTCCTATTTAAAAAAGTATACTCTAGACTAAAAGATACCTTATTTGATATATTTATTTTATGGTAATGACATAGTATTTCAAATATATTAAAAATGAATATAAGAAATACCCAACAACATTATTACTCTGAAATAACACCAACATTTTATTTTGGTCTGTTAATATTTTTCTTCAATTTTTTTAAACTGAGCATCTATGGAAAAGGTGAGAGAATAATGAAATAGTCAGAATATTAAAATGTATATCTGTGTGCCGATTGTACATTTTGTGATTTTGCTTGATCTCTCTCTATATATTTTGCCCTCAATTTCTGAAGCATTTTATCCTTAATAATAAAATGAGTCTCCTAAAAAATTGGCATTATCTTATATAACCACAAATGTCACTATTATGCCCAAAACATTAGCATTCACATAGCATTGTCATCTAGTACATACTTCACATTCAAATTTCTCCAGTTGTCTCAGCATGTCCCTTGGTTTTGATTCACTTTTCCTCTAGAACAAAATCAAAGATCACGTATTTCATGAGGTTAGCAGTTCTCCTTAGTTACTTTTAAATTATACATCTCTTCCACCCACTTATTATATTTCCTGTTTTTCATGATTATAAGTTTTTGAAGTGCCTAGGTCAGCTTAGTTGTAAAATGAGCCACAACAAGAATTTCTATACTATTAGAGGTTAGTTACTTGGCAAATATACACCACAGATGATGTGTATTTCCTATTGCATCTGGTCAATCGCAAGAATGTGGAATGTCATTTTTATGCAGTTTTGTCAATGTATATTTGAGGTAACTGACACTGGATCTCTTCATTTTTAATATGTCTTTTACCCTCTGTAACTGAGTAGTAATCTGTGGAGTGATGCATTGGAAAAATGTCCATATCCTGTTCCAGTCCCAAAAGCATATATAAAACATGGTTGAAAATTCCTTAAATCTGGAAAAAGTTAGCAATATCCAGGTACAGAAAGCTCAGAGGTTGCCAGTTAAATTCAATCCAAAAAGGAGTTCCCTAAATCACGATATGTATTAGTTCATTTTCATGCTGCTGATAAAGACATACCAGAGACTGAGAAGAAAAAGAGGCTTAATGGACTTTCAGTTCCACATGGCTGGGGAGGCCTCACAATCATGGCAGAAGGCAAGGAGGGGCAAGTCATGTCTTACTTGGATGGCAACATAAAAGAGAGAGCTTGTGCAGGGAAAATCCCATTTTAAAACCATCAGATCTAAAAGAGACTCATTTAGTATCACGAGACAGCAGGAAAGACCCGGCCCCCATAATTCAATCACCTCCCCACAGGGTTCCTCCCACAACACGTAGGAATTGTGGGAGATACAATTCAAGATGAGATTTGGGTTGGGACACAGCCAAATCATATCAAAATGTAATCATTTTCTCTCTTCTATGGTATATTAAAAATGTTTAAGAAGTACCGCACTAAAAACACTACCAACCACAAACCTCCCAAATGAAGTTCAAACTCAATTTCTTTTAGCATTGTCGCAGTACACCAACATAATTCTAAAGTCAAGAGAGACCCCAAAAAAGCCGATCAGACAAAAAACATTACCTCCAAAGAAGGTGTGCAAATTGATCATAGGCATAAGAAAAGGCACTTAACATTTTTAGTCATTAGAGAAATGCAAATCACAACCACAATGAGATATCATTCACACTGACTAGGATGGCTATACAAAATAGTAATCATCATCATAATAATATTTTTGAAAAGAAAAACAAGAAATAAATGCTGGCAATTCTGTGAAGAAATGACATTGCTGGTAGGAATCTAAAATTGTGCAGCTGCAACCAAAAAAAAACCATTTTGGTAGTTACTTAAAAGGAGAAACATAGAATTACCAAAGGACCCAGAAGTTTCACTCCTGGGTATATACCCAAAAGAATTGAAAACAGGGCATCAAACAGATATTTTCAGGCCAATATTCATTGCACCATTATTCCCAATATCTACAAGGTAGAAACAACCCAAATGTTAATCAATTAATGAATGGATAAACAAATGTGGTATATGCATACAACAAAATATTATTGAGAAATGAAAAGGAATGAAGTTTTGATAAATGCTACAATATGAATGCACCTTGAAAGCATTAAGCTAAGTGAAAGATACAAGACACAAAAGGAAAAATAGTGCATGGTTTCACATAAATAATCTGCAATAGGCAAATTCATTCAGAAAGAAATTAGATTAGAGGTTAGCAGAAAGAGGGGGTATGTGGAGTTATTCTTTAGTGGGTATTGAGTTTCTGTTTGAGGCAATGAAAAGAAAATTGGAAACAGATAATGGTGACAGTTTCCCAACATAGTGAATGTACTTAATGCTGCTGAATTGTACAATTTAAAAATAAAGTGACAAAATTATATGTTACACATATTTCCCCCTGCCACCCACCCTTTTTTTTTGAAATGGAGTCTCACTCTGTCGCCCAGGCTGGAGTGCAGTGACATAATCTTGGTTCATTGCAGCCTGTGCCTCTGGGTTCAAGCGATTCTCCTGCCTTAGCCTCCTGAGTAGCTGGGATTACAAGTGTGAGCCACCATGCCCAGCCCACTTTTTTAAAAGATTGTTTTAAAAAACTACCTTTACAATAGGAAAAATAAATACTTAAAGTTGAATTTTCTACGATTGAACCTAAAGACAAGAAAAGGAGCCCAAATGATTTATATACACTCATAATTTCTCAAGAAATGCTATTAGTCACAATATATCCCACAGTGGGTTTTCTGATGTGGTTGTCATTATCTCTTGTAGTGGATATATAAACGGTTTTCATTAGTCCAAATGTCTATTCAGATTTAGGACTGTCACTCCTTTGAAAAGTTTCCTATCTAGTAATTTTTGAATCATAACTTATTATTTCAGGTTGCTATATTCTGATTACAAGTAAGGTTGAAAAGTTATTCTCATGTTTAGTGGTAACTTATGTTCACTTGTGTGAATTGCCTATTTAGCTTCAGTATTGCCATTTTTATTGGGCTGTCGTCTTATTAATAAGAATGTTTTACTCATTTACGTACTAAGTTTATTAGAAAAGGACACCTATGCTACAGAAAAAAAAAAATAAAACAAATCCTAAAATCTCAGTGGCTGAACTCTATCAAGTCTTACCTCTCATGACCACAAAACCCAGTGGGGCATGAGCAGCTTTTTTTCCATGGCTGTCCACCAAATTATGACCCAGGGAGCCAAGCTGCTTCCAGTTTATAATCTGTGCCATGACCTCCCAAATTCATCCACACATGGCAAAAGAGAGTTGAAGAGTGTCTGTGCAGAAAAGAGTTGACAGCAGGCTTGAGACTGCCTGCTTGCAAGATTGAACTTTGGCTGATCTTTGGCCACTTGGCTGATGAGTGGTGCCCTGCACTGGCAAAGTTTCTCCTAACTGAGAGGAGCGGCTCGTTGTGCCTAGACTGGTGTTGCAAACAGTATTGTACTGAACACCAGATTTCCTTCTGGAGTCTGAATTTTTGGTTAATGCTAGGCAGTATGTGCTTGTGACCAGCCTCCTCTGAAACCTCATGAGTGCTGAGTCTCTGATGGACTCACTTGGTAGAAACACTGCACATGTGTTAATGCATTTTTGCTACGGAGTGAAGCGAGAACCCTGTGTGACCTCCCCGGGAGGAAGACAGCATAAGGAGGCCTGAGTTTGGATTCCTTCAGATTCCACCTGTGTTTTCTCCATATGATCTGCTGCTGACAACTTACTAAGACATGTTAGAAAATCTTAGCTGTGAGTACAACTCTATGCCATATACCACATCTCTAAACACGGGAGTACGCTTAGGGACCCTCAGCATGGACCTACAGGATATTTTTAAGGGCCAGACTTGAAATTGGGCTAACATTATTTTTACTCACCTCCCACTATTCAGAACCTGGTGACATGCTCCCAGCCCTCCAAGTGCAAATGAGGCCAGGAAGCATAGAGGAGCCATGGGTGAGCCTGACTCTTCTCTGTCACACTGATTTTTCATCATCTGCATGCATTCCTCATTTTTTTCCTGTGCTGTGGCTTAACATTTCATTTCTTATGCTATGTTTTGGTGTACAAAAGTTTAGTTTAATGCAACTGGAGTTACAAATTTTTTTTTTTTTGAGGTGGAGTTCTGCTCTTGTTGCCCAGGCTGGAGTGCAGCGGCATGATCTCGGCTCACAGCAACCTCCGCCTCCCAGGTTCAAGCGATTCTCCTGCCTCAGCCTCCTGAGTAGGTGGGATTACAGGCATGCACCCCATGCCCAGCTAATTTTCTATTTTTAGTAAAGACGGGGTTTCTCCATGTTGGTCAGGCTGATCTCGAACTCCCAACCTCAAGTGATCCGCCTGCCTCAGCCTCCCAAAGTGCTGGGATTACAGGCATGAGCCACCGCGCCCGGCCTCAAATATTTTTATGGCTAGTGGTTTTCTTATGTGTCATCTAAAAAACTAATTCCTCAAATGAGTGCTAAAAATATATTTCTTAATTTTTCTCTCATAAAATTTGTCTTGCTTTTTACAGTTAAGAGTAAATGTACCTGAAATAGACTTTTATGTAAGGAATGAAGTAGAGGCCTGGGAATAAGTTGGAGGCACATATGCTCAGTGAAGTAGAAATAATCTATTATTCATAAACAATCCCCAGGGTGGAAAACAACACTACACCTACGAAGCTGTAACTGAATGTAGGGGAGTGTGGCTAAAGCAGAAAGCCAGGGGAAACTTAATGCAAAATGATGATGGAGGCTGGGCGCAGTGGCTCACGCCTGTAATCCCAGCACTTTGGGAGGCCAAGGCGGGTGAATAACGAGGTCAGGAAATCGAGACCATCCTGGCTAACACCGTGAAACCCCATCTCTACTAAAAATACAAAAAATTAGCCGGGCGCCGTGGCAGGCACCTGTAGTCCCAGCTACTTGGGAGGCTGAGGCAGGAGAATGGCGCGAACCCGGGAGGCGGGCTTGCAGTGAGCCGAGATCGCGCCACTGCACTCCAGCCTGGGCAACAGAGCAAGACTCCGTCTCAAAAAAAAAAAAAAAAAAAAAAAATGATGATGGAGAAGCAGGTGAAGGGCAAATGATAGATGACCTTGTAGGGCTATTGCCCTTAGAAGAAAGGCAGCCAGGAGCAGAGACCACATGGGGGAAGATTTGTGTCTGTGAGTTGAAGGGTAGTAGAGGATACGGTAAGGTTTACACGAAGAAGTCACTGATCCCATAAGGGAGAGAAGAATATGTTGGCTTTGAAATTATGAAGGGAATTAGGAATATCAACAAAATATCTCTTCCATTCTGCAAGCAGAAAAAGAGAGCTGCAGAAGAAAGACCCAGCAAGGTTAGTGTGTTGGGGCAAACTCCAGATGGTCTGAGACAGGGGTAGGAATAGAGCCACAGCACTGAGGGTCATATGGCCCCTGCTCTAAGACACCCCCCCAACCTGGGCAGGACTCTGTGACTCCTATGGGGGCTGAGACGTCCCAGGGTGGGGCCCAGACTTGGGTGCACAGGCAACCTCAGTTTTTCTAACTGCCGTTTCCGTGCAGAGAGGAGGCAGCTGTGCAGCACTGTGGACTCACTGCTGGCGCAGAAATACACAGATGTCTGGGAGCGGGTAGCTGACTCCAGAGTGAGGGGGAAATTCTCTGTCTTGGATCTGGAGACAACATAGCCATCGGGGACTTCTCCTTTATCTGTAATATCAGCAGCTGCTGAGTAATAGATCAGCCTCAGCCCATGTCCCAGGTCTTGTCGATACCAGAACATATAGCTGTGGCTCCAAGTCTGGTGACACATCAAGGTCACCTGCCTTCCTGTCTCTGTGATCTTGTATCTTGGGCTCTGGGTGATTCCAGCATCCCTGTGTCCTGTAATAGAGAACAACAGACACTGATGCTGTCATCCCAACAGAAAAGCTTGCATTGAGTCCTTGGGAATTCCAGGGAAGGAGGCCCTCCTGTGACCAGCCCTCACCTGCCCACAGCAGACAAAGGGCCACATAGAAGAAGAGCCTGGTGCCCATTTCAGCTCCAGGGCAGGATCTTGTGTCTCCCAGCCCTGCTGTGGGCAAATTGAAGTTGAGCTCTCAGTGACTTGATGATGTCACTGTCCCTGCTAAATGCTTGAACCTCAGAGCTAACCTGCCACATCTGTTCTCTTCCCCACAGGAACAAATCATTTATTATAGACATACTTGAGAAGCTTAGATTGGGAAAAATTTGTAGATCTGTTTTGAAAGAAATCTTAAAATGTGTAATCTCATTCCCTGATTTTAATAGGGGAATTTGTTCTTCTATGCGTATTTTACTCCCATTATGCTAAATTCTTCATTTGAATGCTGTTTTAACATTTATGAATATTTCTGTAGTCTAAAGAGCATTGTCATAGCAGTCCTGGTGACTTTTATGACTTCTCTGTACAAAATTCAACTCCAAGTTGAATTATTTTCCACTTTGTTTAACCTCTGGATATTTGTATTTCAGCCTACAGAGATACCCTTGGTTAAAAGAGTCAACTGACATCCAGAAAGGTTTCAAAGTTGTGGATTCAAGGTCTTTAACATTTGAAGTCTTGTTTCACACTGTAGCACCTCATTGCACCTGATGGGAGCCTCACCATCCAAGCTCAGGCTGCGGTGTGTTCTCATGAGGATGATTTTTCCCTTTGCTTCAGGTGAAGCCACAAACACTCACCACCTAAGTCCCATAAGTGACTGTACTTCCTATGAAGAAAAGAGGAGGCTCATTAAGAATGTGGATGAAATGTTCACCCAGAACTACAACTATCTGGAGTCTCTAGGGTCACAGGGAAATGTTCTATTTCCATTCAGAAGATCTTGTATTCACTAAATGGGAGAAGATTGGAGGAGGTGTAAACGTGCTTTGGCACCAAACTTACATCCAGTCAATAGCACTGCTATTGTTATTTCAGATACAATAGATTATCTATTGCATATCTTGATGCAACCTGGATGGGTAATTCCCACAATCATGCTCCAGTGAGAGAGGACACAGAATCAGAAGTGGAGACAGGGAGGAGGCCCATGAGCATCCCCATGGGAGGCCGTGGCTGGGGCCTGGTAAGCCAAGGAAGGACTTTCCCATCTATGCCCAGAACTCATCTGGTCCTGGGAGACCAAGCAAAGGGGCCAATCTTCGTGGTTGGGCCAGGGCAGGGGAAAAAAAAATCTTTTCAGTGCAGGACTTTCATTTTTGGGATACGGCACGTAGAATCCCAGAGCTCTAAGGATCCTTCCCTAAATGAGGTGTGAGCTACCCAGAATGTCAGTACTTTCAACAGCACTCTAACTTCTCTGGAGACATAAGCATCTATGGGGAATATATCCTTTTACTTTTTAATTATTATTCAGTATAATAAGTTATAACAATTTTTTGGAAGTGTCTACCTCAACTTGAAGCTCTGTCTGGTTTCTCCACTGGTGTTTCCCAAGTACCTGGACAGTACCTATGTAGTTGCCATGAAATCAATGAAGAATAACCTCGGGCCTTCTCACTCACACAGGACCTTTCCAACACTTTGTCATTTTGCATTCTTCTTTGCAAGGAGCTCCTTAAAATTGTATCAGCTTTGTGCCCCACAAAATTTGAATCTACTCTGCACCTATAGCTCATTAAAGATTTGTTGAATGGAAGAAAAATGGAATGAATGATTACCTGGGTCCAGGCAAACTCTGCTTCTGTAAAGAGAACCCAAGTCTATTCAGTTCAAATTGGGTTCAGAGCTTTAAGGGAACAGAGAGCCATCCTGAGGCTGCTGAGAATTCAGGAATAATTCCAAATGAATCTGGAAGAGATTAGTTTATATATGTCATCATAAGACTTTTTAAACGAATGGGTAGCGGTATGAGTAAAAGAAAAACAAAGGTCTCCTTCAAAGGGAAGGGTCTTTGGATGGTGGCTTCATCCCATCACTGCCACAGTATAGGCTATCCCTGAAGAGAAAGTCTGTGATGGGGACTTAGGTGCATGTAGCTTATTCGGGAAATGATTCCAGGAAGAAGAAGTAGGAACGAAACATAAAATAGGGAAGGAAGAAGCCAGGATAAAAGTGCACAAACAACAAAAGAGTTTGTGTTGGAGCAATAGGAGATGGAATCCATCAGGGCCTCTCAGGAGCACACAGAATGCTGTCTGAAGTTTCTGCATGAATGGGCAGGCTGGAGCATTAGTCCTCTGTCTCAGCAGGGGCATCAGGAGCTCTGGCTGTCTTTGAGTACAGGCCAGGTGGGCTCAGATAATATCATGGAACAGCCCTGGGGAAGAAGCAGAGAGACTCCCAGCATGCACCTGTGGAAGGGCACTGCCAGATCGAGGCGAATGGGGACTTGCACACAACTGTCCACTACAGCAAGCCTGAAATCAGAGGTGGGCAGTGAGGATGTCGTGGAAGGCACTAGAGGCTCCTCTTCTTTCTAATAAAACCGCCCATTCTTCTATCAGCTCTTTTGTGGGATTGCTGATTGCTCTGAATTCACAGCTTTCTGGGAGCATCACACCTTCTTGCATATCAGACTCAGTATCAACCAGGAAGTGCTGTAAGGGGCAACATTTTTACTTTCCCTTAAGACACAACCATTTATGTTAGTTTTACCTAATTATCAGACTACTATCTTTGCATTTTAGATGACTTTGTGTCTTATTAAAAAATAATAAAATTAACTAATGAATAGCAATTATTTGTGTCTTTTCCCTCATGGTAAATTGCATCAGGTACTGGAAGACTGTGCTTTCCTTAAACAACATCTTATTTCCTTGCTGTGCAGCTGAGAAACCTCCCTCCTCACACAGCCTCCATAAAAGCAATCACATGGCCTCACCCATAGAACTGCTATAGTGGAGAAAACTGAACCTTGATTTTTGTCACAATGAAAGATGAAAAGATGTTTTGCCTGGAAGTCATATCCTCCTTGGACTTGTCAGTGGAGAGGCTATAATGATCACATATGTGGCATAATCTTCCCCTCCTGCTAATGGGGACCTGGAAACGGAAGGCCAGGTGAGAGGACAAATCTACAGAGTGGGAACAGTGGATAGAGGTGTTGGAGGAACAGGCTTCGGCCAGTTATCTTTTTTTTAATTCACTATTTATTGATGTATATTAGATGTACATATTTTTTAGGTAGATATGATCATTGATACATTTGTATAATCAAATCATGGTCATTGGGATAGGCATTATCTTAAATATTTATCTTTTCTTTAGACTAGGAACATTTGAATTATTCTCTTCTCACTATTTTGAAATGCATAATTGGCTGATGTTAACTACTGTCACACTACTACTGATCTATCCAATGCCAGGTCTGGTTTCTTCCATCTAAGCGTATGTGAGACCCAGGAAAGCTGCTTCAGTCAAATGTATAAACAGGTAAGATAATACTTATTTTGAATGATTTCTGTCAGAATTAAAACAGGTCACATAAAGAAGCAGCAGAGGGGCCGGGCACAGTGGCTCACACTTGTAATCCCAGCACTTTGGGAGGCCGAGGCAGGCAGATTGTTTGAAGTCAAGAGTTTGAGACCAGCCTGGCCAACATGGCGAAACCCCATCTTTATTAAAAATACAAAAAATTAGCCAGGCGTTGTGGTGGGTGCCTGTAATCCCAGCTACTTAGGAGGCCGAGACAGGAGAATCATTTGAACCCAGGAGGCAGAGGCTGCAGTGAGCTGAGATCAAGCCACTGTACTCCAGCCTTGGTGACAGAGCAAAGCAAGATGCCCTCAAAAAAAAAAAAAAAGAAGCAGCAGAGAGTGCCTGGGAAAGGCTGCCACCAGATCCTGAACCTCAGTCAGGGCAGGAATATTTCTGGCATTTCCATAGGAAACTGGCCTTTCCAGTTACTGGCCCTGCAGGACACTGTGAGCTCACTGCATACTTAGGCAGGCCTCAGGCTCTGCTATTCCATGTTCCATTCCTGGTCTGCAGGGCCCCTAAACGAAAGGTGGGGCAGGTGCAGCACAGTGCCCACATGCTCACAACAACCCCTATTTTCCTATGCCTGCCCACCCTGTCCCTGTCCTGAGAAGCATTCCCCAGCCCTTGACACCCCAGCCTCAGCACCCTCCACTGTCCATACAGACACAGAGACACTTTTTCCTTGGGGCAAATTGAGGCCTTTGGCACCCCTACCCTTCTCTGGCAGTATTTAACTCAGGATCCACTCTGAACTCAGATTGCCCTGCTGATGCCAGCAGACAACCAGGCTTCCCTTCAGCCCTCCTCTCCTGGGTCACCCTCCCACCGCTCTCCAAGGTTCCCCACTGCATTGTGAAGCCACAGTGCCTCCACGTGGCCAACTGTCCAGAGTCTCATGGATTCACACTTTCTGAACTGATGTGCTCAAGATTGTCCAAATCAGGAACAGGGATTCCCGCATCTCCGCTCCTACAAACCCTACCCTCTCACACACACAACCTCAATGCTTTCCCAAGCAGGCCAATTTAGGGTTGATCTTCAAATCCACCCTTAGCCAGTGGAGACAAAAGGGTGCATTAACCAATATTTTGATTGCTGATAAATGTTACATAATTGCAATTCATATGATAAGATGAAAGAGAGAACCCTGAATAACACAGGGCATAAAGTAAAACAGCTTGAAGAGATCAAACAGATCCAGCCTGGAAACGCGATATTCCATGTCTCCTTTTGATTGATCAGACACATATCTCTTCATATTTTGTACTTGGATTATTTACAGAATTTTAGATAGTGCATTTTATAATGGAGGTCTCTGGGCTTTTTCATATTTAATTCTTAATTTATAGAAAGTCTTGAAATAAACAACCCTATCAGCTATAACTTAGGCAGATTGAGTGGTCTGACATTTCCTGTCACTCCCCAGAACTGCCTATGAGCTCCACCAATCACCCAGTGCCTCTTAGTAATGAAATCCAAAGAGAAACTATTTTCATGTGGATGAGTCTCCATGAGAAAATGCACACACACACGTGTACACACTCACACATATAAACACATGCACACTCTCACACTCGCACTCATACACACGGTATCTTCTTATTGCAAGGATGATAAGATTCTATTACCGAGCACGGTGAATTTTTCTTACAGTGTTTTAGGGTGCTTTCTGAGATGATGATGTTTCCAGCCTCAAAAAATGTGGTTTTGGGAAAATGTGGTTGTGGTGAAGAATTTATTTTACCAGATCATGAGACTGGATAAATACTATTATAACATAAATTTCTTTGTTCCAAAAGGATGTTTGCAAATTCCAGCTTTAGATGTGGTTAGGATACTGTGTAACATTGGTCATTAATCCTGACTGGGGAAACACATTTGCTTGGAATATTGCAGAAGTTGTATGGAAAATTGAGACTAGCCATAATGACTCTCTGTTGTATTTCATGTGGAGGACGAAGCCCCTTTTGAAGTGAAACTCTGCTAAGTAAGAAAGTACACATAGAATTCAACTATTATATTGAGAGAATGTGAAATATTATTGTCATTTACTCAATAGAGTCAAAATAAATTTACTTATCATCTATTATGTGCCAAACTCTCTGTGACATAGTGAAGATAAAAAAAGGTGAACAAGGGTAGAGGTCATTGCATCAATTTTTTTTTTGGCAAAATTAAATATTTCACATAAAATTTTTGTAAGATTTGGCTATGATTCAAATTTGATCATGCTTTTTTTTTGAGATGTAGTTTCGCTCTTGTCACCCAAGCTGGAGTGGAATGGCATGTTCTCTGCTCACCGCAACCTCCGCCTCCTGGGTTCAAGCGATTCCCTTTCAGTTTCTATTCCATGTAAGCTACAGGATTCCCAGACCTCTTGAGGGAGTTAGGGTTTTCAACAATTTCTTTCTCCATTTTTTTAAACAAGTTCCCAACTACTACAGAATAAATCAACTCATTTTATTGTCTACTAACTTATCTTGTCTTCTCACCCTGAGTCCCAAATTCCTTCATCAAAGCTAGCCTGATCATTACATAAGCCTTCTAACATTATCTCAGAAGTTTACTATAATTTTTTTGTGCACAATTCACATATGAAACTTTTGTTACTTAACAGAGATCATTATTAATTTAAAAAAATCTATTTAATGTATTTCAAACCCCAGTGTTCTGCAAGTCTCTGGGAATGGCAGAGGAATTTTCTGGAAGAATGGAGATAGGGGAGGGGAGGGAGAGAGGTTTAAGTCATAGGGAGGAGGAACCAACGAAGAAAGGCTGTGTCACAGCAAAGTGAGGGAAATTGTAGCAGGTCTACAGTGACTTCTGGAGAGATCTGTAGGAACAGAGAGCAGGCATCAGAACCTTATCTTTGTCTGTTCTTTTCTCTTTAACCCACTTCAGAGACAGCTCCCAGTGATCCCTTATATGTTTGGTTCTTGAGAAGGACTAGTTTGAAAACTGCTTTAAAATCCTTATGTCTCTCCTCCCATTGTAATTAGGGTTTCTCCTGCAGCTGTTCTTGCCACAGTTTCCTCTTTAGACTAGTGATGAAGTCAGTTTATAGCTTGATCAACTTGATCACTCTTGGCGAGATCACAGCCTGCCAGGAAGGGTTGTTTCATGAGCGCAGCTGGTGAGAGTTTGGGGATTTGTTTCTGCCTAGGGTGAGATCCACGGTAGTGCATAAAGAGTTGGAAAGAGAAGTAGCCAGCCATACTAAAGAAGTAGATATGGAGGACAGCTAAAGTAATAATGATAATAAAAATTTACTGCTGAAGGAAACAAAAGGAACCACTTCTGATGCACAGCTTACCCTAGCAGCTTGCCCTCTAATCCCCTCTGATCACCAGTGCCCTGCCCTCTTCTGGGACCCTCCATCAAGCCCTTGAGCCTGTGTTTTCTAAATTGCCACTTTTCCTGCACAGCCACACTTCCCTTTCCCTGAGTAAATGCACATTAAAAGACATGGGCCTGGGAAAGGAAGGTCAGCTGGGTCAGGGGTACTGGAAGCCCCTAAGCTTTTTTATTTCTTGCACCACCAAAATTGGATAGTATTTAATATTTCCCCCATTTTTGGAAAATGCTGATTTAAAGAAATAATGTTTTTAAAGGAATCATTTTTTAATTTTTTTGTAACACACAGCATTGCCAATCACAGTTTCTAATCAGCATGAGATGAGTTTGTGAGTGTCACAGAACTTTAATATAATTCCATCTCAGCAAAGTCATGTGTCAGTTTCCTTATTGTGTATACCTTGGGTCACGTGCATAATTTCCTTTCATCCTCAAAAAAATTACAAATAAACTGAGGACCTTGATATTATGTTTGAAAACCTTAAGGTAGAGAATGCTACCCTAGCCAGTTCTCACTTCCTTAACCTCTGTCTTTCTTTCCACCTATGATCCCTTGATTCCCTGGAGCTGTTCCGGCCAAAGATTCTAAAGATAAGTTGAAATTACCAGATGATTTTACTATTTCTTACACAGTCCATCTGTAGTTCAGCCCAGAACAGCAGCTCTAAACAGTTTTGTTTTGCATTTGTCTCTTTAAATCTATTTATTGATTTTCTGATTTAAAACATGATTTTTAATACCTTCCTTGTCTAATATACACAGTTAGGATTAATGGATAAAATATTCGACAAAGTTGCAACCCTCAGAAATCTCCAAGCTGAGGAAGACATGCATTTATTCAGTAGATATTTACTGTAATCATGGAAGCAATTCTTAAAAAAAAAGTAGGTTAAAAAAAATCCTCAAAAGTGAGGAGCCAAACCAATGTAAAAATGGTCTGTGGGATGAGTAGTCGTTAAGAATGATGACAGGATTAGTAGCAGACAGGACTGAATGGGAAGAGAGTTCTGAAGGGAAAAAAGCAAGTGCAGCAATGAAGGGTCCTGTTCTAACGTCATGTATGTAAGGAGCTGGGCTTCAAAAAAGGAGGAAAGAAAGTGATCTGGAGGCAGCAAAGAGAAGCCCAAAGAGCAAGGGAGACACCAGGACAATAGATAAACACAGAGTAGGTCGGTTGATGTACATTTTAAAAAATTCCTGAATTTTATTCTGTACTGTTGTGATCTTGAAAACCTTGGCCTTTAAATAACAAAACTAGACAATGACAAGTGAAACCTAGGCCTATATGGAAGAACTCAGGTAAACTCAAATTGTCTTGGGCACTCAAAATACAGGAATAGTTTGCAACACCTGCCAATGATACCCTGATAGGGGTTGAGAAGTGATCAGTATGTAAGTACTACTATAGAAGAAAGAAATTATAATTCTTCAGAATGAATTGCAAGTGCTGTGTAGAAATACGCGGCATAAACCAGAAAAAATATATAGATATGCGTGTCCAGGACACAGCATCAGGGAGGAAAGAGGTCAAAGTAAGACTGGCCAGGCCTGTGTGCTTTTAGACAGCCTGTGTGGATACATGTGGATAGCTCCAAGCAGGCAGTGGAAGAGACCACGTCAGTGTCCTGTGAGTTGGCACAGGCCTTCAGCTAGAACTTGGCTCTCCTTAAGCAGGATAAAGACAAATAGATCCCTAGAGTCCAGGAGGAGCAGCTTACATCTAACCTATTTCACTGCCTGTATTACCCACAGGAGGTTTACTCTTTAAGTGCAATGCAAAATCCCTATATAAATGGTAAGTTGAAATTAACATTATAAGGAATGCCATAGAAAAGAACTTTCTTTTACAATCAAGAAAACTTGTGGGGGAAATTTCTGTTCACAGCTTAGGGTGAAAATAGAATGCAGAGGGCAGACTAGTTCAAAAGACATAGCCATTCTCAGGAGCTCTCAGCTTGCTAATGCGGATGGCAAATACCTGGAGACAAGGAAACCTACAGTGGGGGTAATTAAGGTTTATCTTACATGCCTGTGAATTCTGACTCCTTAGACAATTTGTGAGAAATTCACAAAACACATTTTCTACATTATCCCCTACACATGATTTTTTTTATGTTAATATCCTACCATCTTCTGTCTTTGTCATTCTCCAAACCCACTTAATTTTTATTTTATTTTATTTTTGAGATGGAGTCTTGCTCTGTTGCCCAGGCTGAAGTGCAGTGGCACGATCTCGGCTTACTGCAAGCTCCGCCTCCCGGGTTCACGCCATTCTCCTGCCTCAGCCTCTCGAGTAGCTGGGACTACAGGCGCTTGCCACCGTGCCCGGCTAATTTTTTGTATTTTTAGTGGAGACGGGGTTTCACTGTGTTAGCCAGGATGGTCTCGATCTCCTGACTTCATGATCCACCCACCTCGGCCTCCCAAAGTGCTGGGATTATAGGCGTGAGCCATGGTGAGCAGAGAGCAGGAAAGACTTTGCTGACGACTGCTGAGAGCTGTGGGGAGAAGAGGAAGCACCAGGGTTTCTGCACAGAGATGGGGAGATTCTGCAGTGCTGTGGCAAAGCTGCTGGCACAGAAATATAGGCCCAAGTCCCTGGGTTCCATGGGCTGGATCCTCAGAGTGGAGAATGATACATCAGGCATCTGTGCTGAGAATCAATCCTTGGACACTCCTGAGTCATCTACGAGGGTCCAGCTGCAGAAGTAATTCAGCAATTCCAGTCCCTGCACAAAGGTCTGTCTGTACCAGAGAAGATCATTGTGGCCTGAAATTGGTTCGCATCTCAGAGTTACTGATTGTCCCATCTCTGTCACTTTGTGCCTGGGTGACTGGATAACACCAGCATCTGTGTGTGCTATAAAAGAAGACAGAATTGGGGGAAAGAATAAGGAAAATATAAGGAGTCATCTAGACAGAGGTCCAGCATGACCATAATAAATATCGGAGAACTCACTCGCTACCAGGATATAAAGGGACACACAGAGGGTCCAAGAGCCCATGGCAGAGTGAGAGCAGAAGTGGAACATTCCAGACCAGGGCCTCTGTGAGCATGAACAAAGAAATTAATTTTGTGACATTTTATCCACACAAGATGCATCTGTCAGTGACGTCACTGAATGGGCCACCACCTCCAATTTGAAAGCTCCTTATTTAAGTGGAGGCTGCATCTCTGGGAGATGAATCAGGCAGGACTGAACTATAATTGATCTGAGACACAAATGCACACCTACGGAGGCTCTCTGTGGATTTGTCTTGATATTACCAATTCATAAAGCCTTCTCTATAGTATATCTTACCTAGGATCTTGCCAACTATATTCATCTGCACCTCACACTCCAATTATTTCAAGATGAACTCATTGTCTTACAGCAAGCCAGATTCTCTGCAAACTCTCCTATTCCTCTCCCTGATGTCTCTGTGCTCCTACTCCTTTGAATGCACTTCAATTATCCACAAGTGAGTTAGGAGTTGGCCCCTGAGATCCCTAGGAAGGGCAAGCATGTCAACTGCGTTGTTAGAGATACAGGAGCCGAACTGATATCCTGAAAGTTCATTCGATTTCAAAGCTCTTCTTTGCAGTGAAAGACCTCTCTGAGTGTATTTATTCTTGAACTCTAGTGAGTTTGCAAAGCCCAGAGTACAGAATCTCTCTCATTCTCTATCCATACAATAAAACAGGAAGAAGATTGTCTTTTTCATAAACATTTGGAAATTAAATGCTCCAGAGTTGACTTACATCCTATTTTTACCTCTAGCAAAGCTCAAAGTTTCTTAATCTTTACAACTGGACTTTTCCTTATAAAAGAGTCTTGCATCTCAGAAGCCGACTTCCTCTCAGGGTGTAGAGTGTACAGAGCTGAGAGAAGCCTCTGCTCTGTGGGTTGGTCAACTGGGTTAATTGCTAACCAAGAAGGAGCAGTTTAGGGCCACATTTTTGCTGCTGGCACAGAGGCATACTGCTGAGTCCCCTGCACCCCAGAGTACTTTCCGATCCTAAGGAGCAAATAGTTTACAGACGAGCTTGTGAGACCTGAGGTGTCTATTTCCTTGTGGGCTCCATCCCTTTTTGTGTCTGTTAGGCCTGGGATGTAAAACGGTGGTCAGTATTCTGGTTTCCAGGTGATCATTTTGTTTTCCTCCCTCTTACCAAGTTCCTAGGTTTGGTAGGCAGAACAAAGGCCCTCCAACCACGTCCAGGTCTAATCTCTGGAACCTAGGAATGTGTTAAGTTACTTGTAAAAGAAAAATTAAAGTTCCACACAAAGTCAGGTTGTCAATCAGCTGACCTTCATACTGGGAGAGTGTCCTGGATTTTCCAGGCGGGTCCAATGTAGTCACAAGGGTCCTAAAATGTGGAAGAGGGAGGACAAAGAGTGTCAGAGTGATGCAGCATGAGCAAAGGCTCAGTCAGTCCCTGTTGGTTTCGAAGATTGAATGGGGTAACAAGCCAAGACACGCTGGTAGCCTCTAGAAGCTGAAAAGGGGAGAAAAACAGTTCTCCCCTAGAGCTCTGGGAAAGAACGCAGCCCTGCCAACACCTTGATTTTGGCCCAGTTACACTGATTTTGGACTCCTGGCCTCCAGTATTGTAGGGTAGCAAATGTATTTTGTTTAAGCCTCCAAAATCAGTGGTAATTCATTACAGCAGCAGTAGAAATCAAATACTTTATAGTGTCCAAGGCACACATGAATACAAGAGGCAGAAGCTAGATACAAGGTACAGGTAGAGGCAAATGAACGAGTCATATGGAAAGAACTTTAATTCAAGCCAAAAGAAAAGGTACTATCTCTACCCAGACCCCACCTTCTTCCAGGGGACACACAGGAGTCTGAAGTGAGTAGCAGAGGTGAACTATTAATAGACTGGGCCATTTTCCTGCTGAGAGCAAAAGGTCTTGGTGGAGAAAACTCTGTTCTACTCCACCCTGGTGTCTGCCTAATAAGTGTATATGCTACTGGTGTTGTAATTGTGATTGCCCCCTCCCTGGGGAACAGGGTCCCTCCGATGGTCCAGGGTAGCACCTCCGTCTCTCCCTGCTCTTCCTTCTACTTTTAACAGAGCAGGTAGGGCTGGCCTGAGCTGGTTTGGGGGTTTGGAGCCAGGCTCTCCAAGGCTCCTGTAACATGAAAACTGCTTCTCTGCTTTCCCAGCCCAGAACCTGGGCACTGCACCACCCCAGCTACTTGTGCCTCCACATCTTAAGGGCGCTCAGACATATATCCACTGCAAGCACACCTGCCACTCAGCCCCATTCAGAGCTCAGTTTAGAGCAAAACCCTTCTCCACAACGATACAGGCAAATTGGTTGGTCTCTAATTCCTTCATTCCCAGCCTTCATTCCAGACAGCCCAGCTCCCTGAATCTAGGGCCAAACCCAGGGTTTCCCTTAAGAATCTTCCAGAGAGCCATCTTCGCCCCTCCCCATTTGACTCTGATGACAACAAAGCCACAGTGCCTCCTTGTGGCCAGTAGGCAGAAACAGCACAAATCTGCTCTCTTGCCAGGACACAGGGGACTTGTGCTTTGCTTTGTTGAGTCATGGAGATATGGGAATTATGATTTGTTGGTGTTAGAAGGTCAGAAAGCAATCTTAATGTTGCTATGGCCTAAGATGGAACCACCTGAGAGGTGGACATTGAAGTCAGACAAGTGGAGATAAAATATCAGTGTTAATAACTAATAGTGCTCAGATAGGAGAGCAAATAGGCCAACCCACACTATTCTGAATCAGAATTTAATCCATTCTCTCTCCCCTGCAAACTACAGGCCAACCCTGTAAGGAAAGAAAGTTCTCCACTGATCTTAGTGTATGTTGAAAAAGCACCAAAAGAATCTACTTTTTTTTCTCAGTAGCCAGGATGAAAGGATGATGATGAAGAGAGACTAACCTCAGATGAAGAGGAGACTAAATAAGATAACTTATTTCACTTCCCATAAGAAACATTTGGCAAATAATAGACAAAAACCAGTGTATCACTTTAGGGAAGTTCCCCCAAATGGAAAATGTGGAACCAAGCACCTTTCCAGGGGACTGGGAAGGAAAAGATGATAGCCACACACCTGTGACTCCCTCCAATTCTGACCCCTGCCCCTCAGGTGTGCTCACAAAACATGGCACAAATGAGTCACGACAGTGCAGGAATGAAGTAAATTCCATGTTCACTCTCTGCTCTCTGATCAACTTTATTTTATTTATTTATTTTTATTATACTTTAAGTTCTGGGATACGTGTGCAGAACATGCAGGTTTGTTATATAGGTATACATGTGCCATGGTGGTTTGCTGCACCCATCAACCCGTCATCTGCATTAGGTATTTCTCCTTATGCTATCCCTCCCCTTGACCCCCCCGCCCCAACAGGCCCTGGTGTGTGATGTTCCCCTCCCTGTGCCCATATGCTCTCATTGTTCAACTCCTCCGTATGAATGAGAACATGCGGTGTTTGGTTTTCTGCTCCTGTGTTAGTTTGCTGAGAGTGATGATTTCCAGCTTCATCCATGTCCCTGCAAAGGACATGAACTCATTCTTTTTTATGGCTGCATAGTATTCCATGGTGTATATGTACCATATTTCCTTTATCCAGGCTATCATTGATAGGCATTTGGGTTGGTTTCGAGTCTTTGCTATTGTGAAGAGTGCTGCAATAAACATACATGTGCATGTGTCTTTATAGTAGAATGATTTATAATCTTTTGGGTATATACACCCAGTAATGGGATTGCTGGGTCAAATGGTATTTCTGGTTCTAGGTCCCTGAGGAATCGTCGCACTGTCTTCCACAATGGTTGAACTAATTTACACTCCCACCATCAGTGTAAAAGCGTTCCTATTTCTCCACATCCTCTCCAGCATCTGTTGTTTCCTGACTTTTTAATGATCGCCATTCTAACTGGCATAGGATGGTATCTAATTGTGATTTTGATTTGCCTTTCTCTAATGACCAGTGATGATGAGCTTTTTTTCATATGTTTGTTGGCAGCATAAATGTCTTCCTTTGAGAAGCGTCTGTTCATATCCTTCGCCCCCTTTTTATGGGGTTCTTTGTTTTTTCTTGTAAATTTGTTTAAGTTCCTTGTAGATTCTGGATAGTAGCCCTTTGTCAGATGGATAGATTGCAAAAATTTTCTCCCATTCTGTAGGTTGCCTGTTCACTCTGATGATAGTTTCTTTTGCTGTGCAGAAGCTCTTCAGTTTAATTAGATCCCATTTGTCCATTTTGGCTTTTGTTGCAATTGCTTTTGGTGTTTTAGTCATGAAGTCTTTGCCCATGTCTATGTCCTGAATGGTATTGCCTAGGTTTTCTTCTAGGGTTTTTATGGTTTTAGGTCTTACTTTTAAGTATTTAATCCATCTTGAGTTAATTTTTGTGTAAGGTGTAACGAAAGGGTCCAGTTTCAGTTTTCCGCATATAGCTAGCCAGTTTTCCCAGCACCATTTATTAAATAGGGAATCCTTTCCCCATTGCTTGTTTTTGTCAGGTGTGTCAAAGATCTGATGAAGTTTAAATATTTACTCTCTATTCTCATTACCCTGTTCGAATGAAGCATCGAAGGTTATGTAATTAACAACATAATAATACTCTAAATGATAAAATGTCAAAACCAAGTGAGTGTCCCAATTTGATTATAAATCCCCTTCAAGTTTTTAAAAAAGTCCTTTCCTCGAAATTAAAGTTTCAGTAAAACATTCCTCTATGCTATTTAAGTTAAATATCAAGCAAATCACAGACTAAGAATCAGACATTGAAATTCAAAGAAAATTAAAACTTTAAATGAAATTCTTTGACCTTCATCTGAGTAATTACAGAAGAGGAAACTCAAATTGTCAGAGGCGTTCAAACCAGAGTGACTCCATCTTAAGTGAAAAAATGAGGCTGGGCCTTGCTGGGCTGCATTCCCAGAAAATCAGGTATCCCTAACCTCTAGATGTTTATGGTTAAAGCAACAGATTAATAATGTTTACTAAACAGACCCAGACTTGGGAGTGTCATGATACCCCAATATCTTGGGAACAGAAACATTCCTAATTTCTCTTTAAAGATAATAATACTGATTCTTGCAAAACATAGTAATTAAGAAAGTTAATCCTTTATCACAAACCCTTGTAGCAGAGCACATCTCTCAACGATCTTTTCTTATCCTATATATAAACAAGTATTGTACCTAGGGTAGATGCGCTCCTCCTGTTACTTTTGGGAAAGCCCTACTCTGTCTATGGGGTAGCTGTTCTTTCACCATGTTACTTTCTTAATAAACTTGCTTTGGCTTTTCACTGTGGAATCACCCTGAATTCTTTCTTGCATGAGATCCAAGAACCCTCTCTTGGCGGTTGGATCAGGACCCCTTTCTTGTAACAAAATTAACCCTTCTGTTATTATTTAAATAGTTGGGTAAATTACCACACTAACAAAAACTGAAACTAATTAATATCCCAAAAACATTATGAGGGATAACTGGTCCAGAATCTTGGAGAAGGCAGGAGCCTGGGGGAGTGAACACAGCAGTCACTGCCCTTAGGGGCATTTGCTGATCCCAGCCCAGCTCTCAGGAAGCTGATTCACAGGCTGGGGGGTAATGGCTAAGACCAGAACTTACTGAGGGTGACCACTGAGGAACTTGAATTGAAACAATGAACTAGTAGGAAACCTGTTCTCCAGGGGCTCCAGGACACCTCTAGCCTTTAACTCTTTTTCAGGGAGTCCTGGATTGTTTATGTATCCATGCACTTTACAAAACACAATAAAATTATCTCTGCAGAAAGATATGTCCATCCTAGACCAAAAATTATTTCTACAACCATAGTGTCTGGCATGATGTCAAAAATAATCAGGTTTATAAGGAAAAATACAAACAAATGACCAAGAAGCAGCACAAAAGGAAATCAACACAAACAAGCCACAGAGATCTCAGAGGTGAACAGGAGCAGACAGACTGAAATAAATGGGAGTCCTACGTTCAATGAAATACAAGATGCTCTCAAGAAGTGTTACGAGGGAATCACTGACAGCCATGGTCCTTCGGAGGATTCCCAGGAAGCTGCCTTCCCAAACATTCTAACCAGTACTTTAGAATGAGTTCTAGTACAGGAGAATCTGGGCAGAAGTTAGGGTAGAGACTAGAGTTGGACACACACAGTGCATTATCAGAGGAGACAACTGGACCAGGGGCAACTCATTGCTTCTGAAGTTCTGGCAGGAATATCTAATGCACTAAGGAGCTATTTTAGTGGGCAGACAAGGAAGTAGGCAGGCAGGTGGAAGTGTCTTCACCAGCCTCTGAACTAGCTGGCCCAGGCCTAATTATAGTGTTGGGCTGTGTCTGTTACACTGAAAAGTTAAAGCACTCCAGAGAAGCAAAATTCATTTTGAGTTAAGATTTGGGAATTGTTTCCAGGATAACCATTTGTGTGCATTTCTTTGAAGTTTAAAGTGTGCTGAATGAAATAGCTGAAATGATCAACATCATCATCATTACAATATTATTATTATTGTCATATTTCCACAAAAACAGAGGGAAAAGATTTCCAAACACACAGTGTCTGTTGAGATTTGACTGCATGAAACATCCAGTGAGAGGTCAAGAAGAGGCTCCAGAGCCAGATAAGATTCACATCATTCAGATGCTGACAACGGCAGAAGGAGGGCCTGCTGTTTGTTACTTGCATGTAATCAATATCTATATTATTAAAGTTTAACACACATGTTTTGGTGATTAAATGTTTTTATTTTTCAAGTTTATTTATTTATTTTCTTAATTAACGTACAACATTGTGTGCATTTTTTATAGAAGAACAACCATCACTGCCCCTGAGGACTAGGTCTGGGATAAATCACTTTCAGTTTTGGTTTCTTGAATTCCCACCCAGAAGTGTTTCAAATCCCTAAGACATGTTTTCAACCAACAACTATAGCGCTCATGTTTTAAGAAAATAGTTCATTTCCTCCCACTATATGAACCCTAGCTATATCTGAAAACTCACTTCTTCCCTGAGAGGATGAGGAATAAGGAAAGGCTGCTGTGAGCTGAGTAGAGCGGAGAGAGCCCTGGAGTTTTGTGCACAGGACAGAAAGTCTCTGCAACGCTGTGGCTAAGCTGCTGGCACAGAGATACATGGCCGAGTCCCCAAGCTCTGCAGGCTGGATCTTGAGAGTGGAGTCTACTCCTTTGAGCCTCTCTGCAGAAAATCGATCCTTAGGCAACTGTGAATCATCTACTACACTCTCATCCTGAAATTGAACCAGAAGCTCCGGGCCCTGTCCCAGGATCTGCCGGTACCAGTAAAGGGTAGCATGGCCAGAAATAGGATCACACCAAAAAGCCACAGCCTGGCTTTTCTCTGTAATCTTATATCTGGGGGACTGGGCAACTTCAGCTTCTGAGAGTTCTGTTGGGGAAAAAGACAGAATTTGAAAACAGAAAGACAGAAATGATTGAAGAAATCACTGGAATTTCCAATGGGATGATCATGGTGTTCTTAGGACACACCTGCCCCCAGGAGACAGAGGGCCATCCAGCAGAGAAGCCTGGTGCTCATGGCAGGGTCAGGGCAGGATGGGAGCTTTGCCAGTTCAGGGTCCTTGTGAACAGGAGCAGAGGAGGTGGGACATCCTGTCCTTATACGGTAGTTCCTACAGTAACATCATTGTCTCCACAAGTGCCTAAGTTCTTAGAAACCAGTTGTTATGAACTAAAACAGAGCTAGAAGTTGCTTTAGCGTATTCATGGACTGTGTGTAAGTTCATCCAAGTGTCTTTACTCACATCTCTAGGGCTTGGGGGATTGGATCACCCACTGCATCTCCAGGGCCATCTTCTGCTGCATGTTTCTACTTGAATGTGTCAAAGGCAACTCAAAATACAGACAACAATTAGTAACCTCTATGTCTTATCTGTATATCCTTCTCTCTGGGCATTTCTGTCTTACCAGGTTCTCCATTTTCTCATTGCTATGAGCTTAGACAGAGTGGGAGCTGGGGTAGTTGACACAGGTTTATCCTAGAAGCATGTTGAACCAGCTGACATGCTCTAAGCTAAAGGGGTAAAATAATACCCTGAGAGAGAGTTGGAAGGGTTCATTTTTGGTGAAGGTCAATGGCCAGCTTTCTCTTTTCTGTTATCAAGCTTCATGATGCATTGTGTACCAAGTCTTCATCATGGTTCTGCCTATGGTTCTTGGTCATCAATGTAATGAAAGTTCTGATATCTTATAAGATGGGTGGGGACTCTCTTATCCCTGAAAATATCATTGTGAATACAGTAAGAGATCCAAAATCGGCCGGGTATGGTGGCTCACGCCTGTAGTCCCAGCACTTTGGGAGGCCAAGGTGGGTGGATCACGAGGTCAGGAGATCGAGACCATCCTGGGTAACACGGTGAAACCCCGTCTCTACTAAAAATACAAAAAATTAGCCGGGCATGGCGGCACATGCCTATAGTCCCAGCTACTCTGGAGACTGAGGCAGGAGAATGGCGTGAACCCGGGAGGTGGAGCTTGCAGTGAGCCGAGATCGCGCCACTGCACTCCAGCCTGGGCGACAGAGCAAGACTCCGTCTCAAAAAACAAAACAAAAGAAAAAAGAAATCTAAAATCAGATTTGTTGAAATCTTAAAAAAAAAAAAAAACCTTACAGATTTAGTATAAGTTACAATTGAACAGCAGTGGCTAGTATCTGGCATTTTTTTTCTAATGGGGCAACATTAGTCACAAATATACTTTTATTCATTGCCTAAGGGGTAAAGGATGGGAAGAGTTAGGGGATGAAGCACCTGAGAGTTGGCATAAGACAATAATACAAGGAGATGCATGTCCAGAGAGCTGGGAACGAGGATATATGTGTTCAGTGAGGCAGGCTCAAAGTCCCCAAAACCTAGGGGACACATGTGAAGGTTATCAGGTGAATACCTGTGGGTATAGAATTACAAGAGCCCTCTGTTTCTGTCATAAATCCTCTATCACTGAGGTAAACAGCTGCTGGTTTGAGTCTAACTCATGTAGGCACCAGGTAACAATTGCATGATGGAAAATTTCTTCACATTAAGGTGCCACTACTTGCTCCATCTTTGTGACCAGAGTTGTGGCTCTGAGTTGACAACAGCATTCAGGGGATAGAGGCTGGTGGCTGGAAACAGGACGTATCCATCTATCAAACCTATCAATCACAGGACCCACATATGGTGTGCTTGCGAGTGAGGCATGCCAAGTCCAGGGACGACATTCCTCATTGTTCCTGGGCCTCACCTGCTTCCTGGGCAGCACAACCAAGAAATCCATGACAGAATCCTTGTCAAGACAGGAATGGAGCATCATCATGCTGCTCAGGGAAGAAAAGGCCAGAGCCCTGGGAAATCTGGCTCTTATTCAGAATATTTGCAAGGTTATTTGAGCTAAGCCTATCTGGAGAGGTCTGGAATTGTCCACTCCCCTCTCCTATGTTCCCTTTACATCCTCCTGTCCACCATCCAGGGCACAACTGGAATGGGTTAGGTGTGGGGTACAGGTGAATTGCTAAGGTTTCTCTGAGTTCTCCTGAGGAGGAAGTGGTTCTCCCTTTATATGGGTCTGTGAGCATGCAGGCTGGCTCCTGGCTCTCCTCCATCTATCCCTGATGCAAGCCCAGAACATTATTCACTCAATGTTTTGCTACAGTTGGGGTTTCCCTGCTGAACAGAGGATACTGGCATTGCTGGAAGATGAAGAGTTTCTGTTTAATGGCTCACATTCCACAGGACACTCAAACATCTGCAAACTAGATTCTGGATGCTGGGATGAAGTCACACTTTTCCTTTAAACTTAACTCCTCAGACAGCACTGAGCCCTGATTTAAAAGCAAGCCAACCCCAGCAAACCCTAGTGCCGCCTGCTGGTCAATGAACGGTTCAGAGTTACCAGGCTCAGGCCCTCCATTCATGGGTCAGAAATACTGGGGCCATGTCTACACTGTCCTCAGTAGAATCAGGGCTAATATTGGACAGTGTTTGCGCGGCACTGGGGGGAGTTCCTCCCAACTCCATCTATTCCTACTGTCTTGCCAGAGCCCCGCCTGCGGTTTGGCCGTGGTTTGTCCCCACCAAAACCATGTCCCTTGGTTTTGATTTACTTTTTCCTCTGGGACAATATCAAAGATCATGTATTTCAGGAAGTTGTCGGATCTCTTTAGTTACTTTTCAATGATACATCTCCTCCACCCACTTATTATATTTTCTGTTTTTCATGACCATAGATTTTTGAAGTGTCCTGGTCAGCTTACTTCTAAAACAGCTCACGATAAAAATTTTCATATTATTAGAGGTTAATTACTTGGAAAATATACACCATAGATGATGTCTATTTCCCATTGCATCTGGTCAATCACAAGAATATGGAATGTCATTTTTATGCATTTTGGCAATGCTTAATTTGAGATGACTGATCCAAGATCTCTCCATTGTGAATGTGCCCTTTACCCTTTGTAATTAAGTAATAATCTGTGTATTGATGCTTTGAAACAAGGTACATATGCTGTTAGGCACCAAAAACATATATAAGGAAATAATGGTTGAAAATTTCCCAAATCTGAGGAAAGACAGCAACATCCAGGTGCAGGAAGCTTGGAGGCTGCCAATCAAATTCAACCCAAAAAGGAGTTCACCAAGACACAATATAATCAAATTACCAAAAATCAAAGACAAAGAAAGAATACTAAAAGCAGCATGCAGTGAGAAACATATCACATTTAAAGGAGCCCCAGTATGGCCTTCAGCAGATTTCTCAGCAGAAACCCAACAGGCCAGGAGAGAGTAGAACAGTATAACTCAAAGTATTGAAGGAAACAAAAACTGTTAGTTTAGGCATCTACTAATGGAATTTGTCTATAATTATGTGGATGGTTGCATTGATTTTCTCATTAGATATATCAACTAGCATTCTTCCGTAATGAAGAGATTCTTATCTATCTCTTTTGATTGTCATTATAGCCTTATAGATTTTTATAACTTGTTACAATTCAGTATCCTCATTATTCTTCTTTAAAGCTTGCATTGACCCGGATTTGGCTAATGGAGCCCCTTGAAATTGCTTCTGTGGATTTTGGACATGTCTTCTTGGTTCTGACCTTTTTCTTGATTTCTACCAAAAGATGTTCTAACACTTTTCCTTCCCTTGATATGGAAGCAGCCTTTTATAAGGAATAACATTTGGAATAAAATAATGTACCTATTGTTACTGGGGAGCACAAAAAAAAGCAAATATAGCCATTCGTTTATTTACTTTGTATTGTTTTTTAGACCCTTCTCTGGATAAAGTTAGGAAATATATAATCTTTAAAACCTTAAGTTTGCATTAATAACTCCAATTCAAGTCAGCACCACAGATTTCTTCCTCATCTTCCCGTTTCTTATTTATATCTCTCTTCTCTTTGTAAAAAAAATCTAATTCCCAGAAATATCAATAAATTACTTATTTCTCTCTTCTACAGTATACCAAAAATGTCTCAGAAGTACTGCACTAAAAACACTAGCCACAACAAATCGCCCAAGAGAAGTTTAATCTCAATCTCAATTTCCTTTAGTATCATCACAGTACACCAGCTTAAATCTAAAGTCAACAGCGACTCTAAAAACACAATCAAATAAAATAAATATTACCTTCAAAGAAGGTATGCAAATTGCCCATAGGCACAAGAAAAGACACTTAACATCTTTAGTCATTAGGGAAATGCAAATCAAAACCGCAATGAGATATCATTCACACTTACTAGGATGGCTATAAAAACAGTAATCATCATCATCATATTTTTGAAAAGAAAAAAGAAAAAGAAAAGGAAATAACAAGTTCTGGAAATGTTGTGAAGAAACTGGACACTGCTGGTGGAAATCCAAAATCGTGCAGCTGCAACAAAGAAATATTTTGGTAGTTACTCAAAACGAGAAACAGAATTACCAAAGGACCCAGAAGTTCCACTCCTAGGTATAGACCCAAAAGAATTGAAAACAAGGAATCAAACAGATATTTCCAGGCCAATCTTGACTGCACCATTGTTCTCAATATCTACAAGGTGGAAACCACCCAAATGTCAATTGACTAATGAATGAATAAACAAATGTGTTATATACACACAATGGAATATTATTGAGAATGAAAAAGAATGAAGTTCTAATAAATGCTACAATGTGGATACACCTGGAAAGCGTTATGCTAAGTGAAAGAAGCCAGAAACAAAAGGAAAAATAGTGCCTGGTTTCATGTAAATTCATTATCTAAAATAGGCAAATTCGTTCATATACAAAATAGATTAGAGTTTGCCAGAGGAGGGAGAATGTGAAGTTATTTCTTAATGGGTACAGGGTTTCTGTTTGGGGTGATGAAAATAATTTTGGAAATGGATAATGCTGATAATTCCACAACAAGGTGAATGTACTTAATGTCATTGAATTGTACATTTAAAAAATAAAGTGATGAAATTATATGTTACGTGCATTTTATCATACTTTTTAAAAGATGGAAAGACTACCTTCAAAATAGGAAAAACACTGACAGTTGCATTCTCCATTATTGAACTTAAAGACAATGAAAGGAACCCAAGTGATTTAAATACATTGATAAATTTTCCAGAAATGTGGTTTGTCACAATATATCCCACAGTGGGTTTTCTGATGTAGTTGTAATTATCTTTTGTAATAAATATACAAACAATTTTCACCAGCCCATATGTCTACTCAAATGTAGGACTGTCATTCCTTGGAAAAGTATCCAATCTAGTAATTTTGAAATCATAACTTACTGTTTCAGGTTGCAATATTCTGATTGTAAGTAAGGTTGCGAAGTTATTCTCATGTTTAGTGGTAACTTATGTTCACTCTTGTGTGAATTGCCTACTCAGCCTCAGTATTGCTATTTTTATTGAGCTGTCTTCTTAATACTAAGTAATAAGAATATTTTACTCATTCTAGATACTAATTCTCTTAGACAAGAACAGCTGTGCTACAGAAAACAAAACAAAACAAATCCTAAAATCTCACTGGCATAGCTCTATGAAGTCTTACTTCCCATGACCACAAAGCCCAGTGTGGCATGAGCAGCTTTCTTCTGTGATTGTCCACCAAATTCTGACTCAGTGAGCCAGGCTGCTTCCATATTATCATTAGGCAATCTGTACCGTGTAGCTCCCGAGTTCAGGACATGGCAAAAGAGAGTTGAAGAGTGTCTGTGCACAAGAGTTGACAGGAGGCTGGAGACTGCGGTGCTTAGAAAGTCCTGCTTGCAAGATTGGACTCTGGCAGACATCTGGGAGCTTGGCTGGTGAACGGTGCCCTGAACTGATGCAAAGTTTCTCCTGACTGACAGGGGTGGCTCATCGTTCCTAGGCTGGTGTTGCAAATAATATTATGCTGAACATCAGATTTTCTTTTGGGATCTAGACTTTTGGTTCATGCTAAAAAGTAGGTGCCTGTGTGACCAGCTTCTACTAAAACCTCTTGGGTGCTAAGTCTGTAATGGGCTCCCTTGGCAGATACACTGCACGTGTGTTAATGCATTTTTGCTGCTGGGAGGAGAGAGAGCTCTGTGTGACCCCTCCTGAGAGGAAGAGAGCATAAGGAAGCCTGCCTGTGAATTCCTCCAGATTCTGCCTGTGTGTTTTCTCCACATGTTCTGCTGCAGAGTATTTACTATGACACTTTAATAAATCTTAGCCATGAGTACAACTCTATGCCATATACCAACACTCTAAACATGGGAGTACATTTAGAGACCCTCAACATGGTGCCACAGAATATTTTTAAGGGCCAGGCTTGAAATGAGCTGACATCATTTTATCCCACTATTCAGAACCTGGTGACATGTTCCCACCCCTCCAACTGCAAGGGAGACCAGAAACCATGGAGGAGCTACAGGTATTCAGTGATGTTCTGAATGTTCTCTGTTACACTGAATGTTCTCTGTCACACTGATTTTTCATCATTTGTATGCATTCCTCATGCCTTTCCCAGGCTGTAGCTTAACTTTATTTTTTATGGTGTGTTTTGGCTTGAAACAATTTAATGCAACTAGCGTTATGAATGTTGTTCTTTTGGCTTGTGGCTTTTTGTCTCCTCTAAAAATGTCATCCCTCAACTGAATGCATAAAATGCTTTTCTTAAATTTTTCTAGTAAACTTTCTTTTTTGCTTTTTACAATTAAGAGCAAGTGTGCCTGAAATACACTTTAATTTAAGAAATGAAGTAGAGATGTAGGACTAAGTGGGTGGTATGTATGCTCAGTGCAGAAGACAGAATTTATATAAACAATCCCCAGGGTGGAAAACAACAGACACATATGAAGAAATAACTGCATGTAAGGGAGTGTGGCTGGAGCAGAGAGCCAGGGAAAACATGGTGCAAAATGATGATGAAGAGGTACGTAAATGGCTAATGATATAGGACCTCGTGGGTCTATTGCCCTTAGAATAAAGGGCCCCCAGGAGCAGAGACCACATGGGCAAAGATTTATGATTGGGAGTTGAAAGGCAGTAGAGGGTAGGGGAAAGGGTATGTGGAAAAGTCACCCAGCCCTTAGGGTAGAGAAGAATATGGTGGGTTTCAAATTTTCAACGAAATTAGGAATCTCGACTAAAGATGCCTTTTCCATTTTACAAAAGGAAAGAGGGAACTGCAGAAGCTAAGGGTGTTGGGGTGACCTCCAGTTGGTCTGAGACTGGGGTAGGAATGGACCTCAACATCAAGGTTTATATGGCCCCTGCTCTATGGCCCCCAGGCTAGCCAGGGCTCTCCGACTCCTGTGAAGGCTGGGACTTGGGAGCACAGGCAACCTCAGTCATTCTAACTGCCCTTTATGTGCAGAGAGGAGGCAGCTGTGCAGCACTGTGGACTCACTGCTGGCGCAGAAATATACAGATGTCTGGGAGGAGGCAGCAGACTCCAGAGTGAGGGGGAGGTCCTCTGTGTTTGATCTAGAGACACTGTAGCCATCTGAGACTTCTCCTTTGTTAGTGTCGTGAACACCATATGAGTAATGGATCAGCCTCAGCCCATGTCCCAGGTCTTGTCGATACCAGAACATATTGTTGTGGTTCCAAGTCTGGTGACACGCCAAGGTCACCTGCCTTCCTGTCTCTGTGATCTTGTGTCTTGGGCTCTGGGTGATTTCAGCATCCCTGTGTCCTGTAATAGAGAACAACAGATGCTGATGCTGTCATCCCAACAGAAAAGCCTGCACTGAGGCCTTGGGAATTCCAGGGAAGGAGGCCCTCCTGTGACCAGCCCTCACCTGCCCACAGCAGACAAAGGGCCACATAGAAGAAGAGCCTCGTGCCCATTTCAGCTCCAGGGCAGGATCTTGTGTCTCCCAGCCCTGCTGTGGGCAGACTGAAGTTGGGCTCTCAGTGACTTGATGATGTCACTGTTCCTGCTGAATGCTTGAACTGCGGAGCTAACCTGCCATGCCCCTTCTCTTCCCCGCAGGAACAAATTATTTATAACAGAGTTGAATAATTTTTAGGTCTGTTTTGAAAGAAATCTAATAAACTCCTAAGCTCTTTCCCTGATTTTAATAGGGGAATTTGTTCTTCTATGTATATTTTATTTCCATCATGAGAAATTCTTTATTTGAATACTATTTTCACTTTTATGAATATTTCTGTAGGCTAAAGAACATTGTCATAGCAGTCCTGGTGACTTTTATGACTTCCTGCACAAAATTCAACTCCAAGTTGAATTATTTTCCTCTTCGTTTAACCTCTGGACACTTGTATGCCAGCATACAGGGATACCCTCGGTTAAATGACATCCAGAAATGTCTCCAAGTTCCAAGTTCCAGGTTCAAGGTCATGACCGCTTGAAGACTTGTTACATGCTGTAGCACCTCATTACACCTGATGGGAATGTCACCATCCAAGCTCAGGCTGCTGTGTATTCTCATGGGGGTGTTTTCTCCCTTTGCTTCAGGTGAAGCCACAAACACTGCCCCATCTAAGTCCCCTGAGTGACTGTACTTCCTGTGAAGAAAAGAGGAGGCTCATTAGGAATATGGATGAAATGTTCACCAAGAACTACACCTACCTGGAGTCTCTAGGGTCACAGGAAAATCCTCTATTCCCATCCAGCAGATCTTATATTCACCAAATGGGAGAAGGTTGATGGATTTGTAAACGTGCTATGGTGCAAAACTCACATGTAGTCCATAGCACTGCAATAGTTATTTCAGATACAATAGGCTATCTATTGCACATCTTGATGCAACCTGGATGGGTAATTCCCACAATCATGCTCCAGTGAGAGAGGACACAGAATCAGAAGTGGAGACAGGGAGGAGGCCCATGAGCACCCCCATAGGAGGCCGTGGTTGGGGCCCGACAAGCCCAGGAAGGACTTTCTCATCTATGCCCAGAACTCACCTGATCCTGGGAGACCAAGAGCCACACAGCAAAGAAGCCAATCCTCATGGTTGGGCCAGGGCATAAAAAAAAAAAAAAAAAAAAAAACTTTTCAGATCAGGACCTTCATTTTGCAAGGTAAGGCACGTAGAATTCCAGAGCTCCAAGGATCATTCCCTAAATCAGGTATGATTTACCAAGAATGTTGATATTCTCAATGACACTCTAACTTCTCCGGGAAGATAAGCATCTACCAGGAATATATCCTTCTACTTTTAAATTAATTTATTATTAAGTATAATAAATTATAACAATTATGTGTTAAAATCGTCTACCTCAACTTGAAGCTTTGTCTGTTTTTTGCACTGGTGTTTCCCAAGTACCTGGACAGTACCTGTGTATTTGCCATGAAGCCGATGAAGAATAACCTCAGGCCTTCTCACTTGCACAGGGTCTTTTCAACTCTTTGCTATTTTGCACTCTCTTTTGCAAAGAGCTACCTAAAATGTATCAGCTTTGTGCGCCACAAAACTTGAATCTAATCTTCACCTATAATTCATTAAATATTTATTGAATGAAGAAAGGAATGAATGATTATCTGAGTCCAGGCAGATTCTACTTCTGTAAACAGAATCCAAGTTTATTCAGTTCAAAATAGGTTTGAAGTTTTAAGGGAGCAGGGAGCCATCCTGAGAACGCTGGGAATTCCAGATGAATCCAGATGGATTTGGAAAAGATTAGTTTATATACATCATCATAAGACTTTTTAAATGAATGGGTAGCCATATGAATAAAAGATAAACAGTTGTCTCCTTCAAAAGGTAGGGTCTTTTGATGGTCGCTTCATTCCATCACTGCCACAGTTTAGTCTGTCTCTGAAGACAAAGTCTGTGATGGGGAGACTTGGGTGCATGTAGCTTATTTGGGAAATGATTCCAGGAAGAAGTAAGAGAGCAAGGAAAACAAAATAGGGAAGGGAGAAACCAGGATAAAGGTGCAATATTGTATTTGTGCCGGGGCAACAGGAGACGGAATCCATCAGGACCTCCAAGAGCATAGGGTGCTCTCTGGAGTATCTGCATGAATGGGCAGGTTGGAGCTTTTGTCCCCCTGTCCTGTTCCACCAGGAGCATCAGGACCTCTGGCTGTCTTTGAATACAGCCCAAGTGGATTCAGATACCAGAGAAGACCCCAGAGCAGGAAGCAGCAACATTCCAAGCAGGCACTGCAGAAGGGCACTGTCAGCAAGAGGTGAATGGGAACTGGCACCGTCCACAGCAGCAAGGCTGAAATCAGAGGTGGGCGGAGAGGATGTCATGGAAGCCACTAGAGGCTCCTCTGTGGTCTTCTTTCCAATAAAGCTGTGCCTTCTTCTATCAGCTCTCTTGTGTGATGTACAATTGCACTGAAGCCATATCTTTCTAGGAGCACCACACCTTCATGCACATCAGACTCAGTTATCAAGCAGGAAGTTCATAAGAGGTAACATTTTCATATTTCCTTAAACGGCAACTCTTTATGTTAATTTTACATAATGAACTATCAGACTACTATATTTGCATTTTAGATGACTTTGTGTCTGAAACATGATTTAATCAGGCAAAAGTAATCTGTGCTTGTCTTTGTTACCAGAATTTCAGAGAGTAAATAACTGTGCTAGATTGGAGATTTGTCAGAGAATTTATAGGGACCTAAGATTTCTTGAACCTACACTTTATATGACTCTAATTTTTAAAGTTACCTCTCTCAAATCTCTGCCAGACTGGCCAACATGGTGAAACCCCATCTCTACTAAAAATACAAACATTAGCTGGGCTTGGTTGTGTGTGCCTTTAGTCCCAGCTACTCGGGAGGCTAAGGCAGGAGAATTGCTTGAACCCAGGAGGCGGAGGTTGCAGTGAGCTGAGATCGCGCCACTGAATTCCAGCCTGGCAACAGAGCGAGACTCTATTTCCAAAAAAAAAAAAAAAAATCTCTGCAAATTGAATTCGGTTTACAAATGAGAACACTCAGCCAAATATATTTCAGGTCACCAGCCCAAGGGGTCAGAATATGAACTGCCGAGGTCTCCTTGTCTCTTTGATGAATGAGGACTATAATCTGCATTTATAGATATTTTTAACTCCCTTTCTTCACCGTTCCTGTCGGTCTCAGTCTATTCCTTTGCGAGATATTTGTCTTTCTTGGACTGCTTGAAAAATTGTGTCTTCATCATTCATATTCTTCTATTTTAACACTGAGGTAACTATTTAACCTGGGATTTATTTGAATTCTTGAAACTCACGTTTTAGGTCTTTAGATGTCTCTGGAAATTTCTCAGCTAGCATCACACACAATATCACCTCATATCATTCTCCTTATTTTCTTTCTCTGACACTTCAATGACATAAGAATAAATGGAAAATTCTTATGAAATGTTACATATATTCGAATATAACTGAAACCTCCATTGTTTCTTCTCTGTTGCTTCCTCTCTGTTTCATATTATACATTTAATTTTTTGTGTTGTTTTGGGTAACTTCTTAAGATTTGTCTTTGAAGTCAATAATAATCTCTTCAATGAGCATCTAATCTGCTCTTCAATTTATCTGCTTTCTTTTAGTCATTTTAGGGATCATTTCTAGACATCCCATTCAATGCTTTTAAAAAAGTTATCTAATGATTTCTGAGAGTCTCTTTTTTCTTGTTCAGGTTTCAATTCTCTTTTGTGTGCATTTAACTACAGCTCTTCAAACTGTCATATGTCATGATGCTAAAATTTAAACCTTCAGGCTGCCTATTGTGAGTGTTTATGAATTCTGCTAACTTTTAATATTCTTCATAGTGGCAGTATATTTGTCTGACATTCATCTATGGGGTTTTGGAGAGGCTATAGCACAGCCTCAACAGCCAGTACCTTCCACAAGTGTCTCCAGTCTCACCCCCCCAACTGCATGAGTCAAGAACTGTCTGCTACACTCTGGGCTGCTAAGCACACCATGGATTATGTTCCTCATATCATAATCTTTTCTCAGGACAACCCCAGTGTAGGCTCCAGAAGAGAGTTCTGATTTTCTAATTCTTCTTCATTATACTATCTTCACAAATTAGAGCCCCTGAGCCCTTGAAGTTTTATATAATGAAACTTCCTAAATCTGCAAATATTATCTCTTCTTTCCTTTTTGTCCTACCCAAATCTTCAGGCACTAGCCTATATATGCAAATTATATTTGTAGACTTTATACTTATACAAGATAAAGAACGTACCATATTTTAAATTAAAAATTCCCAAACCAGCTGACAAACTGCTTCCATAGAGAGTGGCCCTAGGCTTGTTCAACAAGTGAATGCTCATTTATAAACCCCCACAGACCATCTCAGTCATGACTCTTCAACTCTTAACTATTCTGGACTCTGGGTAACTAGGAACTAAAATGTGAAAAAGAAAGTCCTAGTAAAGAGATTTGTTTTACCATGGGTTGTTTTAAGACTATAATGGAGTGATATCCTCAGTTTACTACTTAGTTCCAACTCATTCAAAATAAAATGAATATACTTTACATTGAAACCATACGCTCTTCATTCTCCCTTTAATGGGATTAAGAGGTCAAATTAATCGTAAATTAAATCTGCCTAGATATCTAGATAGAACTGGTGGTCAGAGGACAAAACTCTTTTTTTTTTTTTTTTTTTAAGAGATGGAGTCTTGCTCTGTTGCCCAGGCTGGAGTGTGCAGTGATGAGATCTCAGCTCACAGCAACCTCTGCCTCCTGGGTTTAAGCAATTCTCCTGCCTCAGCTTCCCACAGGTATGTGCCACCATGACCAGCTAATTTTTGTAATTTTTTTTTTTTTGGAAGGAACGGAGTTTCACAATATGTTGGCCAGGCTGGTCTGGAACTCCTGACCTCAGGTGACCAGACCAGACCTCGGGCTCCCAAAGTGCTGGGATTACAGGCGTGAGCCACCACGCCCGGCCAACAAAACTCTATTGGCAAGACCGTTTCTGGAGGTTGGAAAGAGGCCAGTATCTGAATTAGTTGCTGTGGGGTTAGATACTAGGACGTGTGATATCCTGGGGGGACCAGCTGATATGGGGGTCAGAGGGTGAGGTGTGTCTTACTAGGAACTGAATGAAGTCAGGAGAAGGATTTTCTTAGGAAATTTTCTTTCAGTCTTCTCAGACATATTTGGGCACTTTTACCCTGTCTGGTTTTTCCTGTTTAGTGCCAGGTCTACACAGGGAAGAAGGCATCTCTACAGCACTGTATTCTTACCCTCATCAGAGAAATGCAGAGCTAGTCCCTCAGCTCTGAGAGTTTCACTTTGAGTGAAACTCAAAGTTTGTCATCAGATTACTGAGCTAGGGGTCAGCTATGAATCCATGAAGTGCATTTCTCATACTGTGGAGCCCAAAGGGAGACCAGAGCACTTGCTTGGGGTATAACAGAACTGGGCCCCAGAAGGCAGCTAGAGGTGAGCTTCCCTCCCAGTGCCTCCGTGGGCTGCCGCACATTGAGCAGGGGCCCTGATATCCATGCAACTCCAGCAGGGCGGAAGTTCAGGAAGGAGATGGGAGCAGGAGGCAGATCCCTGCGTCTGAGTGGAGGGAGACTGCCGGCACAGGTTAAAAGAAAAGCCAGTAGCTGGGGCCTGGAAAATCTAGGACAGAGACATCTAAGTTGTGTCCACAGTCACCTGGGCAGCAGTGGTGCCGCCAAAAATGGATCCTGGGGACCATGATAGGTTGAAACTCGTATGTGACCAGATGCCTCAACCTGGGAGAATCCATCCCGTACCGGGTTGTGTTAAGTTAACTTAGCCAGGACAAGAAGTTATATTTCTAAGAATGCCTTTATCTTTATGATTCTGGGTTACAGTTGGTCAAGGAGCTATTCGAGTGAACTGTGGAAGATAGAAGTAAAACTGTCACCACTATACTTGGTAGGACATTAGGCTAAATGAGATAAGCCAATCACAAAAAGACAAAAATCTGCATAATGTCATTTACATGAGTTATCTAAAATAGTCCAACTCATGGAAGCAAAGACTAGAATGGTAGCGGTCAGGGTCTGGGGAATGGGGTAAATGGGGAGTTGCTGCCAATGGGTATAAAATTTCAATCATGCAAGATGAATAAGATCTAGAGATCTGCTGTACAACGTTATGACTACAGAGTATAAAACTGTATTGTGTGCTTATAAGTCTATAAAAAGGGTAGATCTCATGTTAAATATTGTTACTAAAAACTTTAAAAAATCTGGCAAAAGTGTGTAGGTAGCCAAAGAGAGAAAGAGAAGAAAGAGGAAATTCGTATAAATCAGAAACTGAGTAAACTAATTAGAATATACCAAAAATTACAGACTTTGATACCCTCAAATGCAAGAAACACCCTTTTCTTCATTTTTAAAAAATTTCCCTTTTTTCCAATTATCTTTTTTCATTGTATATTTCATGTGATATAATCCCTTGTACAAAGTAGGATGCCCCAAAAGATTTATTGATAAAGAATAAAAAATTGGCCTAGTGCAATGGCTCTATAATCCCAGCACGTTGGGAAGCCAAGGCAGGTGATCACCTGAGATTGGGAGTTTGAGACCAGCCTGGCCACCAAAGAGAAACCCCACCTCTACTAAAAACACAAAACTGGCCAGGTGTGGTGGAGGCCACCTGGGAGGCTAAGGCAGGAGAATCTCTTGAACCCAAGAGGTGGAGGTTGCAGTGAGCCAAGATAGCACCACTGCACTCCAGCCTGGGCAACAAGAGTGAAACTCTATCTCAAAAAAAAAAAAGAATAAAAAATATTAACTAATGAATAACAATTTTTCATGTCCTTTCACTGATGGCAGATTGCATCCGCCACAGGAAGACTACACGCCCCATAAAAAACGTTTCCTGCTATTTGCTGTGAACCTAGGAAAGCTCCCTCCTCATACAGTCTCCATAAAAGAGATGACCTGGCCTTGCCCATAGGAGGGCTACAGAGCAGAAAACTGCACCTTTCTTTTCTTTCTTTTTTTTTTAAATCACAATAAAGAATAGATGGATATGTTTTGCCTGGAAATTATGTGTCCATTGGACTTGTCAGGGAACAAGTTATCATGATCACAGTTTCATATATGACCTTAGCATCCTGCTCTTGGGGACACAAAAAGGGGACACCAGGTAAAAGGACAGATCTCCGGAGTGAGGAGGGACAGTGCAGAGGTGTTGAAACAATAGACTTCAGCTAGCTACTAAATATGAGCCCCAGGACATCTGCTGTCCCTCAGATATATAAACAGGTAAAATAATATTTCGCTTACACAGCTTCAGTGAGCAGTAAACCAGATCACATACAGAAGCACCAGAGAGTGCCTGGGAAAGGCCTGTCCACTCTCCAGGGCCTGAGCCCCTCTGGCTGGCAGCCCTCCCCTCACCGTCACTTCCTGAGTGGGGCAGGAATGTTATTGCACAGAAGGCTGATGCTCATGCAGGGCTGTGCTACGCTGCTGGCACAGAAATACAAAGCTGAGTCCCCCAGCTCCAGAGAGCTCAGGTTTAGTTCAGAGTGCAAGTCAGGGAACTGTTGTGCGGAGAATCGTTCAAGAATGTTTCCTTTTGCTCTCTCTTCTCCATTATAATACTGAATGAGGAACTGGAGGCCCTGGTCCAGGCTCTGTTGGTACCAGTACACAGAGAGGTCTCCAGACCTAGGGGAGCATCTCAGCGTCACTCGCTGTCCAGTTGCTGTGATCAGGTGCTTTGGGGTTTGTGTGACTCCAGAATCCACTGGGCCTGTGTGTCAGAAGACAAAAGTTAACCATAAGGCACAGAAGAAAGCCTCCTGCTGAAGCCATCGTTGGCCCACATGCATTTCAGGGACAAGAAATGAAGATCGGAGACTTTCAAGTTGTGCCCAGGACTCACCTGCTCCCAGGAGACAAAAGGCCACACAGCAGAGGAGCCTGAAGCCCATGGCAGGATCTCCTAGCTTGGGGCTGGTGTCTCTGTAGTAAGCATTCTGAAGTTCCTAAGCTCCCTTCTTCCTGATAGGAGCATTGACCTGTGATGTCACCACACTGACATACTTTCCCCTGCAGGCCACTCCAGCCCACTGTACTCTTTGGCAGGCCTCAGGTTCTGCTACTCCATGTACTATTCCTGTCTTGCACAGGCCAGAAGCTAAAGGTGAGGAGGACTGAACACAGTACCAACATACCCACATCACACCTTACTTTCCTCTGCCCGCCCTGTCCCTGCCCTGACACTGATTCCCCAGCCCTTGCCACCCCAGCCCCTTCACCCTCCACTGCCCGTGCAGCAGCAGAGACACTCCCTCCTTGATGCAAACTGAGGCCTCTGGCACCCCAACTCTTTCAAGGCAATGATAGTCTGTGCTTAACTCTACATGGCCAGGCCCCACTCAGGGAATTCCATCCACTCTACTGATGCCAGCAGGCAGCCAGGGCATCCCCTTCAGTCCTCCTCTCTTGGCCACTCTCCCACCCCTCCGCTGAGTTCTCTGCAGCACTGTGGAGCCACAGCGCCTCCAAGTGGCCAACAGTCTACAGTCTCATGGATTCATACCCTCTGACGTGATATGCTCAAATTGTCCAAATCAGAAAGAGAGATGCCCCCACTCCTGCCACTCCCACCCTCTTACACACCCCGTCCATGCTTTCCCAGAAGAGTCAATTTAGGGTTGATTTTCAAATCTACCCTTAGCCAATGGAGTCAAAGGACACATGAACCAACATTTTGATTACAAAATAAACAATTGTTACATAATTGCAAATAATATGTTAAGATGGTAGAGACCAGCCAGAATTATAAAGGCCATACAATTAAACAGTGTGATGCTATCAAGGAAACCCAGCCTGGAAACCCTATATTCCACAGCTAATCCCAGTTAATTACACCCATATGTTTTCATATTTTGTATTTAGGTTCATTATTACTAAATTTTAGACAGTGCATTTCACAAAAGGATTTCTAGATTTTAAAAATTTACTTCTAAATTATAAAAATTTTGAAATGAATAATACTGCCAGCTGTAATTCAAACAGATTCAGCTGGTTCTCACATTTGCTATCATTACACAGAAGTGACTTTGATCTCTAACCAGGAAATAGTTAGTGGTTAATAATATCCCTCACATGAATAAAAGTAATAATATTCCAGAACTCTATATAAGCAGGAATTAACATAGATTTCACAACATCAAATAATATTCATTATATATTTAATTAATACTTGGCTTTTCCTATGAAAATAATAAAGATGGTGGTATAGTACAATGCTGGGGAATGTCATGGTAAGAAGCAAAGAGGAAGCACGTGTGAGCCCATCCTTGACCGATAAGCAGGGTCTGGCTGTTTCTTGGGAGACAGAAGGTCCTTCCAGGCCATGGAAATACTGAGCACAAATGCAGAGAATGTAAAGGCTGCAGAGTTTTAGGAAATATTCGAAGAGGTGTTTGATCACAGAAGGTAATGGATCTGGGCGGTAAGTGTCAGAAAGAGATACAAGGGAAGCAGAATGTATCTTTGGGGAAATGGGAGAGCCTTTATCTGTTTACCATCAGCAGTGAAATGAATTCCTCTGTTTTGAGAATTGAGATATAAGTCCAGAAGGAAGACATTGGAACCAGCTCCAGGGCCCTCCCACAGGGCAACTGGCTACGTGGTGATGACCATCATAGAGTGGCCTCGGGGTGATGCCAGTTGCTACAAGGCCTTGCTGCGTATTTTCTAGCAATTGAAAACTTTGACAGGTTATGTTGCAGAGAACACAATTTTTTATCATCTGGTAGCTCTACTTCTATTTATTTAATAATCTTTAATCATGTTCTCTCTCCTCAAGTTTCTCCAAACCAAATCTCAATTTCTTCTCCCTTAATTATATAAAGCAAACCCTTGAGATTTTACCTTCTATACTACACATCTGTCGAACAATCCTGACACCAAAATGAATTTCTTTTTCTAAAAAGGAGAGTGCCAGCTACTCTATCACTATAGTGTACAGCATCCGACAAAGAAAGTAATTTTGCCGTGAACCTCCTGAAGCAGCACCATCCTCTGAGCATATCCTCCTGGCCTTGTTTCCGCCAGCCTTGTTCAGAGTCCTGAAATTGTTTATCTTTCCCCCTGAAGGCCCCAGGTTCTCACAGCTGTCTGGTCTGAGACTGCTGTACACGGAAGCAGAGAGATTAGTGCACAGAGTTCCAGTGACTCTGCAGGGCTGTGCCAAGCTTCTGGCACAGAGATACAGGGCCGAGTCCCCCAGCTCCAAGGCACTCACATTCATCTCAGAGCAACAGTCATGGAACTGGCGCCCTGAGAATCGATTAGGGAAGTTTCCTTCTGATCTCCTTAACTCATTAGCATATTCAAAGATAAACTGGGGCCCCTGACCCGGGGCCTGTTGGTACCAGGACACACTGCTGTGCCCAGAGATAGGAGAGCATCTCAGAGTCACTTGCTGTCCTCTCGTTTTGATCAGGTGTGTGGGACTTTGGGTGACTCCAGCCTCCACTGGGCCTGTGGGAAAAGCAGATGGAGGATGAGCACAGCAGACAGCCTGGAGGTCCTCCCCAGTGTAAAGTGGAGGACACAGGGGTGGGAAATCTGAGAATGGGGCTGCTGTTCTGTGCACAGGACTCATCTGCTCCCAGGAGATAAAGCAGTTCCCAGCAGAGGAGCCCGGGGCCCATGGCACAGTGGGGCAGGCAGCACTGCATCTGATTCAGGGCTTGGTCCTCCTGGGGAAGGGCCAAGTGAGTTCTGGGCCTTGATTTTCCTGATGGGTGGGATATCCTGTGATGTCACTGTCCTGTGTCCTCCCTATAAATGCTTCCTGAGGTCCAGTACTCCCCACAACCTGAACTCCCTCCCTGTCCAGCAGAAGGGTTGGGTGAGGGCAGAAGCTTCTGTGATGAGACAGTTGCTCCTCTGCCTACACTGCTCCAGCTCCCAGGCTGCCCCATCACCCTCTCACCCTCCTCCCACCTAGTGCTGTCGTGCTCCATGCTGGAGCTCACACACCTGCCCATCAGCAGAGGGTGAGGAGCCTGTGATTAAACCTTCTTGTTCCAGCTCTCCCTGGCTGTCCTAATGTCATCTCTCTGACGCTAGATTCAACCAAATTTTCTAATTCTATTTTTTTGTCCTCAGAAAATATTTCCAGCCCCTCCCTTGAGTGGCCAGTGGTGCAAAGTCCCCAAGATTTAGTCTATCTGATCAGATCCAAAGCAGACCTTGGTTGTCTGTAAATTATTAAGAGTACAGATTCCCCAGAAATAACACTAGGGCTTTATCAGCTCACAGCACAGACCTAGCCAGACAGTTTGGGATTCAGCACCCTCAAGGCCATCTTATGCGTAGTGATCTGGATAATTTACGTTAATTTCTCCAGATCCACCCTGCCTTCAGAGGCTGACCTCAGTGTATTATGTTAACTGGCTCTCTTCTTCTCTAACTCCAGAGTGAGTTTGGCTAATGGGAGACAATGGCAGGAGAGTAGAGGGAGGTAGGGGCACCACTTGTTCTGATTCATCTATGCCCTGGCTCTCCTCTTGCTTCATTATTTTATATAGGTTACTTTTCCCTACCAAAGTCCACAGCACCTTATAGGCAGCCTTGCCTTAGAGCTACAGTACCTGATGCTTTGGGATCCACATCCTCTCCTACTTATTTCAGGCCAATGTGAATAAGAGCCACAGATTCTGCTGTTCTTAGGCTACTTCTACTTCTCTTACTGGGTTCCCTTAACCCTGCCACACCTTTGCAAATACTCCTTTTGTCCCTCCTTGATATCTCCAGGACCACGACTAATAGACACAGCAATGGAAAGGTGAGTCCGGGTATTTTATTTTGCCTTAAGAGTCAACACAATTTCTAACATTCTGCCATTAGAAGTAATACAATTTCTAATATCCTGCAATGAGCATTGCTAAAAGAGTCAGGAGAACCATGAGAAATATGCATATGAAAATAAACCATGTGACAGGGGACATAGAATCCAAAGAGATTCCAGCAGAGAATCAAAGTGCACGCTCACCTACTCTGACCTCTCCCCATAAAAGATGAGAGTCATATACAAATAGATGCTTGTATTCTGTACAGTCCTATTTAAAAATGCACCACATAAAATAAGAATAAGACAGGAACACACTCATGACCACATAAAATACAGAGAATGTGAGACGTGCTTCTTGCTGAGATACACAACAATCAAATTTAGTATCAAAGTGAGCTGGACTGATAAGAGGCTAAGACACAACTGAGGATCGATGGCTGAAAGAAAGCTATAGACAAAGAAAAAAATGTTCACTCGCTGTTGAAGTTATACCAAGAACCATGAACTGTCATCAGTCTCATACATTAGCCTTTCATTTTGACTTTCAGCAGATTGGCCAATTGGTGAATTCATTTTTTTGCCAAGCAAGCAACCAGCTCCCTTTTGCACCGGGATATGCGCTTCTCCCTTTAGGTGCTAAAGAGGACTACAGGCTACAGGAAAATAAAATGTGTGTTCTATATTATTTTATAATATTTTACAAGAAAAACAAGTTAAGGAACTCATGGATTCTAATCCAAGCCACAGTGATGGTAAGAATTAAGTTCCTTCCTTCATCTATCCTCAGAGGACCTCAAACAGGTACTCAGTAAGAGTCTTACAATCTCTTTGATAATTCTACTAGCTGATTATCTTCAGGTCTAATGGCAGAGTTTGTTGTATTTATTAACATTCTCCCTAACTGGATTGTTCTCTTGTGTGTTTATAACTTTATAACAAAAAAAAATGGATTTTCTTGTCCTCCACAGATCACATGCTTGGTATCTAAAGGAACCAAAGCCAAGGTGATGTTATGTATGCTACTTGAGAATCCCAGATCACTCAAGCAGGCTAAAGCTTCCCAGCTGCTTTCTGCTTTTTTCTTCTCTCCTGAAAAGAAAGTGAAATATGAATTTCTTGTTAGA